>NC_000007.14:40543272-40846302 GCF_000001405.40 Homo sapiens
TTAATATTCTTTATTTAGTTCAAAAACAGTATGTTTTAAAATCTAGTTCTCTAAAATATATGCAGCTCAAAAAATGATAACAAGTACAAAATTTTCACAAATGAAATGTGCAAACCTGAAGATCTTGATAAAATAATTTAAAAAATGAAGGCTGCAACACACAGACTGAAAACAGGCTCTTCATAGTTTAGGATTGGAAGACTCTGCCGTACATCTGTTTAACATCTTGCAGTTTGAAGAACCCTGCCTTGCAAAACCTTCTGTACCAATGACACACAGGATAAAAGGTTATATTATGACTTTCAGATGGAAACCTGCAAAAGTTTATCTGGTGGACTGGACCATTAACTCATGCTACTTTTGATTCTAACTGTTAAAAGGATTTTTCATGTGCAAATTATAATGAACTTTTAGGTTTATGTCAGAAAACACCAGAAAGAATTCTTACTTGGAGAGAGTGAACATGCTGTGGAATGAATAGAATGTTTTAGTTGTGATGTTCAAATGGAACTAAAATTCCCCCAGTAGGGAGTTTGTAGAGTGTGTTTTAATAATAAGTATATGTGCCTATATATTTAGTTGGGAACAAAAGCACCACATTTGAAATATGAAAGTATTCCAAACTTCCATCACTGCCAACATTTATTGAGAGTTTAGCTGAGAAAACAGAAGCCTGTTTTCAGGTATGGCTTCACAAAAATGCCCATATATTGATGTGACAAAAATCATACTTGGTAAGGAGGCACTCTAGTTTGGAGTAATGTAATATTAAAAATTAGAGATCCCTTTTGAGATCAGTTGACTACCAGAATTGTGTTGTCTTTGCTTACAACTTACTTGGCTTGGGTGAAGGTGGGAGGTTTTTTTTTTTTTTTTTAGGGCAGTTTCTGTACACACCCGGTGTCCTGTGTTAAGCTGTCATGTGGATGTGCATTTTCTTAATTTGTAGAAAGGAGATACTTCCTTTTTCCTCCATAACCCAGGAGTCTTCACTGCCAGGCTCTGGCCCCTGTGTCTCCAGCATTCAGCCCACAGATCCCATATATGCTGTGGAAAGCTCACTGTGCCGCAAGTGGGTGTGTGAGCAAAGGAGAGGTAGCATTTTCTTTAGAGACATCCACACCCTCTGACCCAGACGAAGGAAGAATCTTCTTTGCAGCGGGCTTGCTGCAAGGGACTTTCCATGTGCATTTTATCATGCCGAAGCTGACGGTGGTGACAAGTTCCACATTAAATCTGTCTTTTCTGAAATTTCACATTCTCTTCTTTTTGTAGGGAAAGTGTTGTAATACTCTATCGCTTGTGTAAACAGTCTCATTTAATTAGAGGCTGTCAATTTTCCCTTGTGTACCATGAAAGCTGCCTTGCCCCCACTCTGGGGCTGTTGTAGACTTTGGTTATGCAGTGATTACCTAAGCTTTGGGGAGCAGTGGGGTGTACATACTGACATTGGTAGTAGCCAGCAGTTTTCACTAGGGAAATCAGTTTAGTATACTGTTATTAATTTGGTTTAGAAAATAGCTGCAGAGTGCTCAGACAAATAAGACATAGCAGAACACATGGTGTTCGTTATTCAATAACTATCCTTCTGGAAAGGAAGCATGGTCTATTTCCCATTTGAGAAGGAGCTTACAAAAACTAGTAAATATGGAAAGAGGGCATGTACTATAATTTTATAGAATAGCTCTCCTCATGCACTTATACAGCCCTCTCCTCTCCCCCACACACTCCAATCACATTCCCACAACATGTCCACATAGAATGTATTCCCAACTGGTATTAGCATAATCATTACCACATTATAAACAAGCTGGTGGAAAAATAGCCTGAAAGACTTAGATGGTTTGTTTTATAAATGAAGGTGGGGGTGGAAAGCCAGATATTTTTGGAACAAATTCCTCTGTCTTTAGAAATGATAGCTCAGCTCTCATAAACCTCAACTGATAGCATGGACTGAAGAGGTGGAGTTGAAGAAAGTCATGACATATTCGGTATTTCTCAGTGAAGGTCAATGAAAGGTCTCCTGTGGAGCCTCTCTGCTGGAAGAAGTCCTCATGATAGAAATGTTGAGCCTTCCTTTCTTCTTTCTTACTGGAGCACACATGGAATACTTTTTGTTTTACTGGTTTAATATAGTTCTGTTGGTCAAGGTCTCTGGCTGTTTCTCCTTTGTCTATTGCATTTTTCCTGGAGTTGACGAGATGAGAAATCCTGACTTAATGGCTAATTCCAAGTTTACTGCCAAGACCAATAAAATATGATGTAAAATATGGCCTTACCTGAAAGCTTCCGGACATTAACGCTGTTAGATCCAGTTTTCATTGTAAAAAGAAACCAAGACAAAGGAAGGAGAATAATTTTATGAAAGTAAGAGTTGGTTTGTGTGTCCAGGTTCTAAGAGATCAGATAACAGGCTGAAAAGAGATTTGGTGTACCATCCTTTTTTCTTCCTTTCTTTTTCTGTTTGATTTTTACAGTTATATAGAGAATAACAAAGTATGCTTGCCACAGAAGAATCATGGGTGTGTTCTTTTAAACATTTGACTTTGGAAATACCCAGAGAACTGTGTGATGGGGATGAAGATGGCATTAATGAATGTGATTCAAACAATGCACTCTCTGTGGGCTTATTGCATCTGTGGCCTACTGATTTGTTTGTAAGATTGCCTTAATTTGATCAGATAGGCTCAGTCATGTGTATCTATAAAATCAGAATCATACATCATATGGATCACATGAAGTTCAACATCCAGGAAGTTAATCTTCAAGCCCAGCACTCAAATGTCTTTCACCTTTGACATGGGATTTCTATTTGGAATAAATTTAACAACACTCTTTCCTCCTGCCCTAGCTCAGACTTAGACACAGGACATCATTACATGTAGCAGACCAATGGGAAAAGAATTCACACGTATCACACTGGCATGGCTCTTTGGAATACTGGAACCTCACTTTAACTCCTGTGCGCTGTCCTCAAATTACATCAAGTGCTGTGGTTATTTAATGTTTCATTATCAATAAATTATTTGATATGAAATAATTATACTCATAAATTGGCTTTTTTCCTTAAGAAAGGTAATTAGATTAAGACAGGCCTATTTCAAAGTAATGTGCCCATTTTTTCATTATATGTTTGCAAAGTTAATAAAGTAATTGATATTGTAAAGAGTTTGCCAAAAGTCAGGGCATTAAAATTAAAGCCTGAAGTCCAAAAGAGCTGGCTTAATGTATTATTTATTGAGCACTGATGGAATATTCAGTGTAAGACAACAAAATTAAGCCAATGTATTCACAGTTTGAATAAAAGCCTCTAAATATTTTTTCCTATTGACAACAGACTCTTAGACTCATAGAATAGAAAAGGACCCTGGAAGATTTATGATCTATCAAATTCACATTATAGATGAAGAATCAGAGGCTTAGGCGAGGGCAGTGACTTACCCCAGGGCATAGTAGCCCAGCTGAAGTTAGAACTCAGTCCTGTTGATTTCCTGAGACTGACAATCTGCCCTTTTTCACGGATTCCACCCCAGGCCATCCACTCATCCTTTTTGCTCACTTTCTGCAGTATCTTTCTGGCTCCATATTTAGCCTCTGGCCTTGCCCAGCTCCGCTCTGCATGCCATTATAAGATTAACCTTCTTCAAGCATAATTCTAATCATAATCTTTTATGTATTAGAGTTCTCCAGAGAAACAGAAGCAATAGGAGACTTAATGTAATAAGAGATATATCTCCTATTGCTTCTGTTTCTGTTTCTCTGGAGAACCCTGACAACTACAGAAGAGACTAGTCATATGCATGTGACTTATGAGTAATTGAATCATGTGATCAGTCCCAAGATCTGCAGTTGACAAGCAGGAAAGCCAGGAAAGCTGGTGATGTGGTTCCACTTTGAGGATCAGAGAAGACCAATGTCCCAACTCAAACAGCGAGGCAAGCAAAGTTCCCTCGTAGCCTTTTTGTCCCCATTCATGTCTTCGGTTGATTGGTTGAGAGCTACTGTACTTAGTTTGCTGATTCACAAGTTAATCTCTTCCAACAACAAACTCACAGGCACACTTGGAATAATGGTTGACCAAATGTCTGGGCACCCTGTGGCCCTGTCAAGTTTATGCATAAAATAACCATCATACCTTCCTTAAAAACTTATAATGGCTATGTCTTTTTTATTATTATTACTTTAAGTAGAGTGTTTTATTTATTTCAAAACTTTTTTATGGACTTAATCTTATTATATCTAATTTTGGATTCAGAGAGAAAAGGAGGGAATGCCAACATTGAGTTCCAGATTGTTCTGAGATACTAAGATTATCTTTCAGCTCTTATTTGAATTACAAAAAGTAAATGCATACTATAAAAATGCAGATAATAGAGATAAACAAAAGAAGGAAATAAATGTTTTCCTTAATTCAAGGATCAGAGGTTACTTCTCTTTATAGCTTTTTAAAATTTTGTGTATGTGTAGTTTTATAAAATATTAGAAATAATACTCTGATATATTATCATTTTTCATTCACATACATATACCTATGAAAGGATTATTTTTAATCATTTTGGTGTATTTGCTTTATGGATATTTTATAATTTATTTAACTAATCCAGTGTTGAATATCAAGATTGTTTGTAATTTATGCTGAGATACAGCTTCATACATAGAGCTTTGCACATGTCTGTTTACTCTTTTAAAACAAATTCTTACAAGTGGGATTTTTATTTTCCTTATCATGTCAACTCTTAACTATTTTGTCTCCTTTTAGCCTTATAATCTTAGATATATTTTCTACAACTTTTTAACACAAGTATTTCATTTAGTGACCTCAGTTTTATACTGTTTCGCATTCTTTACTTTTTGTGTGTTTTAATTTTAATCCTCCAAATAAGCTATAAACTTCTTTCTTCTTTTCTTTCTTTCTTTTTTTTTTTTTTTTTTTTGTGATTAGGTCTCATTTTATTGTCCAGGCTGGAGTGTAGTGGTACAATCATAGCTCACTGCAGCTTCGAACTCATGGGCTCAAATGCTCCTCCCCGCTAAACTGTCTGAATAGCTGGAACTACAGGCACACCCCATGGCACACTGCTAATTTTTTAAAATTTTTAACGGTTTTTGTAAGACAGGTCTTGCTTTGTTGCTTAAGTGCATCTTGACCTCCTGTCTTCAAGCAACCCTCCTGCCTCAGCCTTTTTAATTGCTGGGATTTCATGCATGAACTATGGCACCCAACTTTTTCTTTTTTTAGTAGACTATTTTTTAGAAAAGTTTTAGGTTCACAGAAAAATTGAGCAGCAGATACAGAATTTCTCATATATACCACGTGCCCACATATCCATAGTGTCCCGTCATCAGCATTCCCCCACCCCCAGAGTTGTACATTTGCAATAATCAGTGAACCTACATTGACCCATCCTTATCATCCCAAACTCCATTGTTTACATTAGAACTCACTCTTTGTGTTGTACATGCTATGGATTTAAAACAGTGTATAATGACATGTATCATATCCATCAGTGTATTATCATACAAAATAGTTTCATTCCCCTAAAAACCCGCTGGCTCTTCCTATTCATCCTTTCCTATCTTCGGACACCCAATCCATGTCTTCTTATCTATTTATTGAAGGGAAGTATCATATTTTATATTTTTGTATTGAGTTTTTAAGTAAACATGCAATAATTGACTTGAGTGTATTGCCTAATAACCACCTTGTTACCCGGAGGCCCTCACTGAGCTCTTTCCTTGGGGCCTCTATATTCAAGTGGGCATACTCTTTGCCCAACAGTTTCTCCTTGGATCTCCTTCTGATGGCCCTCTTGGAACACTTGTGAATGTATGGATTACAACCTTCTTGTTCTCCTATTTCCCACCCTATTCTTTGGTTAAATTCTTAGTGAGGGTTTTGGCCTTTGCATTGAAAAGCTGATTTCTGGTATAAGAGGCTTCATTATGTTTCTGCTCAATATAAAATTCTGTCTCTTTCAAGGGAGACTTTTATGTGTTATTAGGTCTGATAATACACTTTCTGTAGACTTAGCTAATGAATTATGAATAGAAAATATTAAAAATAAAACTCTTTTGTAATGACTAGGAATAAACAATAAATCCTGGAATAATGACTGAATTTAGTTGAATGTCAAATTAGAGGTAGCCTTAAAGAAATGCAAGCATTTGGCTGAAATTGTCTAGGAGGAAACCAAAGATGGAAAAGACAGTGTACCTCTGCCTTAGGAATTTATTATCTAGTGTGAACATTGGACACACACAACTCTCTAGTATGTCAGTTTTCAGTGGTGATGCAGTCAGACATTAGCATAATGTGGTCGGAACATAAGGGCAAGAACAGTTATTATGATTGATTGGCCCAAGGAAAGATTCATTGAGAAAAAGACATTTGAGGAGGGCCTTGAATGATAAATATGATTTAGGTGTGTGAGTTGTGGAAAGCAGGTTATAAGTGTGGAAATAGCATGAGGAGGCAGTATAGACATTTGAATATACATAAATGTTTCTGAGTTGTTGAAGAGTCTTGTGTAGCAGAAGAAAAAGATGAGGGGAGTGGACAGTGGAAGATAAAACTGGCAGGGTAGCTCGGGGTCAGATTCTGAGGAATATACAGTGCTGTCCTAGAACAATTGAGAATTCATTTCATAGGCAGTGGAATGCAACTAGGAGAGGATTGTAAGGAGGAGATAGCATGTTTGGGTTTATTTCAGGATGATTACTTTGATCTTGTCACAAAAGATAGATTGCAAGGGCTAGACACTGGAAGCTGAGAGAAGGGTTGGGAGACTTTACAATCAGTGGTTTAGGATATCAACAATCATCAGTTGCTGTCTATGCTGGTGGCTCTACCACCTGATGAAGAGACTCTAAACAGTCATAAATTGTTATCTATGCTGGTGGCTCTACTACCCGATTAAGAAATTTAATCAAATTTAAATCCTCTTTGGTCTTGTCTGTGACTCTGGTCCTCTTCCTTTTATGGGATATGAATGCCTTCTCCTCTGCTATTGGTTGTATCTCTTCGTATAGGGAAGGACTATTTGTATTGTGTTCAGTGTTGCTAGTGTTACTAAGTATTCCTGCTAGCTAACAATCCAGAATTGTTCTTCCCTGGAATACCTAGTCTTTCATGAAGTTGCGTTTGCTTTCTGACACCAATTCTGCTCTATTGTACCTTTTCTCTTCTTGTATGAGAAAGCAGGAGTAGAGGCAGATTCCATCAAGAACTGTTTATGCCTGCTTGGGTAGAGGAGAGCAACCACACATTGAAGCATTTGTTATACATACAATATCCTTTCAGGGCTCTTATTCTGAGACTTATAACCAAAAGCATTTATTTCAGAACCATGTAATCATATGCTATGGCAAAAGCATTAACTAAAGGTACTAAATAATTATTTGAACAGTTAAATCAAATATGAATATACTTCCCTTTGTCCACCAGTTTCAATTCACTTAGCAGGTTCTTCCTAGCCAGAATAGCCATTGTTCTGTTCTTTTTCCATTTTACTCTCATTGTGTCTTTTGAGGTGTCGCAAGGGGCTCTAGATGTTTTTCAGAGTTCACATACATTTCATCTTTGTTCTTCAGGATCCATTTACTATAGTACTACAGCTCTCCTCTTCTGGCTACAAAATCTTACTGCAGCACTTTCCCTTATTCTTGCCTTCTGTTTTACCCATTTTACCTGTTTTCTTCTCTTTTCTCTTGTCTTGTCAGGTGCCTGTGGCAGCCTTCTCCCTGCCTTCCCTCAGGCAGCAGTGTGCCATGTCTCTGCAATGCCTTGTTGCTCGGAGGCCCTCACTGAGCTCTTTTCTCAGGCCCTCTGTATTCAAGTGGGCATGCTCTTTGCCCAGCAGGTTCTCCTAGGACATCCTCCTCTTGGAACACTTGTGATTTTATGGATTACAAACTTCTTGTTCTCTTAGTTCCCACTCCACCCTTTGGTGATCCTTAGTGACGGTTTTGGCCTTTGCATTGAAAAGTTGATTTCTGGAATAAGAGGTTTAAGTACGTTTCTGCTGAATATAACGTTCTATTTATTTTCCTTAGGGATATTATGTGTCTTTTGAGGGAGAGAATTGACTTCCAGGCTGAATGCTACCAGGAATACTATCCTCTGTAAACATACTCAACCTATACTCACATATAACTTTAAAACATCTTTAAGCTGTCTTTCAAAGTTTGTAAACAGAGAAATGGCTTAGTTAAATCACAGGGAAGTATACAATCTAAAACAGACAGAAAGAGAAATAAATATATATGTTGTGCTCGGTCATAATAAACATTGACAGTTCAGGCTGAAGTGTATCCATCATTCACTCCACATACACCCATGGGCACCATAAGTGATCACTCCTATGGATGGAAGGCAGTAGAAGGCATACATCCTGTCCACAAGAAGAGACCGTTCAGTTGGAGAGACAAACATAAACATGATGACTGATTACAATGTGGTAGGATAAGTGTCACAATACAGCCATGTAAAAATAATCTTGAAGACACAGATAAGAGGGTGAATTATTCTGACCAGTACAGGAAGCTGGTCTGAGGCAAGGGTGCTGAGTCAGCCAGCCTGAGGAAGACAGTCAGAGTGAAATCAAGGAGCTTTCACAGGTCAGCATTGTACTTGACTTGCAAGCTGTGAGAGGCTCCCTTCAGCTCAATAACAGAGCCTATCAGACTCATCAAACTTGAGCTACACCATCTTGGAATGCTTTATCAAACTTTAAGGATCCCGATTTTCTAGAAAACAAAAGCATCTATGAGGTGCTAGAGAATTGTCTTGAGAGTTCATAGGTCACCATTCCCCACGTCACAGCACACTTTCCCTTAACAGTGTGACAGGAAGGCGGCAACATCTGTTTCCATGTGAGTACACTGTGATACATTGAAAGGGACAGGCGGTGGTTTAGTGCAGCCTGCGACTTGTGAGGAATTTCATATGGAGAGAATTCTACTCTGTGGTTCTGAAATTAGGAAAAAGAGGAAGTTGCTTTTATTACTGTGGCATGAGAGGCCCCTCTGCCCTCCATACCTCTGTTTCTAATTTGTAACCATTTCCTGACTGCTGTTCCTGTTGCATGCTTTTTTCATAAGTTACTCCATGGCTTACATCAGTTAATGGCTGGGGCTGCACTCTCTGAGCCTGGAGCGGAGTCCCTGCACCTGGGCTCACCCTACTAATAGATCACCCAGGGCCTGGTGATGGCCTGCGAGGACAGCTGGAATGGCTCAACTCCCCCACTCATCTGTCATGATTACCATGCGTTGGGGGTTTGCCTGGCTTGTTCCACTCATTTCCTTTGTCAGCATGACAAAGATCAAAGTGCAAGTAGGATACATAAATGATAACCTAGAACTTTGCCCAAACACATAGGCTGCAATCTGGGTGACATCTTCCATCACACTTTCCCCATAGGCATGGAAGGAAAAGGGCAAATTATGTTTTAAGTGTAGCCTTTCTTGCCCAGCCCCTTCCAGCCCCCCATCCCCACCCCCACCACCCAGCTTTGTTTCCTGAACCCATCATCGTTGTATTAATCAATTGGTTCAGGGATTTGAGATTTCCTGACATAATCACAGGATTGGAGAAATCCTGATTTCTGTTTATATGAAGCTGTGGCTGTGATTGCAGACCTTGTACCTGGCTGAGCTTGCATCTTTCGTTCCCTATTCAGAGTTTGAGATGCTTCTGGCCATTCTCCTAAAGAATGGGAGTGAATGATCTTTGCATGTCTGTTGAGCAGAAGATATTTACTTGCAGAATTAAAATAATACTGATAAAAAGTGTTCAAAATGGTAACAATAGTTTGTGGAAATATTTGGGCAGGTAATAATTACTTTTGGACTTGTGTTCCCCATTCAAAAACAAAATACCTTGCAGTGTTTCTGAGTTTACTTTTGTCATGCTGTATACGTTCTCTCTTCAAAATGAAAACTGATGCATTAAAGAAAGAATGAGTTGAATTTGAGGTATGGGTGCAAATTAGGGAACTCCTAGGAATTAACTAAGGGTTATTCTTTCAGAAAATAACATTCAGATAGTGCAAAGGGTCTTTAGTTAGGAAAATGTATATGATCTCTGGATTGATGTTGTCTTTAAGAGTTGTATCATACAGAATAGACATGGAAAATTGACCGCGAATGATGTAACCCTTGATCAATGCCATTGCACTTGCATGTTTTCTCTATCGAGATAATTTTTTTATTTTTTATAATAATATATGAGAATTTCTCCATGGATTTACAGAAATCACAGCTAATCCATGTGATTTCTTTCTAAATATAGATATTTATGTATTTATCTATATCGATATATGTCCACCCTCTACACGTAGACTGATAATCATTAACTGATAGTAAAAAGCTAAAAATGTAGACACTTTCCACACCATCTACCTCGTTTACTAAGCTGCCACATTATGTGTGTGTGTGTGTGAGTGTGTGTGTGCATGTGCACAAGCTGGGCTATGTTTCAAATGTTCTGTTTTCTTTCTCAGAAACTATTGATGTGTTTTGGAAATATTGAGGATGCCTCCAATGCGAGTATCCCCTATATCAGATAGTGGGGCAGCCCTGCCCTGGGAACTTAGACAACTCAGATCAGATCTTCCCAGTGGGCTAACCTGGCACCTAACTTCTTCGTGTTTCATGTTCCTCACCTGTAAAATGGTGATAACAATGACTATCTCAAACAAGGACTGTTAGGAGGATTAAATTAAAAAGGCTAATGTGTGAAGAAAAGTTGCTTAGTGCATTGAACTCTGACTCTGGGGTCTGCAGATCTGGATTTGAATCCTGGCTTTTCTACTTAAAAGCTGTGTAACTTAGGCAATGCATTTAATTCTTTGTGCTCAGCAATAAATGTTGTAAGGCATGTAAGTGGCATAGTGCCCGACACATTATGAGCACTCAATAAATACTTGATATTAATGTTAAATTGTAAATCTGCGCAGATGATAACTTTTTTTGATGAGCTGATAATAAGATAATGCCTAACTCTGATGGTGGATGGTTTCCCTAAATGTAACAACAGATCTGGAGAGTTTAGTGGCATGTAGATTGTCATTTTGTTCATTCATAACCTGCCAACTTGTTAGGGAATGAATCTTTTTGTAGGTTTAAGCTAAAAGTGTGATTGCATGCATTTGTCTTAAAGACAACTGGAATCATTTAGCTTGTTCATGTTTTAGAACACTTCCATGGTAAATGTGAGAGTTAAACAGCATAGTGTAGTTGTAGCTTCTCTGTACTATGTTTTATTGTGTGGGTAATTTTAATGACCAATGTCTTGAGGGTAAGAATGACTTTGGTGTTTCAGCTAAAAAGCTGACTTTTACAGAAGAGGTGTGTTGTATTTATTGATATCTACAGTCTGCATAAAAATGTTCCCTTGACTTCCCTTAGACTTGTGTTTGTCATATTCTTAATTTATGTCATATATGTCAGTTTCTCATATATTTTCCTCCTATCAACAGTTGTACTTTTGAGCCTAACAGATTTTTCCTCTTCCAGCATCTCTCCTTTCTAATCCATTTTGCAAAACTTGACAATCATTTACCTAAAGCATGACTTCTGTTTATTTCACTCCTCTGCCTAATGGTTCCTCATCCTGACCTTAATGCCTGTCCCCATCATCATACATTCATGTCACCATTCTGCATATCCTGGCCCATGAAACTGCTATTCCTTCTGCATATCCTGGCCCATGAAACTGCTATTCCTTCATAAACTATACTTTAATATATTAATGGTCACTGCTCAACAGTTTTTTCTGTAGTAAATATCTGGTGTTCTATATAGTATTTGACATATGATCTCAAAGTAGTACGGCCTGCCCTCATCCTCTTTTGACCAGTCATTTTATGAGGCAGTGTGGGTATTTATGAGCCCCCAGAGCTGGACCAGTTCCCAAAGGAAATGGAAGATCAAGAACTCTGAGAACTTCCAGGAAATGGATGGGAGGATGGTCAGCTCTCGATGGTCCAGGATGCACTCTCTGATCAATGAAACCCTTCCTCTTTGTCTTTTTTTTTTTTTCTCACTGATTAGGCCTCATGGAATTCTGAGCCTCAAGCTTGTTCTTCACAAAAGGCTGCTCTTTGGATGACTGTCCCTTCATCTAGTCTAAACTCCCTTTTCAGTCCTGGGTGTTATTCATTCCAGACCAGGAGTGTGTATGAGTGTGATGCTGGGCTGGTGGGTCCCAGGTGGCCTGATGTCTAGCGCTTGGTTGAGCTTTCACAGGCCCATGATCCTGGGTGTGATAGAACAGTATCTCTCCAACTTAAGCAGGCATCACAGTCTCCTGCGGAGCTGGTTTACACGTAGCCTGCTGGACCCCACTTCTGAGTGTCTGATTCAGTAGGTCTTGTGTGGAGCCTGACAGTGTGTATTTCTAATACTTTTTGGGGAACTCATGACAAATTCCAATATTCCAGTATTCTAACAATATTGTAAGGAAGTACAATATTGCTGAGTGGTATGATTATGAAAGTGCTCAATACCTTCATATCTCGGTGTGGCTGCTCATGTTTGAATGGTCTTGTAGGCTTTCCCCAAGTCTTTCCATTTACAACACCTAGATCAAATGCTACATCTTTAATGATGTTTTTGTGACTCCTTTAACCAGGGGATAAAACATTTGCTGTTACTCTTCTCTCTAACTTCTTAGCAATGTGTTTGCCCCTCTTATAATATTTATCACCATGTACCCTACATAAAGTATGCCTGTCTTTCTGCCAACACATAATCTCTTTGAAGGGGAGTGTATTGGTCTCATTCATCTTGCTTCTTCTAATGCTTGGTACAGTGCCTTAGATGCAATACATATTGTTTGCCCTGTGCCCAGATCCCTTGAGTCCACTTTTTGACCTCTGTTAAGTCTATCCTCCACCTTCAGCACGCTTTGTTCCTAACAACTTGAACTTGTAACTTTCTCCAGAGGACTGAACTTGAATTACTGGAGGCACTTCACTCAGACATATGGAAAGCTGGGATTGTCTAGAAGTTTATCTCCACAGCAGTGTTATGCTGCAGAGTGGTGCAGCAGTATGAAGGCCCTGCTTCTTGCCTTGAGGTGGACACACTACAGCTCCGCAGGATTAGGCTGAGGCAGGCCCTTCAAACCCTTGTTTGGATTCTTCCCCTTCTCAGTCCTGCTTTCCTTATTCCTTTGACTGATTTCTCCTGGGAGCACTTCACTAATGAATCACCTGCACACAAACTCTTGTCTCATGGCTTGCTTCAGGAGAACTAGCAGGTGTTGTGTGAATATTTGTAGAATGAATGAATGCTTGAAAAGGAGTGTAGCATAATAGGAGCGTGGACTCTGTAGCCAGACTGCCTGGGTTTAAATCCCAGTTCTACCACTTAGTGGCCATGTGACTTTGAACAAATTATCTAACCTTTTTGTGCTTCAGCTTTTTTATTCATATACTGAAGCTAAAATAGTACTTTATATGGGGTTATGAGGATTAAATAAATTAATAATTTTAAAGCACGTGGAACAGTTTCTGGCACATAATAAGTGGTGATTAAGTGTTTGTAAGAATAAGCTTTAAAAATTGCGTTGAATGACATTAAAATACACATAAGTAAATGGAAAGACATCTTGTGATTATGGATTGGAAGGCTGTATTAGTCAGATGATTCTACTACTCAAGGCGATCTCCAGATTTAATGCAACCTCTATCAAAATCCCACTAGTGTTTTTTACAGAAATAAAAAACCCATCTTGAAGTGACCTCAAATAACCAAAACAATCTTGTAAAAGAACAAAGGTGGAAGACTCACACTTCCAAATTGCAAAATTTACTTCAAAGCTATAGGAATCAGAACAGTATGATCTGACAGACGGACAAGCATATATAGACTAATGTAATAGAATTGAGAGCCTGGAAATAAACCCACCACACATGTGGGGTAAGCTGAATTTTAAGCTAGGTGCCAAGACTATTCAATGAGGAAAGGAAACTCTTTTTCCCAAAAGTGCCAAGAAAACTGGATCTCCACATGCAAAAGCATGAAATTGTATCCTATCTTGAGATAAAGGTATAAAAGTCTCAGAAGAAAATACAGGGGGAAATCTTCACGACAGTGGATTTGGCAATGATTTCTTGGATATGACCCCAAAAGCACAGGCAACAAAATAAAAAATAGACAAAATGGGCTTCATCAAAATTAAAAACTTTTGTACATCACAAGACACTATCGAGGCCAGGCGTGGTGGCTCATGCCTGTAATCCCAGCACTTTGGTATGCCGAGGTGGGCGGATCACCTGAAGTCAGGAGTTCGAGACCACCCTGGCCAACGTAGTGAAACCCCATTTCTACTAAAAATACAAAAATTAGCTGGGCATGGTGGCATGTGCCTGTAGTCCCAGCTACTCAGGAGTCTGAGGCAAAAGAATCACTTGCACCCAGGAGGCGGAGGTTGCAGTGAGCTGAGATTGTGCCACTGCACTCTAGTCTAGGTGACAGAGTGAGACTCTGTCTAAAAAAAAAAAAAAAGAAAAAAGAAAAAAGACACTATCTTGCAAAAGGACAACCCACAGAATGGGAGAAAATATTTGTAAATTACACATCTGATAAGGGATTAAGAATCAGAATATTTAAAGAACCTTTATTGGTCAACAACAAACAAATAACCCAGTTAAAAAATGGTGAAAGGTCCTGGATAGACATTTTTCCAAAGAAGATAAACAGATGAAAACAGATCAATAAGCAGATGAAAAGATGCTCCACATTATTAGTCATTAAGGAAATGCAAGTTAAAGCACAATGAAATACTACTTCACACTCATTGGGATGGCTATTCCATACAAAAAAAAAAAAACCAGAAAATAAAAAGTTTTGATGTGGGTATGGAGAAATTGGAACTCTTGTGCAGTGTAGGAATGTAAAATGGTGCAGCCTCTGTGAAAAACAGCTTAGTAGTTTCTCCAGAAGTTAAACATAAAATTATTGTAAGATCTATTAATTCCACTCCTGGGAATTACTCCCAGAAGAATTGACAGCAGGGACTCAGATACTTGTATACCAGTGATCATAGCAACGTTAGTCACAATAGCCAAAAGGTGAAAACAACTGAAGTGTCTGTCAATGGATGATTGGATAAACAAAACATAGTATACAATGGAATATTAGTTATAAAAAAGGAATGGAATTCTGATATATTTTGCAGTGTATGGATGAACTTTGAAACATTATGCTAAGTAAAATAAGTAGGGACAAAGGACAGATATCATTAGGATTCCACATACGTGAGGTTCATAGAATGGGCAAATTCATGGAGATTAGAAATAAACTAGATGTTACCAGGCTTCGGTTGGTGGGGTGGGGAGCAGAGTGAGGAGTTATTGTTTCATGAGTAAAGAGTTTCTGTTAGGGATGAGTAGAAGTTCAGGACGTAGTGGTGATAACTGCACAACATTGAGAATGTACTTAGTGCAATTGAATTGTATACTTTAACATGTTAAAAGTGGCAGATTTTATGTTATGTATACTTTACCACAGTTTTAAAAAACATTAATTCTAGTCTTGCATTTTGTTATTCTTGCTCTGCCTCTGGGACCTGGATATATGCATCACTAATGCTGCTTTTCTCTCTCATGAGGGAAATTCCTGTGAATTGTCTATAAGCATTTAAACAATATGCTTGGATAGCTGTGAATTTTTTAAACATCCAGTTAAGAACAGAGAAAAAAAATGCTGTATGTAAATATGAATAAACAAAGGCATAATTAGATTATTTCAAAATTCTTTAGGTTTACTCAGAATTTGCAATAATCCTGTGAGTGCAGTGAGTCCAGTTTAATTATTGATACCATAAAGCAGTCTGAACCTAGAGTTTTCTTCAGCTTTACTGCTTATGATTTTATAAAAGCTCTCCACATGGGTCCACTTGGTTTGGGCTTATAGGCAAATTGGTCTCCAGCCAGATGCTCCATCTCCTTACATGTCACACCTCTCCACAGGGCTGAAATGTTCCCCTGAAGAGAAACTTTTTAAAAGCCCACAAACTCCAATTTAGCTTTGGCAATCACTGCGCTGTGGTGTTTGAGTGTTTTAGACTTAGCAATAAATAATGTTTTAAAACTTCCAATGTTGTATGTCTTATTTGTCGTGCTGTTTGTATCTATAGGCGACAGCCCTGGATATCACAGTATATGAAATGTGATAAAGTCACCCAGTGGTTACAATTGTCCTACCTGTCCCATAGCCTCACATTTCCCTCATTTTTATCATAAATGGTGAAATGAAATGAAGAAGAAAGGGGGTGAGAATGTGTATTTGTTTATGAGATAGTGTCCCTCAAGGAATCAGTTGATAAGTTTGACTAATCTCTGTAACATTTACTCTGACACACTTTTTCATCTTTGTTTGCTATACTTATACATTACTATCTTAAAAACTTTTTGGTTTTCATCTGGGAAGCCCAGTACTGTGGATGTGTGGGATGGAGAACTGACCTATTTAAGTATATGTCATTTATATGAAATTTCATCAAAGAAAATGCAATAGCAACAAAAGGCCAAATTCCATTTAACAAGAACTTTTGAAACTTTCACCACTGTCACAGTTATTTCAAACAAAACCACTTTAAGTCTGTTCTGGAATAAGACAGTGCGTAAAGAGGTAATGCAATATGTTAAACTAATGCAAAAGTTTTGGTATCTGGATAGGCAATGATATATTTTAACCTTTTCTATTTTGGATTCGGATCAGGTCTTCTGTTGTGGATCAATGGTTCTTAGGCAAAAGGGTAGTTTGCTATGAATTATCCTATTTAAAATATCTTGTTACTAGTGGTTCTGTTCTTGAAGAGTGTAAATATAACACATCTCCCCACTTCCTATGCGTGGAGTTAACTATGACAAGAAATGAGTGGCCCTAAGCATACAGCTAGGTTTATCACATGAGTGTTTAGTTAGTGCCCACTGGTTGAAAATCTGAGCATTTGGAAAGTGATACACACACATGTGCATGCATGCATGCACATATATATATACATGTGCACATCATGTACACATGCATACATGTTTTCCCTCTACTTTTTGGGTGGAGGGCCTTGTAGAAAATAAAATGTCCAATGGGCAGAGAGACAGAGGAAAGAATGCCCATGGGACAAAAGGCAGCACAGAGATGTAAAACTAGTTTCTCATTGTTACTTGCTTTTTCCACACAAGACAGAATCATTCTTGCCTAGGGTTAACACTGTCAGAGCATACTCCCTTATGGAAAACACAGAACTTCTGGAACATCTTTTAGGAATGATGTACCTTAAGGTGAAATCCAATACTCCAAGGATCTTAGAGTCCTGAGTAGAGATTATACTGATAGAGACAAATTGGTTATTTCCACCCAACCCTCCAAATTTCACTGTTTGGCTTTGTATTGAAAATTGAAAGTATGTCTTTATTTATTTACTTCCAGTGTAAAACTTGCATGGTAAAAGTTTGTTGATGTGCAGTGTATCCCCAGTGGGAAATTACTAGAACTAAGAAGACTAGGAATATTTGTTTTCAAATAGATTTTTAAATTGACCTTGATAGTTTTCAATGTTTCTTAATTAGTGTTTGCAAATCTGCTGATTTTACGAAAAATCTGTTTCTTGCTGTATTAGAGTATAGCATCACAACAAAATTAGCATTCCATATGTTGTTTTGTTAAACATCCTTGGTGACTTTCCTTAAAATCCTTTGGGAAATGTTTTGAAATTTGTTGAAACAAATATGCAACACTTGAAATTAAATGGTGATTATCACCACATTGTTCCTTCTTAAAAGCATTGCCTGTGTTTGGACTTAGTAGAAATGCTATCACTGAACACATATCTTTCAGAAATTCCTTACGAGTGGGTAAGGCCTAATACAAGCCTTTTTACACAGACTAGGAAAAGCAACTTGCTACAGAATTCTAGCAATGCCATGACGCTATGTGTAGTAGATAGACTTTACCAAAAGCTGGAGTGGCAAGACCCATGTATAACAGCCTTTATTGGATTTCTTCCTTCTCTAATTGGAATGAGCAAATTCAGCTTCCTTTTCCTAAAATCTCCTTCAGTTCTCATAAGTAGAAACAGAAGAATGTATTTCATCTGAAATTGGAGAACTGGGTTGCATCTCATGGTAGTACCACTCATTTTTAACCACTTATTGAAACTGAGAGTCCTATCTGTGTCTTCATTTTAGATTTAAGATTTAGTCAACAGATATATTGAACATCTATTATGTGCCAGGCATTGTGCTTGGGGCTAAAGTTACCAACAGGAATAAGACAAACACAGTGGATTCAATAACCCTACTTTGAGGACATCATAACTTGACAGGGGAGATAACTTGAAGCACAACAGACCTGTGGGGAGGGGTTCACGGATGATTCGCCAGAGGTGGAGATGCTTAAGCCGAGTCTTTTTTTTTTTTTTTTTTTTTGAGATGGAGTCTCGTTCTGTTGCCCAGGGTGGAGTGCAGTGGTATGATCCCAGCTCACTGCAACCTCTGCTTCCCAGGTTCAAGCGATTCTCCTGCCTCAGCTTCCCAAGTAGCTGGGATTACAGGTGCACACCACCATGCCTGGTTAATTTTTGTATTTTTAGAAGAGACGGGGTTTCACCATGTTGGTCAGGCTGGTCTTGAACTCCTGACCTCCTGATCCACTGGCCTCAGCCTCCCAAAGTGCTGGAATTACAGGCATGAGCCACTGCGTCCAGCCTAAGCTGAGTCTAAAAAGGTGAATGCCAGGCCAGGCGCAGTGGCTCATGCCTGTAATCCCAGCACTTTGGGAGGCTGAAGCCGCTGGATCACAAGGTCAGGAGATCGAGACCATCCTGTCTAACATGGTGAAACCCCGTCTCTACTAAAAATACAAAAAATTAGCCGGGTGTGGTGGTGGGTGCCTGTAGTCCCAGCTACTTGGGAGGCTGAGGCAGGAGAATGGCGTGAGCCTGGGAGGCGGAGCTTGCAGTGAGTCGAGATCGCGTGACTGCACTCCAGCCTGGGCGACAGAGCGAGATTCCGTCTCAAAAAAAAAAAAAAAAGGTGAATGCCACTTTATCTGGTAGAAAATGCAGGATGGGTCATTCCATGCTGAGTGACTGACGTGTAAAGACTGAGGCAATGAGGTGTAAAATGGTGTAGGATGCTGGTGTGATGGCAGTTTCTTCAGTGGGGTTCGAGACAGGCCATAAGGTGTAGATCTAATGTATTTGTAAAGGTATACAAGATGTTTTCTGCTGCGTGAGGAGATTGAACTTCAATTTGTAGGACTGAGAGACTGAAGAATTTTGATGAGGGACAGAAATTGATCAGTGTGGGAAAGGTGGAGAGACTGAAGACAAAGGTATTAATTATAATGGAAGCTGTTATAATAGCCTGGGAGATGATGGTAAGGGCCTGACCTAAATCGTTACAGTGGGATTTAGAAGGTTCTCCTGTTTAGGTCTGAGAGATAGGAAGAAGGACCAATTTCACGCTAAGGAAAGAAGGGTCAGACAGAAGGAATGATGATGAACTCCAAGGTTTGTGCTATGCAAACTGGGGGCACGGCCACACCATCCATTGTTAAGAGAAACAGTAGAGATTTTAAGAGGAAGAAAATGAGTTCGTTTTGGACATGTTTAATTTGAGGTTACAGTGAAACAGATCGGAAGTATGGATCTTGGACTTGGCTCTGATAGTTGAAACATTTTATTTCTCTCTCTCAGTGGCTTAAGACTTCTACTTTCTGTGAGGGAGGGGTCCAAGGAAGGGAGCGGGGTTGAACTCCTTCCCCTCTTCCTCCGCCCAAGTAACGGTGGATCATCACGCACATGCACATGCACCTGAAGCGCTCTATGTCCCGTCCTCCTCCCATGCTTTCTTAGCAGCAGGGAGTGGTTGCCCAAAGACAGGAGCTTGTTGGAGACTCCCCTTTTATCTGCGACTTCCAGTTATTCTGTCATGTCGTTCCATCCTCGGACTTGAAAATTTGTAAAAATTTTAGCTATTTTCATCTTGCCTGCTTTTATGGTAGCTGCTTCTTCCTCCCATGTTCTACCAAAGGTGAAATAGTTCAGATACTGTCTGTTCTTAGAAGGGTTTGACAGTTCTTCGGTATTTGGTTTACGTGGTTGCCTTCTAGGAAATGCTAAAGAAAAGTCATTATTTGGGCTGTGTGTGGTGGTTTATGCCTGTAATCCCAGCACTTTGGGAGGCCAAGGCAGGAGGATTGCTTGAGCCCAGGAGTTTGAGACCAGCCTGGACAACATAGTGAGACCTTGTCTTTACAAAAAAAAAAAAGAGAGAGAAAATAACCAGGCACAGTGGTGTGCCCCTATATTCCCAATTACTTGGAAGGCCGAGGTGGGAGGATCACTTGAGCCTGGGAGATCAAGGCTGCAATGAGCCGTGATTGCACCACTGCACTCCAGTCTGGGCAACAGAGCAATACTGTCTCTAATGATAATAATAATAATAATAATAGTATTAATAATAATAAAAGGGGGGGAAAGCCTCTTATGGCTTTCTGCAATCTAAGTGAAAGCAATACTCCTTCTGTGAATGAATTTTTATAATTAAGCACTAGCAATTATTTTAGAATATGATCTGAAAGGCCTACTTGTGTATAGCTGCTGGCAAGTAGAGTATATAAAAAGTAGTCCCCCAGAGATGTCGAGGAGACAAATACAGATATCAGTCCTTAAAAGTCCACAGCACAATGAGTGGGATATGTATATACAGAGAAAAAAATATCTAGAAGTAAACATACCAAAACGTTTCTTATCTTTGGGTTGTTGAGTTGTAGGTGATTTATTTGTTAAAAATATGCAACGTCTTGGCCGGGCGCCATGGCTCACGCCTGTAATCCCAGCACTTTGGGAGGCCGAGGCAGGCGGATCACGAGGTCAGGAGATCGAGACCATCTTGGCTAACACGGTGAAACCCCATCTCTACTAAAAAAATACAAAAAAATTAGCCGGGTGTGGTAGCAGGCGCCTGTAGTCCCAGTTACTCGGGAGGCTGAGGCAGGAGAATGGCGTGAATCCGGGAAGCGGAGTTTGCAGTGAGCCGAGATCGCGCCACTGCACTCCAGCCTGGGCGACCTGGGCGACAGAGCGAGACTCCGTCTCAAAAAAATAAATAAATAAAATAAAATAAATGCAACATCTCAAACGATAAGCCTATGTAACTTTTATAATTCAACCACCGTCATGTCATAATAAGGGAATAATTATATCTGTAGGGTAGAGGAAAGGAATGTACTTGAAATTTCTCTTTATAAGAGTTAATTTCAACTTATTCTGTTAACCTGTCATGAAACAGAATCTCAATTTCTTTTCCTACTGGAGATATGTCTGTCCTTTACATCACCATTTAATATCTTGACAATGAAGAAAATTGTATAACCTAGAAAGGGCTGAATATTACTGAGCCCTGGGACCTGGGTCAATGATACTTGTAATGTGACTGTCTTCTAGGAGGGGCTTGGCCTAACTTCTTGTGCCCACTGATAGAAGGAATCAGATCTCCCTAATGGCAACTTTCCCTTTCTGTTAGTGAACTGGGCACTCTAAGAGACGTATTTATTACTTCAGAGCAGGCTTTTGTATACTGAGAATGAAGACAATTTTTCTGTCTCCAAAATGCCCAATATGATCCTGGTCTAGGTAAAAATCACTTGCTAACTATGTTCTCATGTAAGTAGCTCAAGATCCAATTTCCTGTACCCCAGGAAGAATGGTAATCCAGGACTGATAACCACATCCTTCAACTAGAGAAACTGGATTCTGAAGAAGTACTGTAGATACTAAAAATATGTTGTGGATGTGGGCAGTTGTTATTACCAGAATTGGCTTTAAGGAACGTTGAAAAATAGGCAGAATTCAGCATTATTTTATTCTCCTTTTAGTAGCGTTCTCTCAATTTTTTACCATTACTCATGCCTTCTTGAGAATCAAATGGAAAACTTACCCCCTAGGTCTCTTTTTGTCCAGACACTTAGGAAACCTCCTTTCTGTTGATAGTTATATTGGCCAGATTTGTTAGTCAACTAATTTGTGGAATACACTGATGACTTGAAGTGGCTAAATTATTATACTGCTCAGGTATGTTCTGCAAAGTAAAGGGAATATGGCTTTGATTAATGGAATAAAGGTCTAATGGTAGATAAGTTTCTGCTGGGGCATAGGCTATCCCCATTATTTCTTATATTAATTCATCTTTTCTTTGATTCAACAAATCTTTATTGCACATCGTTTATATACTAGGTATTGTTTTCAGCATTGTGCTTTACTTTAGATGGAAACCCTATTCATTGGACCACCCTAGTCATTGAACACGATGATCATCGTGACCCTGTTCTGCTCAAATCCTCCGATGTCTTTCCATCATGATGAGCGTGAATTCCAGAGGTGGAATGATCCGGTCCCATTTACCTCTATTATCTTATTTTCTATCTCTATCCAACCTTCTCCTTCTACTTCAGCCTCACTGACCCCTTTGATGTTCTCTAGCACACTAAGCAAGCTCACACTTTGGCATTCTAATATTTCCTGTTATATCTATATGGAATATTCTTTTTACAGACATCCTTGGGGCTTACTGCCTAATTTTATGTAGGACTCTGCTCAAATGTCACCTCAACAGAGAGGTTTCTCTTGATCACTCTCTTTCCTTGCTTAATTTTCTTCGTAGTGATCAACACCTGGCATATCACACACACACACACACACACACACGCACACACACACACACACACACACACACACACGAATATAAGCTTCATAAACTCAGGTGTTCCTGGCCATAATATACACTCAGTGAATATGTGTGTTTGTTGAATGACTCTGCTTCCCATGGAGCGTCTACAGTGTAGTCTTCTTAATCTTGAGTTCTTATCTTCTCCCCAGCACATGACCAAGTAAACAGACAGAATATCATTACCACACCAAAAATAATAATTAAGGAGATTCAATCATATGTTCCAAGTGCTTAACACAGATACTATTAGTATTAGATCTACACATTCCTTTCCCAGGAAGGGCCCTGTTTTCAGGACATTTGGCCGTCGTGACTCTGGTATGGCTCTGCTGTTATTTTTACATGGTGTTAATGTGTTCCTGACATATTTCAGAGACCAGGCTTGTCATTTACTTTGAGGGGTCCCATGAATTTCTCTCTTACACTTTTCAAATGAAATTTCAGAATTGAATCAAATTTATTGTTTCAATCAAAATGGATTTGAATTACAGATGTCTGATCCCTTAAAAACAGAGCTAAAAAAAGAAAGCTTCCATCAACTTCAGTTCTTCTTTGCTTGTCTGCTACAAACCAGAACCAAGGACTTTCTATGAGACCTTAAAAATCTTTATTATGTTAAAAAACATCATGCATATTAAGCTAAATGCATTCTATTTGCTTATATTTTAAGGTTTGTTTCATCGAGGAAGTGGTATAACCCGTGAGCAGGTTGTGGATGCTTTCTCAAAATGTGATTATTGCTCATAAAAGCTGTTTTAATTGAAAATTTTATGCCATGGAAAGCCTATAGCAATCTTAGATGCACATACCTATATTTATATCTATAGTTTATTTTTAAAGATTCCCTATACAACACTATTTTGAAATTACTAAAGGGATTTTCCTTCCTTTTTGTTATTCATCTGGGTAACTTAAAAAAATATTGCTGTTATGTTCAACTGTTGGCACTGTTGCAGGCAACTAAAAGCTTAAGAAAATTATTCCCTCGCCTGTCCCCCCAAAAGCCACATCTAAAAAGGTCACGAAAGGAAACACACAATTCAAATAATCTCCTTGCTGTATCTGAGATTAACTTGAACGCAGATGTTTTAACTTACAGTTTGATCTGGCGTAATATATACATTTAACAAAATCCTGTTTTGTATTGCTTCTATAAACACTGACGTTTGATAAAAGTGTATTGATTTTTCTGCTATTTAAGAGCTTTTGAACCAGTGCTTAAAGCAGGTTTTCTTCAAGGCCTAAATTAACTCTTTCAGCCTTTGACTATGGTTTACATGTAGGGAGTTGTGTGTGCATTAAAAGTATGTGTTTGTTTATGCTGGAAATGCATTCGAATGGCAAACCATTTTGTGGTCTGCAATATTTTACTCAGTAGGGATAATCATTAGACTTTGTTCTTGATTTTTTTCTTAGGAGTTTAAATGATTCAACACTATTCATTACCGCTCATTTTGGAACCATGCTGTAATCATCATAGGCCTAGATATTATCTGAAAAGTTACTGAATAGGGGATTTCTTCTAGCACTCTGGGCATTTCAATGTGGACCTCATCCTTCCTCCTCTCTATCCTCTGGTCTTTTCTCCAGCCTTAATGTGAGGGCTCTCAAGAAAGTGGGAACATCCATCCAGTTTAAGTCTGTCTTGCTTTCAAAGTTGTTCTCACACTCTCTTCTTTGTTGGCCAACATTCTAACATGTCACAAGTTTCTTTTCTTACTTTGTGTGGGAGCACAGAGCCACACAATTGCAAGTAGGCTTCTCTAAGTAAACCGTGTCTTCAGACTAGGTAACTCCTGGGGAAAAATGTCCAAATTTAAAATAGCAAAAGAAATTTCAAATTGAGCAACACCACAACCTTTGAAGCTACAGAAGGTTGCTGTTATGTGGAATCTCTTATGATGGCATACAAAGAAAGACTGTAACTTATGTAAGACACTAGCTTACATGAGGGCTTATTAGACTTTGTCATTTTCAAAAGTCTTCAAATGAATGATTCCATTTGAGTCTCAATATAACTTGGGTATTTTATTAGATATTTCCATTTTGCAAATGATGACATCATATCTGAGAAAGGATAAGTGGTAGAGGCAAGAACCTAAGTTCTGCATTTCTTTTCTTTTACCAGCCAGAAAGATCATGTCTCTCTGGACATAACGGAGAAGCAAAAAATTTGATTCAGTGGAAAGTTAGTCAAACGGCTATTTTGTGATGCTGTACCACATTTCTTAATTTTTAAATTCATCATTCAGGTACATAGTAAGCATAACCTATAACCCTGATAAGAATATTTCTTTATCAGTGATACACACACACACATGCACACACACACACACCCCTCAAGAACAGGGTCAAAAACAGATGGAAAACTCCAAACTAGAAACCTATAAGGTTTTGTACAAAGGACTGTTACCCTAAGATCTTTCTCAAACAAAACTTATAGAAAATGAAAACTGTTTGAGTGATTGCTATAAAAAACAGCTTTCAGAAGAATGTGCTCCTCAGCTCCCAGAGATTGCCTCTTTCCTGGGACAGAGCTTCCAAATATAAATGGGCACCATAGTCGTCGTTGGTGGTGACATGGCCTGTGGGGAGCATGGCCATGAAGCATGGCTTGTCCAGACATCTTGCTGGAAAATGACATTGTAATGATGCTATGGCTCTTGGGAAACCCAGGACATAGCTCAGGTGAAGTTAATATTTATTATTAGAAAGATGATGGAGATGCTTTACATATTTTTGAAGAGATTTTATTTAATTTACATTTTATAAAAGAAAAATAGCTTCCTTTAGCCAAAAGCAGTTAATAAGTTCCTTCGTGAGAATTAGGAGCAACATTGAAGCTAAGAGAGCAGCCTCCCTCTAAAGGACTTGGGTTTGAATCCTGGCTCTGCTATTTCCTAGCTGTGTGACCTTGGGGAAGTTCATTGTCCTTTTTGAGCTTTGGTTTTCTCATCTGCAAAGCATAAATAATAACACCTACCTTTAAGGATTGTTTCAAAGGTTGTAGATAATACATGCGTTGGCCCAAGGTAACTTTTTAAAAATGAGGTACTCAATTCATGTGAGGAATGGGACTTTGGATCATTAAGAGCCTCATTGCACATATATGCTGCCAAGGACTTGTAAGTCAATTGCTTGAAATATGAATTAAGGGGGATGAGATATAGGGGTCAGGGATTTTAGATCTTAAGAAGATGAATCTAAATGTAGGACGTAGGTGATCCTAGGGAAACACTCAAGTCTCTCCTTTCCATCCAGTGGTTACCGAACCCTTGGCCAAGGCACTGCTCCCCTGATCAGTAATGTGTGAAATGTCATCCTTTCGCTCAGTATCTCTTCCCATGTGTCTTTGAGTTATATCTACCCATTTTACCCACCAAACTTACTTTTATTATCTTCATCTTGATAGAGCCAGCACATCTCCGCAGGAACTAGCTGAATCTGATTCTGCTTCTCACATCCCTGACAAAACTGTCAGCTTCATTTCCATCACAAAATCTTGGTAGCTCTTAAGGGTGTCAGAGCTCGATGTTTCCCATTCCAGGTTGAATTGGCACAGCTGGGGCAAAGAGGCACTTCCTTAAGACTTGTGAAGTGAGCAACTTGGACTGACAGATCATTGAGAAAATACAAATGTGGGTTTACATTTCTACTGTAAAATAGGAATTGTCTCAATATGGAAGGATTATAAAAAAAAAACTTTGACTTAACTCATTGATAGTTGAGAGTTACAATATAAAAAGCAATTAGACTGTCTTTTCCCTTTGACCTGTGGTCTATTCTGATGATAATCATTGCATTAAAAACCTTTTAATCATGTTAAGCCTTCGATTCTGACCTAAATGATAAAGTTGATTTTTTTAACTTAACTGATTGGAAAAATTGTTAGGCAAAAATTTATGCGATTATTCTTTCACCAATCATGAAGTGTGGTATCCAAAGTTGATGATATGTAGCTTGCTACCATAAAAAGGAAGGCTGCATTAGCCACATTGTTATAAAATCTTGCTTTCAAAGAAAAGAAAATGAGGGTTTCAAGAGAAATTACTATGTTAGGGAAGTAGCTCAGTGGTGATTGCATTATATTTTCAAAATAAGAACTTTTTTAGTTACCTGAAGTTGCTACTCCGTTTTAAGACAGACTTATTTTAAACATTTTTGGTGGACATATTATAAGCATTTTTCTCTTTGCTTGTTAGTGAGAACATACTAAAGATTAATTTTCCTGGAGGACACAGGGTTAACATATTTTTTCATTTATTTATTGAACTAATATTTGCTGAGTGCCCATGCACTATCAGTTACTGTATAAAGGGAGTCTTAAAGAGAGAAGGCCCAGCCATGTTGAGAATGGGGAGAATGGAGTTCCCAGCAGGGAGAACAGCATGAGCTGTCCCTGAGGTGGGAAAGCACTTGGCAAGTTTTGCAGAACTGAAGAACAGCGTGGTTAGAGCTTAATGTGAGACAAGGAGAATGGAACAAGAAGAGACTGGAATGCAGTTAAATGTGGAGGGACTGTTAATGTGCATGGAGCAATTGCCCTTAAGTTAAACATCACCAGGCTGCTGCACATTTTCTGATATTTGATGTATTTATTTTGTGATGTTTCTGATGTCTTTTCCCCAGCTGCTTCCTTCATTGTTGTTAATTCTTTGACTTTGCAGCAATTGTAAAATCTAAGTCTAGTGGTGTTTCCTTTATTTCTTTCTAAAAGTCTTCTGTTGGGCTGGAGAATCAGATAACCAGCCTAATTAGGATTATGTCTAAACTAAGAGTAAAACAGCGATGAGTTTGCAACAGGTACACTCCCCTCTGGGCAAAAGCTTTAGGCTCTTTTTTTTTTTTTTTTTTTTTTTTTTTCAGTTGGAGCTTTGCTCTGTTGCCCAGGCTGGAGTGGAGTGGCATGATGTTGGCTTACTGCAACCTCCGCCTCCTGGATTCAAGCGATTCTCCTGCCTCAGCCTCCCGAGTAGCTGAGATTACAGGCACCTGCCACAGTGCTATAAAAGCTGTAGGCTTTTATAAATGTACCACTTTCTTTCTGGGCCTCAGTTTCCTTATCTGTAAAAGCAGGTTACTGATCAAAATACCACATAAAGGCCGTTTCAGTTTGTAATTTGACTTACAATAAAAGATCTTTAAAACATATTGCATTGTATTATGCTTTGCATAGCTAAGCTTGCCCTTGCCACATTTTAATTATCTGCAAGCATTAACTGCTTTTTAAAATAACAGCATCCCCAAAGCATTAATATTGATGAAAATAAAGTAAAAAATTAAAGTTTTGAGAATTACTGTATAAATGAAATTAATATTTGATTATAGATCACTTATTCTGTTACTTTTTTCTTTGACTATGAAATTTATTGTGAGAAAGTGTGAACTCAAGTGCAAATTAATTTTGAGTTCCATGTCTAATCATTTCTAAATTTGGTAAATGCATGTCATTATTTTCCTATTTCAAAATTTTAAATTCTATACTTTCTGTATACAGGAGGGTTACAATTGTTCATGCACACACAAATATCTCTTAAGGGAGAAGCTGTTGCTTCTGTTTTCATGTCAGCTACAGCATTTGACATAGTATTTTGAACAAAATAAATGCTCAAGAAAATGTTTTTTGCATGAACACATCAATGAAAAAAAATTCATTGGCTTGAATCTGACTTAAATATTTGCTAAATGGATCAAGCACCACCACCAAGCTACTTTTCTGTCTTCAGAAAAGCTTTTATCAGGCACCAGTTGCTTAAAACTAAAGTGTGAATCTGTGGTATTCTTAAATTCTTTGGGATTATGTAGGAATGTGTAAAATGATGTTCAAGTGTCTCAGGAGAAAAGGGTTAGTAAGCAACACTTACATAGAAATGAAATTGTTTCAGACAGTGGTCAACCTCAGCAAAGTATTTGCAAAATAGCAATCAAGTGACTGCTCTCATTTGCTTTGGGGGTCAGAAGCTGTCCACTTACCTCCAAACCTCACTCCTCACTAATTGCAGGGATGGACGAGTGGAAGGCAGGGTGTTGGATGAGTGCTGACAGCTGTCCCGAATGTGGCATCTTGTTTCCTACGGGCCCAGGTCTGCTTAGCATTACACAGTGCTTAGCTTCGTTCAGGATGTGGTCAGTGTTTGCTGGGAGGCGTATGAGACACTGGCTTTCCAGGAGGAAAGCTCCTGGAAATTTACACCAGGCATGCAAATTTGAGTGTAGAAAATTGACTGTAAAAATTCAGGGGGGAAAAAGAAAATTTGTTGGTGTGGCAGCAAGGAAAATATTTCTTTTGCCTCCCCAAAGAAAAAGAAATTCCGCAGGGCTTAGAGTTTGTATTTGAAAAGAGATAAATTCATTCCTAGAAATATTTTGGTATCACTGGCTCTCAGGTGGCTCGTGTTCCATTCATTGGTGGTCAGAGCTTTCTGGGATCTAAGGAAGGAGAGGTGAGGAGTTGGAGGGGAGGATCTTACATGTAAGGGGAGCACGTGCGGTGTGATATAACAATCCCTGAGCCCCCCAGCAAGTAGTGAAAATTATGTATTAGATTAATCTGTGTCTAACTTTAATGGGGATTATCTTCAGTTTAAAAAGCAAAGGTAGAAAGAAGCGTTTGGGGTAAATCCTTCACGCCTCTGGAATAAATTTATGATTTTAATCTCATATTATCCTAATGTTTAAAGTATTAACTTTTTCTTAGGAATAAGCAGCTAAATTGATGGTACCTCGGGTCGCTGCTGGCTTTCAATTTCAGGGATGCTGTGATGAACGAAGAATGAGGGGTGTGTCCGATAAAAACTTGGGCCTATCTCCTTATTTCCAAATCAAATGGTGTCATTGGTAGCATCCATTGTGGCATCAAACTTCTGTGAAAGAAGAGAAGACAGGATATACACGCGGAGGCATGTGATTCATCTTGACGTCATCTGTCCTCTGCGTTATTTGGAGAGTGGGCTGAGAAACCCCGGGACTGAAGACATAGGGTAGAGTAACAAAAATGCACCCCCCACAATGTCTAAACACAAATGTTCACTTTTTGTTTAAGTGAACTTGAGCTGTGACCTCTCAAAACTGCTTACTCAGCCTTTCTTAATACCAGAGCAACTTAAAAACGAATCCCATCTTCTACCAAAACTGCTTTAGGAAGCAGCTCCTCTGGGCCCCTGGCTTTGACAGGATTCATTCTGAAATGGTCCTGTATCATCCAACCAATACAGCAAATCTGTTACTTTTAGAACAGAAGAATCCGACAGGATTTTCCAGAGGCCAGCTGTGGATCTTTAGATTGTCGTCATGTTACTCAGAACAGAACAACTGTTTGAATCAAAGCCAAAGATGTCCTTGAATCATTTAGTATCAGGGCACTAATGAGCTCTGCAGACATTTCAAATTCCTTTTCCTTCCCATCCCTCCCTCCCCATCCACCTTACCCAGGTGTGACTTAATCCAGTCTATTTTTCCCCTAAGTAATAAGCTGTAACACACATACGCTCATGCACATACACACATCCATACATACATATAGACATAAGATTTATAGGTGTATAATCTGTTTTGTATGGTGAAGTGAGGTTTCAAAACAGTGATTTTTCAAAAGCAGCAGCAGATTCTTCACTGGTCTCTTTTAATTAATAGATATGTAGAAGTAGAGCTTTGATTTTCATTGTGTCCTACGGTTTTGAGAAATGGCAGATGCCTTAATGATCTGCTAAGCCAACTCTGAGTTTTTGGAGATGAGAAAACTGAGGCTCAGAGTTTGAGGAGATTTGTCCAAGATCCCCCAGGTAGCATCTGGTAGAGCTGGACTTGAGCAGGTTGTTGACTTCCTGGCTCTCTTTCCTCTATAGCACACAATTTGAGAGCCTTATTCATGTTTCTTACTTTCTCCATTTTCTTCTGCTTAAAACTGCCTGTTTTAAATGGGCAAGTTTTATTCACCTATGATGTTTCTTTTTCTTGTTTTTCATGGCAAATTGATGAAACTGTGTTATTCTGAAGTCATATGTTATATGAGCACACATAATGTCAGTCTGGTATGCTCACTGTTCCCTGCCCCCTACCCCACTACATCTGTGTGACGAATTCCGCTTATAACCAGGGCTCAAGTCCTCTGTGAGTCTCTGTGCAAAGCAAAACTTTCCCTGGATACTCACCTCCCCTCACTCTTGGCAGCTGCTCCTCTCTCTACTCCAGCAAGCCTTTGTATATGGAAGCATGAGCATTCCTACATTCTATTGTATTTATTTATTCATTCACTTATCTCTTTTTTATCCCCAGTTCTCCAATATAGCAAATGAAACTCCTTATAAAACAAACCCCTACATAACTTAAGACTGTTTTAACCTTTATTTCCAATTTCATTTCTGAAGATATATTATGTCATCCTGAAGGTGGGCCTGTTAGTTTTGTTGTTGTTTGTTTTGTTGTTGTTGTTGTTTGAGCCAGGGTCTTGCTCTGTTGCCCAGGCTGGAGTGCAGTGGTGTGATCTTGGCTCACTGCAAACTGTGCCTCCCCAGTTCAAGAGATTCTCTTGCCTCAGCCTCTCGAGTAGCTGGGATTGCAAGCACACGCCACCACACGCTGCTAATTTCTGTATTTTTAGTAGAGACAGGGTTTCACCATGTTAGCCAGGCTGGTCTCGACCTCGTGACCTCAGGCGATCCGCCTGCCTTGACCTCCCAAAGTATTGGGATTACAGGCGTGAGCCACCGTGCCCGGCTGGGCCTGTTAGTTTAATCTTCCAAAAGATTATGAATCAGCTTCCTACTTTTTAACCGATATTTATTGAGCATCAAGTACTATGTTACAAATAACCGTAGGACTTGCTTCTGTGGACATCATGCCACGAAATCTTCACAACAATCCTGGAGAGTTAGGTTGGCCTAACTGATGTATAGATACAGAAACAGCAGAAAGAGGGCACATCTTTTCTAAAGTCTGCTGAGTGGCTAAATCTGAGATTCAAACTCAACCATTTGAACCAGTGTTTAAGATCTCCACCCCTCCATCGCACTGCCTCTGCATCCCTCCTTAACTCATTAAGCAGATTTTTTTCAGTATGCCTATACTTCAACAAGATAGAAGCAGGATGGTGGGCAGGAGGGTGGCGGGGGTGGGGGTGGAGATGGGTGAAGTTTTGGAGTAAATTCTTCGGATCGTCTGCCTCAAACATACCCCTCCAAAAGTCATCACTACCAATATGAAAGTTTAAAGTGTTATACTTTTTAAAGAAGAGGACTTAGGCCCCTTCAGCTCTCTGTTATTGTTGCCTTATCTTCTGTTTATCACTTCTCTGATTTAATTTCTTACCAACGTTATTTAAAAAACAACAACAACAACAACAAAAAACTAACCACCGAAAGATAGTTCCTAATTATCCCAGGATAGTGACGTAGGGATGGCATATTCAAATTACTACTTGATTCAAAATATGGAAGAAGTTGATGCCTAGTAGCTTCCTCCCACCAAATTTTTGTCAGAACTTCTATTTAACAGCAAACATATGTTGCATCTACTTCCCCCCACCCCACATCTTTTAATCTCAGAAGTCCTATTGGTTCATTAAGTGGCAGTATTTAAATGGGAAAAAAAAAAAAGCTAAAAATGTCTTAGGTTTCCATCACTTGTACCTGAAGAGTTAAGAGTTATCTGAGGCTGGGTGTGGTGGCTCATGCCTGTAATCCCAGCACTTTGGGAGGCTGAGGCGGGTGAATCACCTGAGGTCAGGAGTTCGAGACCAGCCTGGCCAACATAGTGAAACCCTGTCTCTACTCAAAATACAGAATTAGCCGGGTGTGGTGGCACATGCCTGTAATCCCAGCTACTCAACAGGCTGAGGCAGGAGAATTGCTTGAACCAGGAGGGGGAGGTTGCAGTGAGCCGAGATTGTGCCACTGCACTCCAGCCTGAGTGACAGAGTGAGACACTGTCTCAAAAAAAAAAAAAAAAAAGAAAAAGAAAGAGTTGTATGTAACTGTGTAATGTTTCTCCCATGTTGTAAAAACTAGACAGTATCACTGAGTTGCGACTGTCAGTCCTTTATAATTCACCGTTGCTCATGTTTGCATCTATCAGTTAGTACTGAAAAGTAAAAGGCAGGCCCTTTCATTTACATAAAATAAAAAATAAGACGCATGAAACTTTTTAGCTTTTTGAATAACTTAGCTCTAGTGGCAGAGCAGGAATGTGTTTAAAAGAATTAAAAGTGATGAGAAGTGTTTATCTGTTGATAGAACAGCAGCAGCCTGAAGATTGACCCTGCCTGCAGCTTTGAACTGTTTGATTACTATTTGTCTTCTCCCCTGCAGCTATCAAACAAGGGAAGCAGGTTTTGAAGGGGCAACAGTGAAAGAAGAAAGGGAAAAAGGTCTGCCCTCACCAGAGGAAAATGTTTCTTCCATATGGTTTGCTTAGAAGCTATTTTGTCTCACCAAAAGGATAAAAAGTCTCTCCCATGCGTTGAGAGCAGGGAACATGTGAGTCAGGGAAATCGAGGGCTCTTGGAGACCTAAGTGTTACTGCAGACTTACGCATGTGAAAGTTAGTACAAGGGCATAGGGCATGGCTGTTCACAATTTAGCTACTGGTCAGTGTTGTCCATCTGGTAAACCCGACCAGAGGCAAGAGTTGCCGGGATTGTCTTTGATTTGTATAGGCAACAGCTTGGCTGAGTTTTATTAGAGCCATTGTTTTCAAATATTTTTCTTATCATCTGAACTCTTTCATCAAATAAAATATCAATATATGAAACAGAGAGTAGCAGAGTTGCTCTGGTTGTAGTAGGGGAGAAGGCCTGGTCCCTGCCTCCTATGCTTTCACCTTCCCTCTAATAGCAGATGCTCAAGCATCAGATTTCCCCCAGGAAATAACTCAGAAACCAAACAAGGAAAGGTGATTGGTGAGATCCCTTATCATCCTATTGTCCTGGGGCCAAGGAGAGTGATGCTTACACCAGTGGTTCTTAAAGTGTAGCCCAGACTGGAAGCATCAGGATTACCTGGAAACTTGTTAGACATACAAATTCAGAATCCAGATCTCTTAGGTGGAGCCCAGCAACTGTGTTTTAATAAGACCTGTATGTCAAGACCACCAGGGTTTGAGAACCATTACTAGAGCAGCATTTCCGATTTTAAGCTTTCTCAGATTCATTGCGTAGCTGGATCCTCAGAGAGGCAGGTACCACTTGCAAGGATGTTAATACAGGAAGCACCTGTAAGAGAAAATGAGACAGGAGCTGGAAAAGACTGAGAGCTGCTAAAACTCATGCATGTCTACTCTGAGTGGAGGAGAGAGGGAAGGAAGATTGGGTGGAAGCATCCCAAGACATTAGTTCTAATATCTGGGTATCTTGTAATTGGTCTCCATTATTTGTCATTTCTCTTGCAAATCTCGTATTTTCCTGGATTTTTTTTTTTTATGGCATGTTGGGGGCAGTTGAGTAAATTCAGTAAATGTTTTCTAGTCATGAATGATCTCTTGTAGAGACTCTGTATTTTGATATACTCCCCTGAATAGTGCTGTTTTTAAAAAATAGTCACTTAATTTTGCTGAACTCAAACTGTAAACTCTCTATCTCACACCTCAAATCTTGGGTTAGTTCTCATTAGCTTTAGCTGTCAGTGCTATATGCACATCACAGGGGTCAGCCACAGTTGGAACAAAGTTTATAGACTCTGCATTTTGGGCTCCCTCCTTTCTGGAATTTCCCCTTCGCTTTCCAGTATACTTTTTTTTTAAACTGTAAGTGGTTTTCTTTTGGCATCATATTATCAAGGTACTCTATTCTAAGGAGTTTCACAGCAGTTTGAGCCTTAAGCTGATTTCTTTTGCTTTTGATTGTTTAAAAACTATAAACATTTGTTTTATTGCTTGAGCAAAATATGCCTTTCTACTGGCTTATACATTCATAAAATCAAGACTTTAATATTCATCCTGTTTAGACATTATCAACATATATTTCCTGATGAGTCAATTGATTTATTCATTAATTCTTCAAACCATTGCCCCCTTCTCTGTCTACACTGTAGACATAGATTTCTCCATTACTCTAACACATTGGTTCTCAAACCTTAGTTTACATCAAAATCATGTAGAGGGGCTGTAATAACACAGATTGCGGGGCCTCACCCCAGCGTTTCTGATGCCGTAGGACCATTCTTTGAGAATGACTTGTCTAACCCTGGTGACAAATTATCATTTGCCAGAGACAGCCCCAGTTTTTGCACTGAAATTTCCATGTCCCTGAAAATCCCTTAGTCCTGGGAAAACCAGGAAGACTGGTCACTTTGTCTAACACACTTGGCAGTACATTGAAAACTCCTGAGTACTTTTCGAAAATACTGTTGCTTCCCACTCCTCACTCTTCTTGGCCCCACCTCCACCCCTTGCCTTCTATTTAATGGGTTTGGGGTGTGGTATGGGTATCTGGATGTTTAAAAGCTGTCTAGGTGATTACAATTAGAGGTTTGTCAACCACTGCTCTAATCACAAGCCTCACCCCTCATTGGAAGAGTTTGGTACTAGCTATTCCTTCACCTGGAACATTTTTCCTCTTCAGTGGTTCTGTCCTGATTATTAGCATCAGCTGGGGAACATTTAGAAAATACCAATGCTCAGGCCCCACCTCCCAAACCCAGCAAAATGAGTCTCTGAGAATATAGCCAAGGCATTGGTAGTCTTCAACTCAGGCGATTCTCTTAGGCACTCAAGAATGGGAAGTCTTGTGATCTTCTCATAGCTAGCTCCAGTCATGCAATAAAAAAGACCTATCATTCCTATCCATGCCATTTAAATTCACCCCCACCTGCTTTCCCTGATACTTGTCAGTTTCTGATATTTTCTTTTTCATTTAATTCTGTTTATTTTTTCCTTTCCCAAATAGAATGTGAACTCCATGAAAGCAAGAGCTTTGTCTTATTTATCACAGTATTACCAGTTCTCAGAAGTGTCTAGAACATGTAAGCACCCAATAAATGTTAATTCATGCCTGCAATGTATTGAGTACCGTGCTTGGCTCCAGGGACAGTACAATAATGAACAACAACAATAATGACAACAACAGACAAAATAGTAATCCTTTCTGACCTCATAGAGCTTGCTGTCTAGTGGACTACTTCTTTTTTTTTTTAAATAACTTTTTGTGATCTGCCATTAGAACCTCAGAAAAGTAAATGGTGAAATCAATCGAGGGGACACATTTCACCACTTGAAGACCGCCACTGACACCTCACCTTTTCATGCAGTTACCAGCATCATGTTTCCATGGTTAAATGAACTTAGTGATCTATAGAAACTGAAGTAACATTTCAACCCTGCCTTATGACAACCTGAGCCATGGTTTCTGGGCTTTGTGAATTTCTTCTGTTTTCACTGGCAACTTGGGGCCATTGAAAAGCTGGGAGACAATGCAGCTTTCACCCCCACACGTCAGGCCCACGATGGAATCCCCCTGGTGGTCCAAGGACAGAGCTGAGTCTTCCTGCTGTGGTTGGGTTGCAGGAAATACTCTGCAGTCTTTCATTTCAGCCAGACAGACACATGAAAGGACCCAGGAACACAGAGAAAACATGTAAACAAGTCACATCTATTTTTATGGAAACAGACATAAATGGTGTGGGGGTGTCGTAGCACGTGGGTGTCTAGATTCCAGAGGGCTTTAGTCAGGAGACAGTGTAATGCTCAAAGCAGAAATTTAAATGAAGGAGGAACTTTGTTGGACAGGTCAGGACTGGAGCATTTCAGGCCACGTGAATGACATTGCAGAGTCTTGAGGACCTTAGCTGACATACCCAATGTGAGGCCAAAGCACATAATCCCTGTACTGTTCTTAAGGAGTCCCACCTGGAGCAGAGTAGGATGGTTTAGGGATTAGGTAGAGTCAGCATTTCTTCCTCTTGCCTTTCCTCCTGAAATAATTCACCTATCAGGTCAGGTTTATTCTAAGATTAAAGAGATAACTGTAAAGTAACTTATCCAGTGATATGAAACAATCTGCATTGCCAAATAGACACTGTGAGGAAAGAAACCTTAACTTTTGCCTAGATATCTAGTTTTATTATGTCTCTAATGATTAAGTCACTGGAAATGTTTCATCTAGAGCTTTGTTTTTGCAATGCAAAATTATAAAGAGAAATCCATTACGTGAGTGAAACATGAGCGTGAACAAGGTATATTTTTCAACATACAATACACAGAATATGCACATAGTATATAATACTGTGTGTATATAGTACATATATATCATACATACATTTATCTATCTCTTGATCAATTAGTCTATCTCTTTCATATGAAATGATAGTTTGCTGAAAGGTAGAGACCATTCTATAATACTTAGAAAATATATTTAAAATATGTCCTATTAGCATTTAAACTATTTGTGTTATTCGTGAAGGAGGTTTAAGAACAGTGCTAGAAGACTTGTAGCTTGCTTAGGTATAACATCTACCTAGCTGTATTGTCTTTTGAATTGCTTTCATTTTATCACACATATTTAACATTGCATCTCCCAAAACCCAGGCCATCCTGTGAAAAGTCAAACCATAACTTCAGAATATCCCAGGTGGTGTATTTGGCCTTGCCTCAGTAAGAAATTAGACCATCATGACTTCACAAAGCAGAGGCATTGTGGTGGGTAAAAAGAAAGGCACAGGACATTTCTTGATTAATATGTGCAGTCATGTGCCATGTATGATGTTTTGGTCAATGACAGACCACATGGACGGTGGTTCTATGAGATTACAACTAAGTTTTTACTGTACTTTTTTATGTTTAGATACACAAATACCATTTTGTTACAATTGCCTACCGTATTCAGTACAGTGACATGTATAGGTTTGTAGCCTAAGAACAGGCTATACCATATAGCCTAGGTGTATAGTAGGCTATGTCATCTATTAATAGATTTGTGTAAGTGCAGTCTATGATGTTTGCAAAATGATGAAATGCCTAACAACGCATTTTTCAGAAAGAATTCCTGTTGTTAAGCAACACATGACTGTAATTGTAGATTAGTGTGAAGATGCACTAGCAAGACATTATGACACTGTATTTTACTTCATTAAGCAGTAAAAATCCCTGTTGTGTGCTTCGCTGTTTATTTAATCATTAATTCGATACATATTTATTGAGTGTGTATTATGTACCAGGTACTGTGATAGGCACTGGGTATAATGGTTAAAATAAAATTTAAGAAAAACAGTTTACAATTAACTTGTGGAGGTAGGAAATTAAAAACTCTATAATTGCAGGTATGGTTATACAAGAATGAAAATGGTACTATGAGACACTGATGTGAGGAACATAATTTAGATGAGGAAATATGACACCTAAGTGACATGTAAGCCAGGAGGTAGTTAGCCAGCTAAGGAGTACTTTCCATTTCAGGGTTTCCAGAAAATCTGCAAACTTGACATACCTTGATTTACTTTCAAAACTAAAGGCAGAAGAGGTACAGTAACTTGTTGTTCTAGTTTTTATTGTTTTCTTGGGGAAAGATGTGGAAATTAATTTTTCCCTAAAATACATTAATCATGAAGGAAGCCACATGGCGTAATTGTGGAGGGTTACTTTATTTTTCTTTCAAGATTGTGATTTTGTCATGCATATTTAACACCTTATCTTCCAAATGATGTGTGTATATTTTTCCCCTGATATCTATCAAAGACCATTTGCAGAGGAAATAAAAAATAGGAACACCCATAGGCTAGAATATTTAAATAATTTCTGCAAGATGTAGTACAAATAGTGCCTAATTTATGGAGGCTCTGCTCATTTTGCCATTTACAGCCGGGAAAGAAAAGTCCACCTGGAAAGTGACCAGAGAGAATCTCGAGGAGTCCAAGTCACTTCTTTATTTGTAAAAACTGGCCTAAGAAATTAAATAGAAGAGACTATTGGGCACAGAAATAAATGTCCCTGCTCCTGCATGACTAATCTGAGGAAATAAAACAGAGAAAGGAAACATAAAATAAAACAAGGAAGGAAATATATAATCTTTCTTCTTTCCACTTTGGTACTGAAAGTATTGAACAGGGACATGCACAATCTCACCCAGAACTTACTGTAAATTACAGTTCTGGACAAACAGACATCGCTCTCTATAACAATAATAAGGAAAAGTCACCGAGAGAGATTACTTTCAGAAACAATAAAGAAATACAAAACCATTCCATTTTCTATAAGGTCATCACAGATTACAAGCTAAAATAGAGTCTGAATGTGGAGTCCATCCCCTTCAAAATGGTGTTACTTGCAGTACGGTGAAGTGCATATTTTGTTGGTATAATCTGTACGTGATTTCCTAACTGAGGGCATATTAACAAATTGTGTACTGGTTTTAGTGTCTCTCAACAATGAGATATTTGAATTCCATTATTATTTCACAGGCAGAACTGAAATGAGTCAATATTTTGCCACTACACTATTATAATTGAGGCACAGGGTCTTGAGTTGAATATTTTTCATTAATAAAAGTCCCATAAACATAATTCATAATTTGGGTATTTGATAATCTTCTATTTGTAGACACTATTTTTACCTGTACTGAAGGTAAGCTTGTGGCCCAAACTTGGAAATGGAGTTCCTTTCTTCGTATGCTGGAGCAGAAGTCCTCCTCATCCTCTGTTAATTGCAGCTTCAAACATCCTCATCATTAGGTTGCTGGTGCAGAGCAAGTGCTCTGGCGTCGATAACTTCAGCTTTCTCTAATGACTTTGCTTCAACTTCCTCATCTATACATTAAGGAAACTCTTCGTAGCTTCCTCATTGGGTGGGCCCTTAACTCCATGGCCGTCACAGAGCACATAGTCAGTATATATTAGCTCTGTATCCAAAAAGTTTAGAAAAGTGGTTTAATAATGTCAATACAGGGCATTTTCTATAATAGTAATGCTGGTATTATTAGTATATCCTAAATATTGTCATTTATTTTCATAAGCAATTTTGGATCAGTTGTGTTTTATGTATAAGTAAACATTTCTTAAAAATTAAATCAGCGTAATAGCAAAAACTGACTGTGAAAATACAGAACACAAAAACTAGCAGCTCAATAATTTGCCTTGCAACACAGTACCCTTAAATAACAACTAGCTGGTATTGGAAGCTAGTTGATTTCATTTTGAAATCAACAAATGAATTGAATGGGGTGGTACATCCGTAAAGGAAAATATACTTTAAAGTATTTAAACTCAAGTAAAGAGCAAAGGTGAGAAAACAGCCTTTGAAATCCTGTCATAAGGCAATATAAAAGTCAGAATCTTCATTGTTAATTTCAAGTGATTGAAGTTTTTTCTTGAGTATAGAGGGAGATAGATTTTTCAATTTTTTTTTTCAATTTTAGAAACTCTTCTTTCCTGTATGGATTGATCTTTCCTTGGCTTTTCTAATGAATACTTTTAGTGTTATACCTTTATCCTAAAGTGATCATTGAAAATCACATATCCTTTCCGTTGGTAGTTTAAATATGTCTTCCCTGGAATTGTATGATGATATTTAGTGTCATTGAGTCAATTATTTTACCTTCACATCCAGACAATTACATTTAAAATGAATTCTTAAACATTCAGAATTGAAAAGAAGGTTTCCACATTAAACCAATGGCTCTTTTGGCATCTACTACATGCCTTAATTTTTACCACATATGCATAAATTGGCAAAGTATCTTATGGGTTATAATAATCCTGATGGCTTGGAATTAATATATTGCCATCATAGAGCAAGTCCTGAGCCCATCTACTCTGAATCTTTGGATAAAGACAAAACTCCATCCTGCCATGCACCTGGTCAGTTGTGCAATGCTGACCAATACACAGCTGCTAACAATAAGGGTATTGTGCTTATGTAACCCAGTTCAGGATCTGATGGTTAGTCTCTCGATACATGCTGAAACACGAGGGAATTTTTACTTGCCAGGATGCCTGCTTCATGGAAAATATTGTGTCTATGTTGAAGCATACACTTACATCTCTCTATATAAGTTGGTGGAGTTGAATTCTACCAGATTACCTTAGCTTTCCAAGTCAGTTCAGGGTTAAGGCTCTCTCAGTCAAGAAAAGGTCATACAGTGTGGCGTCGAATGTAATTTTAGGAATTGTTTTTTGAGCACTTGTTTTATCAAGTTAACAAAAGTCTGTATTATGTTTCTTCTCATTGATGTGGGTGTGTCCTTGTGTGTGTATTATTCGAGAGAGGCTTCCATTTGTTGAGTGATCTTCATGCAAACATCTTGGAGTGCTTTACAAAAGAATTTTAAAAATCAAACCAAACAGGATATGAAACTGTGCTGCCAAACAAGTAAGTCTTTAGGCATGATTTAAATTTAGTTAATGACATAAAGAGCTAAATCTGTGAAAGGAAGAAAGTTCCTTGGATCAGAAAAAAAGCAGAAAACAGATACTCATATTTTGTCTAAGTCTTCATTTGAGTAGCTCCAAAAATGTTCTTTTAGAAGTGAAGTTGGAAAATCCCAGGCTAAGTGAACTCCAAGGAGCAGTGTTTTAGGGGAAAAGACCAGATAATAGTTCCCATGTGCATAGTGATCTACAGATTGCAAAGTGTTTTCCCAGCCATTATCTCATTTGACCATCACAACACTCCATCAAAGTAATTAAGGACAGTGTTACCCCAGTTTACAGATGAATAAACTGATGACAGGAGAAACTAAGGAATTAAATGAGGTGATAGAGCTAGATGGTGATAGAGCTGGGATTGGCATATGGATATTGTTCCAAATCCCATGTTGTATATACAGTAACATAAGGCTCCACTGTGGCGAACTATTTACACTGGATACTTTTCTCCTGCCATTATAGCTGCCTTGGGAGTGATAGTAATGACTCTGACTTCCCAGGGTATCTTAACATTCTGCTTCCTCTCAGGAGGATCTCCTGACATTCTTGTGTAAATGGAAAAGTAGAAAACCAGGATCTTCTAAGGCAAGTGCATTGTAAATGATAATTTCATGCCTTAATCTTTTCAAAACATTTAAACTGGCTTTGATGATTCACCTTTAAACTCACCCTTCAATAGTTCTCAGAATCCTCCTTGAGAAGATGAAATTGGAATGATCCCATCAGCTCTGGCAGTTGTAGGTGGATTCTAATGGTAAGGGACTGTAGTGGGGAAAATGGGGAATTCTTAATGAGCTCCCTTTCTATTGCTGACTTGAACCAAATGTAGTTATCCTTGAACGTTTGAGGATTCTATAAGCATTGTGGTTTCAGACAGTGAGTCATAACCTTGTGCCAGAGGGGTGGGTGATATAGTATCTGGATTGATTCATGAGACATATAGTGGCTTTTTAAGGTATATTCTGAAATGAGTCTTCCAGCAGTCAGGTTTCGTTGTTGTCGTCTTTGTTTTGCCTTCTTCTCTGAAAACACAATTATTTTCTCATTCAAGGTTTGGACTTTAAAAGCTTACTTTTTCCTTGAGACACCTTTAGCTTGAGACAAATCTAGGAAGAACATCGTTTTGTGATTCTGTAGATCTTTTGACAAAGTGGATCCTCCTGCTTCAGCCTCCCTGACAATTACTTTATTTTTTGTAGAGGCGAGATCTTGATATGTTTCCCTGGCTGGTGTTGAACTCTTAGGCTCAACCCATCTTACCCCACTTGGCCTCCTAAAGTGTTGGGATTTCAGGCGTGAGCCACCACACATGCCTCTAAACTTTTTTGTTTTGTTTTTTGAGACGGGATCTCACTCTGGCACCCCGGCTAGAGTGTATTGGTGTGATTATATCTCACTGTGGTCCCGACCTCCCAGGTTCTGGTGATTCTCTTACCTCAGCCTCTCAAGTACCTGGGATTACAGGTGTGCACCACCACACCTGGCTGATTTTTGTATTTTTTGTAGAGATGAGGGTTTTGTCACGTTGCCCAGGCTGGTCTTGAACTCCTGGGCTCAAGCAATCCATCTGTCTTGGCCTCCAATGTGCTAGGGTTACAGGTGAGAGCCACTGTGCCTGGCCAACTTCTAAATTTCAATGACTTATTATTTTTTTTCTTTTACCTGCCAGACCTTGGTAATCATTTCTTCTTTTAAATTTTTTTAATATAATTGTCCAGGTGGTTCAAGATCCCCTAAAAGATGCTGTATCATTGCTTAAGGTAGAATGTCTTGCACAGAATAGGAGCTCAGTCGATGTCTGCTAATTATTAGTTTTTCCTGTTCTATATAGAATTATATAGTTTTAAGTGTTAGGCAATGTTTTTAACTTAGAACTTAAAATGGAAATCACTATGATGATTAAAATATTCTATATCCTCATTGCCCAATATGGCAGCCACTAGCCGTTTTGCTTGAGCACTTGAAGTGTGGCTTCTGTGACTGAGGAACTGGATTTAAATTTTATTTAACTGTAATTAATTTAAATGTATAAAGCCACATGTAAGTAGTGGCTGCCAGACTGGATGATGCATGCTCTAAGAATGTGCAGAATGGCAATCTAAATGTGAACTGTGAGTTAGAGAAGTCCTCCTGGAGGAAGAGGAACTTGGGTCTTGCAGAAGGGAAGCAGAGAGAAGGGGTGAGGTGTTTTAAGTAAGGAATATAGTAAAAGCTCTGAGGTGATTGACAGTGTTAAATTTGGGATTAGTTTCAAGACTGGAAGTAGAGCAGAGTTTGAGCACTAGGGACAGTAGTAATAATAACAGCAGACACTTACCAATTTACAGGCCACATACTAGTTTAATCTTCACAACAATACTCTAACTCGAAGAATATAAGTAATTTGCTCAAAGGTACAAGTTGATATTGGACCTGAGATTGGAACTCATATCTGTCTAGCTCAAAAACCTAAGCTTTTAACCACAATACTGTGCTGCCTTATGATCTGCCATGTTTAGAAAGACTTACAAGTAGGAAATAGCCTAAATGTCTTTTAACTGGTAAATGAGTAAACAAATAATGGAATACATCCAATCAATGGAATACCACTTACAAATTTGAAAAGTAACAGAACTACAGATATATGTAACAACATGGATGAATCACAAATGTATTATGCTAAGTGAAAGAAGCCAGAGGTGAAGAGCTATATACTGTATATTCCATTTGTATGACGTTCTAGAAATGGCAAAATTATAGAGACAGAAAACAGGCTCAGGAGTTGCCAGGAGCTGGCAGTGAAAGGCAGGGATTAACTATAAAGAGACACAACAGATTTTTTGGGGGACATGATGAAAATAGTGTGTATCTTGATGGTAGTAGTGGTTACATGACTATACATTTGTCAAAACTCAGAGAACTGTGAACAAAAAGGGGTGAATTTTACTGTATATAAATTGCACATCAGTAAAGTTGAATGATAAACAAAGACAGACTTACAAGTAGATCCAAGTTTATTTTCTCAATATGTTAAGTTATTGTAACCAGGCTATTTTGAAAAATAAATAATTCTAAAATTCTTGTGTCTAAACATGTCTTCATATTTATGATAGATATATAAATATATACAACACATATAATAGAAAAATGATGTAGAAATTAAAAATTCATAAAAGTGATGTGTGTGTGTACCTAAAGCAGTTAAATTTGCATTTAACATGAGTTGACACATTAAATGTTTATTCAATTTAGTGTTTATTTGTCATTGCCATGGCAAAGCAGTTGGAGGTGAAAGAGGAAGTGATGTTTTAATTAACATGATTGGTAAGATGTCATATGACTTATCCCATTTTCCTTTTATTGTGTTTAAATGAAAATAGCTACCATATGAAATCATCAATCCTTTTAAAGCTTGCTTTAAAATTTTTCAATACATAATGGAATTTTCATTTTCACTCATATTTCACTTATATAAATCACTTGTATGAGACAACAGTAAAATGGATATCTTTTAAACAGATATATTTATATCCTCCTTTTATATTTCTTTTTCTTCTTTCTTTCTGTTTTTTTTTTTTTTTTCCAGACAGAGTCTCACTCTGCCGCCTAAACTGGAGTGCAGTGGTGCAATCACAGCTCATGGCAACCTCCGCCTCCCAGGCTCAGGCGATTCTCCTGCCTCAGCCTTCTGAGTAGCTGGAATTACAGGCGTGTGCCACCATGCCCGGCTAATTTTTGTATTTTTAGTAGAGACAGGGTTTCACCAATTGGCCAGGCTGGTCTCAAACTCCTGACCTCAAGTGATCTGCCCGCCTCGGCCTCCCAAAGTGCTGAGATTACAGGTGTGAGTCACTGCGCCCAGCCCTCCTTTTGTATTTCTAAGAAAATTCTCTTTTTTTTTTTTTAATTATACTTTTAAGTTTTAGGGTACATGTGCACATTGTGCAGGTTAGTTACATATGTATACATGTGCCATGCTGGTGCGCTGCATGCGAAATAAACTTCCTGAAGGTCTTATATCACTCTGTGTTCACTAGTTTTGTTATGTATTCATAAAACTATAGATTAGTATAATTTTTAGGCAGAGAGGACCTCAAAGTATTAACTCTCCTGGTCCATTATCTACAGGAGGTAAGGGGTTATCTGTGTTTTATAATTGAAGAGGTGACATACAGAATTCTAACTTTCCCATGGTCACATTTCTAACGATTAGAGTTTTAGGTTTCAAGAGTGATTAATCTTAATAAAGAACTATAAACAATATTAATTAATGATTATGATTTAAGCATTTCATTTGATTCTTTGCTTTAAGCATTTCTCTAGGTTCAAGGTTTAATACCATCATATTTAATAATACTGCAATAATCCTGGTTAATCTTAAAATAGTGTCACTAGGGAACATGTAAATTACAGGATATGTTATTCTTTGAATGAATTTCATCTACTATTGTGGAATTTGAGGTAATGAATCTGAAAACAGTTTGAAGGCTATAAAGCACTTAACAAATGTTATTTTTTTCTTCTTTGTTTTTATCTGTCATTTGCTTGCCATTTTCCTTAGAATCTGGAGTAATATGCATACATTTGCAGAGAAAACTCATATCTGATATTTTTGCTTGCTAGGAAATAATTCTGTTTTGTACAAATAAATATATAATTATACATCAACATGTAGCACATTTTCAAAGTATGATCTAATTAAAATAATCTAAATAAAATTTTTTCTAAACTGATACAAAACCAGTAATTGGTGTCATAGCAGCTTGTCACTCTGTTTAGTAATCTTGTAGTATTGTTTAAATATGTACATATATGTGTGTGTGTGTGTGTGCTTGTGTGTGTATCCTTAAGACTGTGAGCCAAGACAATATTTTCTTATGTACCTCCTTTTTCTTCTTATAATTCCACTTTAAAATATTATCTTTATCTATTTTCTGCTACTTTAACAATGCATGAGACTGGGTAATTTATAAAGAACAGAAATTTATTCTCTCAGAGTCTGGAGGCTGAGAAGTCAAAGATTAAGGCACCAGCATCTTAGGGCCAGTTTCTCTGCTTCCAAGATGCTGCCTTGATCAGCCTTCCAAGATGCTCCCTGCCATTCTAGAGGGTAGGAATGCCAAGTCCTCACATGGTAAAGGACCAGAAGAGAGCAAACGGATTCCAGAAGCCCTTTTTATAGTGGCTTTAATCCATTAATGAAGGCAGAGCCCTCAATATGTAAACACATCCCATTAGGCCCCACCTCCCAATGTTGTTGCATTGGTGATTAAATTAAATTTCCAGCACATTAATTTTGGGGAACACATTCAGGCCATAACAGATATATAGGGAGAGCAAAAGTAGACATAAGTAAGGCCAGATAATTTACTCTTAATTGTGTTATAGTAATGTTAATATCTCCATAAATATATTTCTTAAGTTAGTGAAAACTTAAACCAAATAACAAAATGGTAAATTTGTTAATGTTACATGCATTTTAGATCCTCTAATGTATTTCAGGCATTTTGGATATATTCTTTTGATCTTTGCTCATTTCTAACTACAAGGAATGCCTCATTTCATTGTACTTCACTTAATTACAGTGTGCAGATATTGCTTTTTTAACACATTGAAGTTTTGTGGCAGCCTTGTGTTGAGCAAATCTACTGGTGCCAATGTTTGAACATATGCTCACTTTGTGTCTCTGTGTCACGTTTTGGTATTTCTCCCAATATTTCAAACTTTGTCATCATTAGTATATCTGTTATGGTGATTTGTGTTTAGTGATTTTTGATGTTACTGTAGTAATTATTCTGAGGCACTATGAACTGCACTCCTAGAAGATGCCGAACTTAATAAATATGTGTTCTGACAGCTCTAGTGATCAGCTGTTCCCCATCTCTCTCCCTCTCATTGGGCCTTCCTATTTCCTGAAAGACGATAATATTAATATTTGGTTAATTAATAACCCTATATTGGCCTTGAAGTGTTCAAGTGAAAGGAATAGCCACACATTTTTCATTTTAAATCAAAAGCTAGAAATGATTGAGCTTAGTGAACAAAGCATGTAGAAAGCCAGTATGGGCCAAAACATAGGCCTTTTATGCCAAACAGCCAAATTGTGAATGTAAAGGAAGGAAGTAAAGGAAAGAAGCCATCTTCATAACATAAAAGTGCAAAATGAAGTAGCAGGTGCTGATGTAGAAGCTGCAGCAAGTTATCCAGAAGATCTAGCTAAGATAATTGATGAAGGTAGCTACACTAAACAACAGATTATTACGGTATTCAAAGTAGCCTTCTGTTGGAAGAAGATATCATCTGGACTGTCAAAGCTAGAGAGAAGTCAGTTCCTGGCTTCAAAGCTCAAAGGACAGGCTGACTCCTTTGTCGGGGCTAATGTAGCTGGTTACTTTAAGGTGGAGCCAATGCTCCTTGACAATTCTGCAAATCTTAGGGCCCTTAGGAATTATGTCAAATCTACCTTGCCTGTGCTCCGTACATGGAACAACAAAGCCTGGATTACACTGCGTCTGTTTACAGCATGGTTTACTGAATATTTTAAGACCACTGTCGAGACCTAGTGCTCAGAAAAAAAAATTATTTTAAAATATTATTTCTCATTGACAATGTACCTCATTACCCAAGAGCGCTGATGGAGATGTGTAGGGAAATTAATATTGCTTTCATGCCTACTGACACAGCATCCATTGTGCAGCCCATGGATCAAGGAGCAATTTTTATACATTTCATAAGGTTGTGGCTGCCATAAATAGTGATTCCTCCGATGGATCTGGGCAAAAGAAATTAAAAACCTTCTGGAAAGGATTCACCATTCTATATGCCATTAAGAACATTCGTGATTCATAGGAGGAGGTTGAAATACCAATATTAATCAGGGTTTGGAATAATTTGATACCAGCATGCATGGATGACTTTGAGGGGCTCAAGACCTCAGTAGAGGAAGTAACTGCAGATGTGGTGGAAATAACAGAGGATTAAAATTAGAAGTGGAGCCTGAAGATGTCACTGAATTTCTGCAATCTTATGGTCAAACGTGAATGGATGAGAAGTTGCTTCTTATGGATGAGCAAAGAAAGCAATTTATTGAGATGGAATCTATTCCTGGTGAAGATCCTGTGAACATTACTGAATCGACAGCAAAGGATTTAAAATATTTCATAAATTTAGTTAATAGAGCAGTGGCAAAATTTGAGGGAATTGATGCCAATTTTGAAAATTCTACTGTGGGTAAAATGCTATCAAATAGTATCGCATGTAACAGAGAAATCTTTTGTGAAAGGAAGAGTCAATCAATGCAGTAAACTTCATTGTTCTCTTATTTGAGGAAATTGCCACAGCCACTCCAATTTTCAGCAGCCACCGCTTTGATCAGTCAGCAGCCATCAACATCAAGGCAAGACCCTCCACCAGTAAAAAGGTTATGATGTGCTGATGGAACAGATGATTGTTAGCATTTTTTAGCAATAAAATATTTTTAAATTAAGATGTATTTTTTAGACGTAATGCTATTGCACACTTAATAATGTTCAATATAGTGTAAACATAACTATTATATGCACTGGAAACCACAAAATTCATGTGACTTATTTTATTTTGATATTCACTTTATTACAATACTTGCTTTATTGTGATATTTGCTTTTTTTGCAATGGTCTGAGCCAAACTTGTAATATCTCCAAGGTATGCCTATATTTCTTGGCACAAAATATAGAAAAACTTTGCAAAAAGACAGAATTTTTTTACTGTAGAAAGTGTCAAATTTACATTAGAAGACAAATGTATGGTAATATTAAACAACAGGTTTAAATATGAGTTGAAATGTTGGCTTAGATTCTCTCTAAGATCACTTTCACCCTCAGGAATTGCTAATCATCATAATTATGGGCCGTCCAATTTAGCTATTGTTAACTGAGGTCCCATAGGATAGGGATGAGGTCCCATTGTCTCTCTTATTATTTTGTGGCAGAGATTCAAATAAAATAATGGTGACTGCTGCTCCTGGATTTGCAGACCATAAGATGAGGCATCCTTAGAGCACTGGTTGTTTGTCTGGAAGAGACATCCATCCTCTCCGGTTGACTGTCTGGGTCTGCACGCCCTGAGCAGAGGGATTGTGGGTAGAGAGCATGCAGGGAAGGGCTAGAGGAATGATGAAGGTGAATAAAGGAGGTTGGAAACTTCGTATACTATAAATTGCAAGATTGCTAATCTAGGGACATGCATATGGAATGGAGGACTGTGTGATATTTGGAGAATGTGTAGTAAACTTAGAAGTAAAGTAGTGCCAGGGGCTTTCTGATTTGTTTTTAGATTCCGTATTTGGGTTCTGCTGAGGAGGTGCTTACCCTGAGCCAGGCAACATTTTGAATATGGTTTTGACTGAGATATTTTGATGTGTACCAAAACAAAAAAAGAGGTAGTAGCAAGTCTATGTTTTGTTTTGTTTCCCCATGATCAAGGAGGTAAAGAGAGATCTTCATCCCATTGCTGTTTCCCATCTCTAGGTCTTGGGTATGGTCCCTAGAGGTCAGGGATATCAGTTGTACACATTTATCAGTGATAAATAGTAATTTTTACATTTTGACACTTTGCATCAAAAGGCTGTCTAAAGAACTAAGTGAAATATCCTGTTTAGAATTAAGGGCACAAGTAAGTGCCAGGTGATCGAACCAGACCAGGGCCTAGGAGAAAAGCATAGCTTTGGGTCAGATTCTGAGCGGCTGGTAGGACACAAAGGGGAAGAAGTCAATGATTATGAAGGATATGGCCAGGTAAGAAGGTGAAGGCCAGTAAAACTTAAGAGTTCAGAGTCACAGAGGCTGACTTCGCCTTGGAATCCAGAGCAGGGGAGGAGCTGAACACCCAGCTCTGTCCTTGGCCTAGAGCCCGTGGGATTCTAGTGGGAACCCCTCTCCCTTTTCTACTGGTTTAACAATTTCTCTCCGTTGCCTCCCCAAACCCACACCATCCCACATGCCCAGCAACCAGTGCCAGAGAGGTAGGCATGGTCAAACCGTATTATCCTTGGTTGGTGATTTTAGGGGCAGTAGATGGATTTTGTTGGCAACTAGAAAATGGGCATTGGCAAAGGACAATGTACAATTGTTGCCTTCAAGAGTGGCCTGAGTGTTTCATGAATAAGAAAGTTTGAGAACACTCTAATAAAACAGTAATAAAGAGTGTCAAAGAAGATTTTTGAGTTAAAATATATCAGTATGGGCCAGGCATGGTGGCTTATGCCTGTAATCCCAGCACTTTGGGAGGCCGAGGAGGGCAGATAATTTGAGGTCAGAAATTTGAGAATAGCCTGGCCAACGTGGTGAAACTCATCTCTACTAAAAATACAAAAATTAGTCAGTGCAGTGGTACACTCCTGTAATCCCAGCTACTTGGGAGGCTGAGGCAGGAGAATCACTTGAGCCTGGGACGTGGAGGTTGCAGTGAGCTGAGATTGCGTCACTGCACTCCAGCCTGGGTGACAGACTGAGACTCTGTCTCACAAACAACAACAACAACAAAATCTCACTATGATTTTCCAGATAAAATATGATGTAATTCACAATAGCAAAGACTTGGAACCAACCCAAATGTCCAACAATGATAGACTGGATTAAGAAAATGTGGCACATATACACCATGGAATACTATGCAGCCATAAAAAAGGATGAGTTCATGTCCTTTGTAGGGACATGGATGAAACTGGAAATCATCATTCTCAGTAAACTATCGCAAGAACAAAAAACCAAACACCGCATATTCTCAGTCATAGGTGGGAATTGAACAATGAGATCACATGGACACAGGAAGGGGAATATCACACTCTGGGGACTGTGGTGGGGTGCGGGGAGAGGGGAGGGATAGCATTGGGAGAGATCCCTAATGCTAGATGACGAGTTAGTGGGTGCAGCGCACCAGCATGGCACATGTATACATATGTAACTAACCTGCACAATGTGCACATGTACCCTAAAACTTAAAGTATAAAAAAAAAAAAAGTAAAAAAAAAAAAATATGATGTAAAATCCCAATATATTATCTGTTCTACCCAAGTCATCTCTACCATAATTATGAAATGTGATCGCCCTTCCTTTTCATATCCAGTTATTATGACAGGAACCTCCACTTGCCAAGTTGCTAGGAATTTGCCCATTTCAACATGCTCTCAAATGATTTAATTAGCTCACTTGGGCAAGTTAATTAACCTCCCTATGCCTCAATTTTCTCCTCTATAAAATGAGGAGTCTGAGTCAAACTATGGCCCCAGATTTACCTGTGAATCTCTTACCATGAACTTCTTCCAGGATTATGCACAGTGAGAACAGCTGGGGACACCCCTCCTCTCTTCACAGGATTTTAGTCAGGTCCTGTGTGGCACTAACAAGACAATAAAGAAGTAGGACATCATTGGTGAATTTCCCAAATCCCACATTTATGCATGGTCAATGTAAAACAGAACACAGTGCAGCTGCTTTGGTTGAAGTAGGGAGAGAAACTCAAAGCCCCATCTGCTCGGCTTCCCTGCTCACCTTAACCCTTCAAGCCACTCTGCTACGTTTAGAATGAAGATGAGATCCTCAAAGCATCATTTCTATAATAGTTTAGGAGAAGTTTATGGGCAAAGTCTCCTTTTTTCTGTCATGAATGAATCATTTTACTTTAGGGTAGCCATTGGCCCTGAATATGAAAAAAGAGGTTGCATAAGACATCAGAAAAAAAATAATTCTCTGTATATTTAATATTCTAAGTAAGAAACCAAAAAATTTAAAAATTACCCTGTGCTAGGTGCTTCAAAATATATTATGTTTATACTATCCGCCACAACTCTGTGAAAAACTATTGTCCTCCATATTATAGTTGATGAAAATGCCCCCCACTTCCTCGGCAGAAGTGAAATAGTTTGACCGAGGTCATAATGCTCTTAAGTGATGGATTTGTATGATGCTGAAGGCCACATTCTTTCCATTCCCTTCTTCCCATTTGTGGAGCCTTCAGGAAGTGTATTGTGCTTCTTTAATTTTTGTTGTAATATATCATGATTCATTATTGCCGTGAGCAGAGAAGAGAGTCGAATAGAGTCAGTGAAAGTTGAAAAGCATTGCATACAAAGTTGGGAGCATTTAATTGACACGTTGTCATTGATAAAACTGACATCACCTTAGAGGCAGAGGACAAGTCCTCACATTGTTTCTGGGACAGGGGCATGGAAAAAGAGAAGCTTTCACTAACTCCCTTTATGTTGTGTATCTCAATGGCTACTAAATACACCTCTCTCCTTTCTTTTTTCTTTTCTTTTTCATGCCACAAAAAAAAAAAAAGTACGGTAAATTTTTAGGAACTAGTTACAGTTATAACTAGTTACACCACTCCCATCTTCAAAATCATTTAGCTGTCCCAACTCATTAAAGGTCAAATGTGGTAACCAGAATATGGAGATGATCTTTGCTAACAAAGGTTCAGACTCTTTACACTGTGAGCTGGATTGGATTTAGATTTTGTATCAGTGGTTGACAGCCTATGATCTTAAGTTTAGTAGCTTAAGCAATTTATATTCATCAAAGTTACTGGTACCTTTTCCCTCTGCAGCTGATGGAAAACATGTCCTATTTAATTGGAAGGAAAAGCATCTTAAAATAACACTGAATCTTGGACATGTTGAAGAACAAATAGTTTCATTTCCATGTAGTGCGAAATCCTCATTTTATTCGGGACATGGCTGACATGTTTATAAGCTAAGTTTCTTTTCAAACTAGAGAATCCCACAGATGTCTCATCTGGGAGGACTTATGAGCTGTGTGACTTACTTTATTGTTATTGTTAATAATAAAACAAACTGTTCAATTTAGAAACCATTTCTTATCCTTTTCATTGCTTTTTACACATTTCCTTTATAGTTATAAAAGGATTCTTTGTATTTTAATAGTTTATTCATTCATTCCAATAAAAATAGCTAAAAAATAAAATTACAATAGGCACTGGGAGTACATCATGTCCTTGGAAACCATATTGGTACTACCGATATTAAAAGGACCAGACAGCCACAGATAAAATTCTGCCACCGCTTTCCTGAATGTATAGAGGTCACTTTGGTAACATTGAATATTACTGCTGCAATGTAAATTTTCATTTAGGAAATGGGATCCTTTAAACATGCACAAATTATTTCAAGTTGAATACCTAGGAAGTCAAAGGAGAACTTAAGGTCCTATCAACTACCCAAGAAAATATGACTCTTCTCCTCCATGAATGGGCCACACACTATGTGGCAGGTTTGGCTTTATATATCTTTGGAAACTTGGACATGTGTTTCATTGAACACTGGGGGTCTGGTAGATGTGGATGGATGGAGATCTTCTTTCAGCTAATATATGAAGTGTTAAAGTTTACATTTGCCTCTTGTATTCGTTGCCTTCCTGTCACTTGTCTTCCCTATTACCTCCTTTTAAGGGCTCTTATACTGGTGCATTGAACAGACTAGTGACAGTCTTGGTAATTTTTGTACTATGCACATTTATTCCTGTATTAACACAATCTATTATTTAGAATCAAGTGATTTCTGTAACTAGTAGCAAGCAGATTAGAAGATCCATGAGATCAAGTATCATGTATCTTCCCCCTTAATCGCTGTATTACCAATGCAACCTAGTGGCTGCATCCAGTGGATGCGAAATGACTATTTGATAATTGAATGAAATCATGTTGTCTATTTCTGGGTAGAAATATTGAAGCACAGGGCTTCAAAGTTATACAGCAAGTAGGTAAGAAGATAGGAACTAGAACTTATATCTTTTTGTTATCCTAATGAATCTCTGTTTTCCATCGGATTCTGTTTCTCCAAAAGAAAATCCTTAACATATAAAAATCAGATTGTTAATAGGTAGGTTAATTTTTCCCAAATTATTTATCAAACAGGGAATTGTTCTAGCCTAACTTCCTCAGCAAAACATCTTGGAGATAGAACTGTGCAATTGTTGTACAACTTCAAGTTCAGATAAGTTTTTTTTTTCCTAGAATCTTTCAGACTGGATATGGAAACATCTATGAGCAATATGCATTTGATTCAGTTAACAGTAAAATATAATTCAATTTATTGTAACAAGTGTGATCTACTTTACAAGCTTGAGGTACAAATAAGGTCATGTGGTAGTCATCAGTGCTGTTTACCAAATATTTCCAGCTTTCTGACTTTTGGCAATGTGGCAGGATTCACTTTCTGGCTTTCTTATAGAGGGGTGGGATGAAGACTAGATCTGGCCATGGTGCCACAAACAGAGGGTTGTATGTCATTTCCAGGCCAGAGCATTCTGTATCCTGCCTGAGACCTTGAAGAGCTCTCATTTTCCTTGGCATGGTGGACTGATAAATGCTTGATACAGTGGCTTCTTTGTCAGCCTGGGTTCCTCAATGATTGAAAGGAACAGAGTCCACTATTGACCCACAGTTGAAATATAGCATGGAAGAGAAATGAACCTTTGTTGTTTTAAGCCACTGAGATTTGGAGTTGCTGTTCCTGTAACATAATTCAGCCTATCCTGACAAATATAGGTACTATTTTTTATTTTCCAGCTAATCTTTGAGCCCTTCAGATATCATCTGCCTCCTCTATTAGTTTCTCCGAAAAAAAAAATCCAGTGTATTATTTTACCCAAAAAGGTCAGGAAAAGACTGAAAAGTCATATTAGCATGCTTCTGCCTTTTCTCCATCTCTGTCACATAGTGTACCCATGGCTTCTCACAGACAAGTGGATTCTCATCTGCTGGAGTGATAATATCCTTGCAGGTCCAGATCTCTGCATAGGTAGTGCCACATGCCAAGATATCAGCTGTTTAAATTCACAACCTTAGCTGTTGCTTAAAGCGCAGCAGTGTGAAAGGGTAACTGAACCACAGCACTCAATATACTGGAACCATGCCTTTCTCTTGAGTTCTGGACCATGGTGGGCCCCTCTCTACCAGTAGACTATAGTTAGAGTGATGATTCAGCCAAGAGATTCTAATTATCTTCACTACCAAAAGGGACGAAATCAACGTCTTGAACCTTGTTCAGGGAGCTGGACACATACACAATTAATTCATGTATATCAGCATGCCAGGTCATTACTATACAGGCAGATGCTCTTTAGAAAGGCCAGTGGAGGGAGGATTCATAGAGGTGATAATTGTTCTGGGCATTCATGTATATAAATTTCTTTTTCCTAGCAGAGAACTAGAGAAAGGGTCACTGCAAGAAGAGGGACTGTTCACGTAGACATGAAATCCAGAGTGAGAATGAGCATGCAGGGGTCAAACATCTGTTTGATGGGACATCAACATCTGTTAACGGGACAAACATCTGTTTGGATGCATGGGATGTGAGCCATAACTGTAGGATATTATTTGAGAAAACCAGGTGGTCAAGAAGGTGACAGAAGATGGTAACTTTGACCAATGAATGACAGCTACCATCCCAGACACAGGATCTGTGTAGATAGTGTGCAAATTTTCAAACCACACATGTGTGATACATGGCTCTCAGAATGGAGAGGGTTGACATTTGAGAGAGAGAGAATATTAGACCGTCAAAATACTGACAAGGGGATAATGATTCTTAATAAGAGCATCTCTCTCATCTCCAAGACCATCTTCTTTTCTGTCCACGATTCTAAACTTAATGGTGGCTGAAGAGTTGGAATTGTAAGGGGAACCTAAATGGGGCCTACCTTCCTCTCCACTTCCTTCTAAATGAAATACTGTCTCTTGTTGCTGCTGCCAACTTCCGATGCCACGGGAAGCAGGTCTGTTTTGTGGTCAGATGAGAGAGGGAGGTTGAAACCGACACTTTAAGGGAAGCCTCAGAAGCTGGTGCTCGAGATTTGCTTGCTACCCAATATTATCCTTGCCACAGGATACCATAGGGTTGGGAGAGGGTTTCTCAGAAGTTTGTGGGTAGCGTGTGTATTCTCATTAATTAGGAAATTAAATTGTTCGCTGTAAATTGAAGGGTAAGGAATGTTTTTATTTAAAATTGAGGAAATGAAGTGTGGGAGGGTAGATGATAGCCATGCTTTTTACACCAAATTGCAGTGGTTTACTTGCTTTTGCTTTGAGGGTCATATTAACTTCAGCACCAAAGCTGGTCCCTTGGAATGCCTTTCAGTCCTCCTAAGAATGGATTCATTTTATAAGAGTTCCTGTATGAGCATGATTCTGGGTAATATAAGTCACCTTATTGATTACAAGTTTTCATTCTCTTCCTCCAAACTGCCCGTCTGATTTTCTTTAATATTCTCTCTTACTCCTTGTAGAAACAAACTTAAAACCCAATTGCTTTTGATTTCTAAGCTAAGTTTCCCCAGGCTTACCAGCTTGTTGATAATACATAATAAACTGTAGTATTGCTTTCTACCCACTGGTGTAACTCTGGGCCTCTAGCTATACCTTCAAGCAGTCCTTTCTTATTTTCCTCACTCTAGCTCCCCTTACTGGAGTCCAAATCCCAGGAAGTCAAGTAGGGGTAGTGCCTGAGTGGGAGTGCTATATGGATACTGGTCTCAGCATTCAAAGAACCGGCACCATGTGCTCTGGAAGCCCTTCCAAAGTGCCCGTAGGGTGCCGGGATACCTGCGTTTCTCATTGTGAGGAGGCTGCACCAGGTCACATGTGAGGAGAATGCTTCTCTTCCTCTTTGCAGTTATATTTTGTCTGTTGGGCTCTGGAGAAACATTTCTTGTGCCCGTCAGCAGTTCTTCTTTCTATGGGACTGGTACTATGACCCATACCTGAAGTTGAAAGCAGTCTGTTCTGCCAGTCACAGCCTCTTCCTGGATGTGTCTGCAAAACCATTTCATTATTCTTTTTCAGGAACCTTCCCCCAAACAAACAGAGCAAAAATTTCCAACAACAGAGTTCCTGTTCACTCATTTCTTATGTGTGTGTGAATCCCAATGTAGACTCAAGCTGGATTTCTGTGCATCTAAGAAAGTTACTTCATGCAAGTCTCCCATTAGCCCAACCAACAAAGTTGTGCTGGAAACACTTTCACCCAAATCCCAGGCATCATTGTGGCTAGATGAATGGGTTACCAGGGCTGACTGATAACACATGGTTTGCAGAATGTCATCTAAGGTATTCATTTTGTTAATGTTACAAGGTTTATTAGAGAACCTCTGTGCATCTGCTTAATCTCCAGGGCTTTCACATCAGTTTGGGGGATATAATTGTAACAAGTTCTGTTCATTTTTCTTTGATGAGAGACATGGAGACTTTAACTTCCTAATTGATTTGAAAATTGAAGCCTCAAATACCTTTGGGAAGTAGAAATCATGAAAACCAGAGTAAACCACTTTTCTTTTTTTCTTGATCAAGGGGACATGTGAATTCAGAATTTCTGAAGAATCAAGGTAGAGAGTTTTTTTTTTTTTTTAATAAGACTTGTGGATTGGATTCAAATGAATAAGCATTCATTTCATATAAAGGGAGTAGATATGTCTGTGGCATGAGGATGATGCTCAGAATTGTCTAGTTAGAGACAATTTTGTTTTGTTTTTAAGCTATCTTTACTTTGATATGGGGGAGGGGGCAGTTAAGTACTTTTTAAGGTACTTATGTTCAACACTATGTTCCAATAGTTTTTGGTCAAAACATGAAATGTACCACTGTCATTCTAATATAGCAACATAAATGGAATACTATAAATCTGAAGCCAGTTCTAGAAAGAAAGAGGAGAAAAGGATATTTTTTAAGTCCCATATTTATATGAAGTTCAAAACTGCTTATGGTAGTAGGCAAACAAAATTTCTTTAGTTTATCTATGTGCAGGACCCTTTGAATGGCCAGATGTATTAGTAGCAAATAGTTCAGTATTTGCTATTTGGATGTCTTAGGAAATAGCTTCCAGGTGGGAATCTGTAGAGTTTGGCATTGGGGTGTACAATCTAAAAACTCCTTGTTATTCTAGTTTACCTTTTGTCTTGTATTGACCTGAAGTTCCTAGCTCATTTGATTGGCAAAGGGAGAGATCTGGGATCTGCAGACACCAGGTTCCCCTGTGGACTGTAACCGTCAAGAACACATGTCCTTGCCACAAATCTTTGAGGTACTCATGTAATGGATTTCTGAGTGATAAAATAATACTGCTTAGAAACATTTTCTGAAGGTTTTGAGTCTGTTGTGGAAATACTTACATGAACCACAAAGTACCCTGGCTTTATGCTGTGGTTCATTACCATGAAATTCCATGATGTGGAGTATCACAGGAACCTTACGCTTTGTCTTCTAGTATTTGACAACAGCAGCTCTGCATGAGAAAGCCTAAGCCTCTAAGACAAGCTTGTCCAACATGCGGCCTGCAGACAGTTCGCAGCCTAGATGGCTCTGAATGTGGCCCAACACAAATTTGTAAACTTTCTTAAAATGTGAGGACTTTTTTTTTTTTTTCTCATCAGCTATCTTTAGTGTTAGTGTATTTTATGTGTGGCCCAAGATACTTCTTCAAATGTAGCCCAGGGAAGCCAAAAGATTGGACACCCTTTTTCTAAGATCTAACCCTTCAAATAAGATCTAACCCTTCAAATTGCCAAATTCAAAGTGTATCTAAAAAAGGATTGCCCTTTGCCTGAGAGTTCGCATTTTAAAGCACTCAACATTTTCATTTAGAAATAGTTTCTTTGGACTTTTATAGACATACTCTTTCAAGTTTTTACCTTGGAGACCTCTTCATATAACAATACTTAGAATTTTAAACATGGTTTCACTTTAAGTAATCTCAGCCCAACTCTGTTGAGTGAAATAGATTTGTTTCCTCTCTCAATTGTGTCTGCTGTAATGTAGGATCAGATTATAGGTCAACCCTCAAACCATGGTTATATACTTAAGCCATGGGAAAAACCAACCAACCAACCCCCAAACCTGAGTTACTGAGGCAGTAGGATGCTGTGCTTTGCCATGGTTACCACGGGACTGAATGAAGGGGGATGAACCCAGAAATGAAAACTTAAAAGAAACTGTTTTAATGAAGGGATCTGTCGGGGGGAAGAAGAGGGCTCCCTGCTTCTGGTGAGCAAACACAGCAGCCCTGAGCCTTTACAGCCCTTCGTATTTATTGGGTAGAAAGAGCAGGGAGGAGGAGGTAACGACTGGTCAGCTGCTTGACTGATCACAGGTTCACATTATTGCTAACAGGCTTCAGATGTGTCTATTCACAAGAAACACTTGTGCCTGGGTTGTGACTGCCCTCAGTATTCCTTCTGGACCACAGACTCAGTTTGTCAGTTTGCCAACATCCTGCTTTCATGAGAACAGTTTGCTGTTTACTCATATAGCCTCCAGTGGTATACAGAGCTGATCATGACCCTCACTCTTTTGGCTTGCAACAGTAGGAAGTCATAGTGTCCTCATGAAAACCTACTGGAACTGTTTCCTTCCCTTCTGGGATCTTCTGTTCTTTTTGTCATCCATTCTAATCATTTCTAGGTGTATGTACTATCTCTCCCTTCCATGGGATTAGCAATCCCATCCTAGACATTATTCATAGTAGTGGTAGGATTTTCCAACAGGATGACACTCTTAGGATATTCTCACTTTCTTCTAGAAATGGTAGAAATTTCCCAAACAGTCTTGGGTGGCTGCTTTTCAGAACTGCAGTAGTGATGGGATGTTGGAACAAGGAGCTGGCATAGTAATTCTGAGCATAAATAGGACTGAGGGGAACAGAACTCTCATGTGAACTTCTAGGGAAGTTAAATTCTAGGATGAATTAAATATATTCTTCACTTACAGTTATCCTCTAGTTGGTGCTCATGTGTTTTTAAGAATATGTAACCTCTATTTTTCAAAGAAATGCAACCTGAGAGTATAGAAAATATGTTGATTTAAATTTGATTTTCCAAAGTTCAGACTCTATATTTACACTTGAATAATTGGATGTTAAGAGACTAAAAGGGTTTAGATACATAGGAATATGTATGACAAATGCATAATGATAGCGAAAGTGCTTTCTTTGGTATTCTTGTGTGCCCAAGGTTACCCATAAACCCAATAAAAAAGAAGTGATTTCCTCTACTTGATTTGAAGTAGTCTCTGAATTTCTAAAGACAAAGATTACATTTTATTGATCTCAGAGTTCCCAAAAGAGTCTAGTACAATGGATTAAATATAGTAGCTGTTCCATAAGTTTTTTTGTGTAATTAAGTTCCTGTATAATGAATAATACTTTTATGATTTGAAAGTAGGATAGTACTGATAAAATCTCAAATCCCTTGAGATTTTATTCTGGATTTAGATGGTTCTCAGCCTTATGGTCTGCATAAATAGTAGCCCTTAGCATTGTTCAAGGCATGAGGCCCTGGGTTTAGGGTGTAAGTCAAGTGGACTAGAAATGAGAAAAATTCCCCTTCTTATTTGGTATGTCCTGCTTTTCAAAAATAAGTTAATGATCTTGCCATGCCCTATCATAATTAGTAAGCATGAAATTTAATTTGACATTTCATGTTTGATATGCATAAACTTGCCCCACTATTTTCTATTTCTAGAATGATCTTCCCAACATGCAAATCTGCTCATGTCATTCCCCTGTTTAAAATTCCTCAGTGGCTTCTCGTGAGTTTAAGATATAGATAATATCCTTAGCGCTATTTACAGTGAGTTACACCAACCTTCATCTTTCATTATCCCCAGTCCCCACTTTGTTCTTTAGCCCATCCTGAGGTGGCCACCATTTTTCAGTAGCCATGTTCCCTCCTGCTTCTAGACCTTTGCATAGGAGTGGGGGAGGTTCCTCAATGTGGGGGTAAAATTCCGGGCAGGCTTCTCGTTTCTGTGCTTGAGGCATATTTTGAAGGAAGAAAAAAAGTATTTTGTGACATCTTTCTGAGTGTTCGCCCGAGGCCCTTGCTATCTCCTCCCTCTTAACAAGTTTCATGATTAACAGAGCAGACAAGCAATCTCCCTGCAAGGCCTATGATGGTCCCTTGCTTTTCTCAGAAAAAGCGTGGGAACTTGTAGGTTTCCTTGAATGTTACATGAATCTGCTTGGTTTATTTTGTATTTTTAATTTTTTCTTTCTAGATCACTGGCCCTTCCTCTTACATAGATCAACAGAAGCATCTGTTTTTAGAATGTGAGAGGATGTCATGTTTTCGCTCCTCTTCTACAAGCTCATTAAGTATAAATAACGTATTTAGGTGAAGGACTTTATGCCATTGAGCCTTTTAATAGACTAGTGATCTTAACGTTACACTTCCGATGCCTAAGATATTTAAACCAAATCAGTAAGAGTAGAGAGTCATTTTCATTCAGTTTGGGGACAGGGGCCTATTGAAAACCCCCACCTTGATCGTCCCTTATTCACTTACAGAAAGAAAGAATTAGAATGTAGGCTATAGCCAGTTTAGGGTGCTTTCTGTCACTGTAAGGCCAAGTAGGAGTGAGTTAAAGCTTCCTTTTCCAAGAAATCATCACACTCCTGAGTGAAGAGCCTCACCTTTGCCCTCTCCCTATTTGCTCCCAAACGGGTTTGCCTGAGAGCTTGAGGTTCACTAACACCTCATTGTGAGTGGGAAGAACAGAACAGAATGCCAAGGAGCAGGCAAGGACAGGAGGTCAGCACGCTGACCCGGATTCAAAGGCTTGGGTTTGTTGAACAACTTCACCCAGTCCTGCCAGCCCGCTTTGATGGCCGGCGTTGCACGGTATTGGGGGCTGTGTGCCCTCTGCTGGGCAGAGCAGCACACGCGTCCGCCTCTCAGCGCCTGGCTTAAAGAATTTCAAGCTTTTGCTAACACGGGGGCAGATTTTCCTCTCAGGAGTGATGCTCTACCAGCATAAGACGATGGCCATGGAAATACAGCCTTGAGTTATTTGGGGAAATTTTATGTCAAAGAAACAAATGATAACTTACTTTATGTTTTACTCCAATCAACTTCAGAGCCACCAGTTTCCTTTCATCGTGGAATGGGGCTTTACATTTGCTCTGATGACATTCAGTTCAGTGGCACAATACACCAAAGTGTACGTCTTTATGTTCACAGACACAAATGGACCCACACAAAGAATTACCTAGTAACTCACTCTTTCCACTCAAGATATTCCGTGTTTTTTTGGAGAATACAAGATTTGGCATATTTGTGTGGCTTTCCTTATGTTTAACATAGCTCTTTCTAAAATCAAAGCCTTAAAATCTATTTGGATTTGATTCATTCATTTATTTTTCAGTCACTGAACAGACATGAATGGGCACCGACTATGTACCTGCCATTGTGTAGGGCTGTAGAGAGCAGTCAGAAATGGAGGAGAAAAGAGAATACCTACAATCTTGAGAAACTCCGTCCAGAGGAGAACTTAAAAAACACACTAATAAAGGAAGATATTAATTGCGAGGGAAACACAGAGATGGGAATAACAACACTATGAAGGGGTAGGAGTTAGGATCTGCTCTGCAGGCTGGTGAGAGGTAAGTATTAAAAGATATTTGTATGTTTGAAAGATACTTGTATGTTTGCCAGTAAGACAAGTTTGGGCGTGGCAGATAGTAGATGGTAGAAGAAATGGTGTGTGTGTGTCTCACAGGGCCTTTTGAGAGGCTGGAGTCCAAGGAGTGGAGCTTGGTGAGAGGTGGGCTAGAGTGGTAGGTTACAATCAGTTTGTGCAGTGCCTTGTCTAGCATGCTGAGCAGATTGCATCGTATTCAGTCGGAGAAGGCAAGTCGTTGAACGACTGTCACTAGGAGAGTGTGAGGGCTGCTTTTCATTTTAGAAACATCTCTCAGGAAGGTAGTGGATGGATAGAGGGTAGAGGAATGTCAAAAATAGCAACAGGAAGCTGTCTACCTTCTGTTGGAGCAGAAAAGACAAAAGAAGAAGGACAAAGAGAGTGGGGCTCCTGGAGAAAGGATTAACGGGAAAGCTTTCTAAGAGGCAGAAAGTTGATTGAAGGTGGAGGATGACAAAGAAGGAAGCATTGAAGAAGACTGAAAGTGTGGATGACACTGATAACAGGATGAGCTGAGAAAGGTTTGGTGCTGCAGTCGTGAGTTTCACTTTGGGCATATGGAAACTGAAGCGACCACGTGTGAGGATACCCACTACACAGATGGAAACAGGGTCTTCAGCTCAGAGAGAGAAAATGCAAAAGGGCGAGATTTGGGATCCTAGAGCATCCAGGAAGCGTCTTTGTGTGGAATACAGGGGAATAGAGGCAAATGGAGCCTTTCCTTGTTTCCTGCTTCCCTTTTACTTAGGAGATTAAAGTGACAGTTTCATTAACTGCTTTTACCACATTAAACATTGTTGAGGATTTGGATTTGGGTAACATTTTGTCTTAATAAGAAACCTACTAAAAAGTAAGTTTTTCAAAAAATGTTTTACTCTTACATGATCAAGTCTTTATCATGGAACCTGTCAGCGTTAACATCTAGGATTTAATGTCAACCAACGTAAGCTTTTAAAAAGCCATATTAAATCAGAAATGACTTAAAAATAAACTCTAGATGAACTTGATCTATTTAAGTTAAAGGATTAAGTTATATACATGATGGAGCATCAGAGATTGAGTCCTTTTTGGGTGGGCCTTGGAAAGGGAAAATGCAGAAAGTTCTAATTTGTTTTGCTTTCGAAGAAGAATCATCCTTTTTATGTATTCATATGCATAATTTGATCAGAAAAATGCTTGATATTCTAACCTTTTAATTAGGAGGGAGGAATGTAGAGATCATGTTGTAAAATTGTTTTCCAGGTGAGGAATCTGTGCAATAAATTTGAGAAACACTGAAGGCTTTATTGTATGCTTTTTCTGGATTTTTTTTTTTTTTTTGAGACAGAGTGTCACTTTGTCAGCCAGGCTGGAGTGCAGTGATACAATTATAGCTCACTACAGCCTCAACCTCTGGGCTCAAGTTATCCTCCCACCTCAGCCCCCCAAGTAGCTGGAACTATAGGAATGCACCACCACACTCAGCTAATTTTTAAATTTTTTGTAGAGACAGGGTCTCACTATATTGCCCAGGCTGGTCTCAAACTCCTGGGCTTAAGTGCTTCTCTCACCTAGGCCTCCCAAGTGCTGGGATTACAGGTGTGAGCCATCACACCTGGCTGAATTTTATAATTTACCTTGTGACATTGAAGACTCTGAGAAGTTCTGCAGGAACCTAGCGTTTCCCAGTCTTATTTGATGGCCAACCCAGTATTTCCCAGAGTTTGGATGATGTTACTTTAAAAGTTACCTTTATAATTAAGTAGAGCAATGTAAGTGTTCAAGCTTTTAGCCACAGAGCTCAGTTCAATTAGTAAACATGTATTGAGCTCTTTTATCATAGTTACCCTGTTAAGTCCCCAAATCATGAAGATTATTCATAAAACAATAATAATGACAACAATAATAGTAGCTAAGACTTGTTGAGTGCATACTAGGTGCCAGGAAATTTACTAAGCATGTTGCATACACCATCTCATTTAATCCTCACAACTCTGGGAGAAAAGTATCCATTTTAGAAAAGAGGAAATTCAGACCCAGAGAGGTGAAGTGCTTTTCCTAAGGCCATAGACCTAGTGAATTACAGAACTGGGTTTTAGACATGTTTCTACCTGATACTGCTGCTCACATTCTTAACTACCATAGCCCTGTCTATGGAGAATTTATGGCCTCAATAATGTCCATGAATATTTCCAAGATGGGCTTCAGGTATTTTGACTTGAGGGTCTTCAACCTGTGAGTTCTATTATTAGTTTCTGATATTCTGCATTACCCTGAAACGTCTTCCTAATTTAGAACCAAGGTAGCCCCTTTCTCTCTGAATCTGAAGCTCTTTGTATCAAACAGCCTTTTGTTGGGATGTAGTATCTCGTTTCTTCCACATTACGTAATGTAACATACATGAAGTAGATCAGGATATAGCTAATTTACAACTTTCCTGCATCGTTCCTGAATGTTCCTTTTTCATTTTTTTAAGTGGGAAAAATGAACACTATATTTTAAATCTTCCTTATACACTCTAGGCAATACTTAAACATTTAACTCTTAGCAATTTGTGTTTTTAATGGAATAGGGTTTTCCTTTTGGGTCATTTTCGTAGGGTAACTTTGGTTGTCCAAACATACTCTGAAATACGTTGGGGATTATGGTTTCAACACATGTAAGCCTAAGGCCAAAGTATGAGTAACACATGATATTTTGTTACATTTCATGAACAAACCACTGTTTTGTGGTATAATACAAAACATAGCTAAGTAGTTTAGATTACTATCAGGCATTACAAGGTTAGGTTTTCAATTTATGGGATTACTCAAAGCTCATTAGAAGTATTTTCTCTAGCTCTAGGGAATGCAGCCTAGAAAATAGTGGTTTCCCTTGTGAAAACGGTGTGTTTTTAGTCCATTTATTATATTTTTTAGTTTATCTCAATTATGTCCTTTTGTACTTTAGTACAATAGTTGAATTCACAAATAAGCTTACAAAGTCTGTTTTACCAATGAGCCAAAAATGGTAAAAAGAAAAGAGGGAAAACACATTGTTGTTATTTATTAACTTAAACTGTCTTCAGAATGTCACGGACACTCTGTCAGTGACACTTTTCAGAGCAAACCTACTGTGATTGGTAGAACAGCTCCGAGTTGTAGTTCTGTCTCTAGCATACACTACAATGCCAGTTTGTCTTTCTGATTTTTTTTGGTTTTCTCATTTAGAAAAATGGGCCTAGTATCCTGTATTCTGCTATGTGAATGTTCTTTCAAGGTATGCTAGGAATAACATGAGCTTTGCAATTACATATAAATGGGCTCCTATTCTCTTGCTGTATGTATCTGTGATCTCGAGCACATTATTTAACCTCTTTGAGCCCTAGTATCCTTATCTGTGAAACAATGATAATGGTAGAGTGTACATGATCGGATTATTGTGAAGATTAACTTAGGTTCATGTAAGTACCAGAGACCAGGATGGATGCAGGGTAGCTTCTCACTGCATGGGAAGTTCTCTCCATTCTTCCTTACAATAGAAATATGATTATCCCAGCACTTTGGGAGGCCGAGGCGGGCGGATCACGAGGTCAGGAGATCGAGACCATCCTGGCTAACACGGTGAAACCCCATCTCTACTAAAAATACAAAAAAATTAGCCGGGCGTGGTGGCGGGCACCTGACGTCCCAGCTACTTGGGAGGCTGAGGCAGGAGAATGGCATGAACCTGGGAGGTGGAGCTTACAGTAAGCAGATTGCACCTGGGCAACAGAGCGAGACTCCATCTCAAAAAAAAAAAAAAAAGAAAAAGAAATGTGATTATCACTTTATTCTTTCACACACTGTTTCTTAACTTTTGTTTACATATTGGTACTTCAAAATTGCACTGAAAACTCTTAAAAAAATAACAGCAAAACAACAAATGGATTGTGACTATATAGCTGATACCTGAAGAATTGGGCCGAATCCGATCCAGCACATGTTTACTGACCTTTTGCTTTGCATAATGCATTGGAGTAACAAATGATCTCTTTCTGAGTTCTTGATAAGTCGACATTTCAAAACGCTAAGTGATTTGTTTTTTGATTTTTTTTAAGCCAAATCAGAATGCATTATAGGCCATTACTTTCAAATTTTCCTTTATAATGGAGTAGAGCAATGTAAGTGTTCAGGCTATTAGCCACAAAGCTCAATTCAGTTAGTTAACATTTATTGAGCTCTTGGTATTATAGGTGCCATGTGAGGTTCCCAAACCACAAAGCTTGTTCATCAAATAATAATAATAACAATTATTTCTTTTGGTTTAAAATGGAAACACTGACCATATTTTAAAAACTGAAGTATTGTCTCGTCTGCAGGACACCACTTCCTTCTGGAGTGGCTTGGGGCCTAAGGGAAAGGGCAGCAGCCATTGCTCTGGAAGGGAAGTGTGAAGGAAAACCTTCATGTAGCATCCGCATGTAAGTCTTAAGTACACCCACATTAAGGAAATATTTATACATGTAATTTTTGAATAATCATTTACATCTGGGTCTCTATCTGCAATCCCTTTAACTTAATTCTTGCAAACCTTTTCTCTTCTTGCTTTGACTACCAGGAAGCTTAAAACAGAATCTGTGGCCCAATTATATTAACTTTGTGATATATTTTTTAGCTTGGGTGTTATTTTTCTTGGTCCTGATTTTTGTGGTGTGTCTTTTATTTTGTTGTCTATTAGTGAGTGATAAAATTTGTTGAGTAGGGAAGAGCATTAATATAATACATAAGTCAGAAAAAAATTCTAGGAAAACATTTTGCTAGAAGAGAGCTAGTTCTCAAATGATTCAGACATTCGACTTGTAACGCGTAATGGTTCAACTTACACCTCATCTGCTCCCCCTTGGAAACTGCATTTGTTTTGGCAAAGCCAAAATTGAGTGTTTAGAAATGGGGTGTTCTGAGAAGAAACCAGCAAATCCTAGTGATTCTGGACTGCCCTTGGAATCCCAGTGCTGGTTTGAACAATAATCCTGATTTTTAACAGCTTATTATGTGTGGCTCCACTTTGGGCCAAGGGAATTTAGTTGTGTTTAAGACTTCGAATTCCATCATGAACTTTGGTCTTGCCTCCTGTCAGTTTAAGATTAATTATGGTAATTCTCAAAGCAACTGAATGTGTGTCAGAATTTCTATCTGGATCAGCACTCCTCCTCTGATCCAGAACCCACGTCTGGGGAGGCTGGGTAAGGAAGTGGAATTAGGGGAAAGGCATGCATTTTAGACATTTCCCCTGAGTGTGCTTGGTTCTGACTCCAGGCCTTGTCTGCCCACTGTTGACGGTAACTTCTTGTACATTTGCTGTACATTTCATGGTTCACTCATACAGTTTTTTAGTCAGGGTGCATCAGATTTAGTAATATGTCTCCAGAATAACCATATGCTTTGAGGTATATTTCATTTTCCAACACTGAAAATGAAAGAGCTATTAGGCTATGAATCTGTAAACAGTCAGTCGTTCCCTGTGTAAAGTAAAATGAATTATCATAATTTATTAGCAAATTCAATTTTCTTTGAAGTGCTAGTTGTATTTTCAGGCTGCATCATAATGGTTAGTAATGACTCATTTAAAATAATACCCTAGGAAGTTTTCCATTTTAGATTATTAATGGTGGGGCATGATTGAAAGAGGAACAAAACATACTGAATGACTGAATGTCCTTTCACAAACTTCAGGAAATAGGGTTACTGGATCTTCATGTGGAGTGTTGCTTTTATTTTAAATCAAATGTGATCTCTACACCATGTGCCCCATTTCTTCTCTTGGGTTAATAATTCTCTCACAAGATATACTGAGTTAGGTAGTAAAATTGCATAGTAGTGGTAGTAGTAACAATAGTACTCCTAGTAATAGCTAACTCTTTTTGGGTATCTGCCAAGCTTTCTTCAAAGTACATTACGTATATTAGCTCACTTAAAACTCTTTGTCCTGTGAGTCAAACTTTCTTATTATCTCCATTTTATAATCCTATTAAGGCAGGCATTTTTATTATCCTCATTTTATAGGTAAAGAAACTGAGACATAGACAGGTTAAAGAAGTTACCCAGGGTCACACAGCCATTGAGTAGAACAGCTGATATGATCTGTGCAGCCTGTATGCAGAGCTGCTGCTGTAACCACTATCACAGAGCTGTCTTCTAGTCATTTTTATTGTTAATATTTTATAAATTTATGTCTCATTAAAGCACTGTTAAAAACTTTGATTCCCCCCCCTTTTTTTTTTTACAACAGATCACTGATTAGTAACAACATTCTTAAATTACAATAATGATCCTCATAATGTGTTATGCAGTTTATTTCTATGTTCATGATGTCTCTTGTGGCTAGCATTTATGGATAGGCCGTTTTTCAAAGTACTTTATATCTGCGAGAACCTTTAGTCCTACTATTATTTAGGTAATATTAGATAACAGTCTCTTCTTCATACGTTGTTGTGAGAATTAAATATGTTCATCTATGCAAAGTGCTCTGGAATATGTGGCTCATAGTAAGTGCCCTGGAATGCTGATCATTATGATCCATATGTTACAGCTGGGGAGGCTGAGACTTTAGTGAGGTTGAATACTTGCTCGCAGGCCCTTACCCACTTAGAGACAGAGCAAAGCTTTGAACTCGTACACTTGCCCTCTAGAGCCCACACCCAGCCACCACACAAACAAGAAATATCAGGACCTTGTCTTTGTTTACTTTGGCAAACCAAAGCTTTTGTTTAGCTTACAAGAAGCAGCATGGTATCAAGATTAAGAGGACAGAGTCTGGAGTCAGCCTTCCTAGATTGGAATAGCATCACCCTCCTTCCTTGATAGCTGTGCAGCCTTGGGAAATTTACCTCAACTCTCTGTGCCTTTTCTCATCTGTATAGTGGGAATAATTACAGCTTGTATCTCACAGGTTAGCTATGAAGATTAAATGAGAAAAACCTGCAAAACTTAGTACAGTATCTGGCATATGGTAACATTCAAATAATATTAGCTAACATGATTATTAGAATTGTATTTGCATTTCTTAAATATATTTTGAATTTTAAAGTCACTGCTTAAATCCTTGGAGCCACCAGATGCGGTGGCTCATGCCTGTAATCCCAGCACTTTGGGAGGCTGAGGCTGGTGGATCACTTGAGGTTAGGAGTTCGAGAACAGCCTGGCCAACATGGTGAAACCCCGTCTCTACTAAAAATACAAAAATTAGCTGGGCATGATGGGGGATGCCCATAATCCCAGTTACTAGGGAGACTGAGGCAGGAGAATCGCTTGAACCCAGGAGGCGGAGGTTGCAGTGAGCCGACATCATGTCACTGCACTCCAGCCTGGGCAATGAAGCAAGACTCCATCTAAAAAAAAAATCCTTGGAGCCAAATTCAACGATACTCTTATATGCCAGACTCCCCCTGAGAGTCTGTATGTGTGAAGCCTCTTACTTCGAAAGACTGTGGGGCTGTCATAGCAGGGTTTTGGTGGGGGCCGTCACCATGAGGCTGCTTTCACAGCTGGAGTCGCTAAAAGGGGCACGAAGTGAAGATGCCCTAATGATCTGCATGGCCACATTTGTTTCGGGCACTCAGAAACTGTGTTTAGACAGTTTATTCTCTGATTATGTGTGGAGTTAGACTTCACTTAGCTCCATCATGACTTTGTTTTCCCCAACTGGGATAGATGGAGGAGACAGAGAGATAAAGAGCATAGGCAGTGGCTTCTTGACATTAGTTTTCCTCATCAGAATTCTTTTATTCTGGAAAGATGAGCTCAATGGTGTAGTCTTCTTGCAACAGCTGACACACACATTTGCTCTTCCTTCCCAGTCTTATCCTGCACCCAATTTTTTTTTTTTTTGAGATGGAGTCTCGTTCTGTCACCCAGGCTAGAGTGCAATGGCACAATCTCAGCTCACCGCAACCTCCGCCTCCCGGGTTCAAGCGATTCTCCTGCCCCAGCCTCCCAAGTAGCTGGGATTACAGGCGCCTGCCACCACGCCCAGCTAATTTTGTATTTTTAGTAGAAACGGGGTTTCTCCATGTTGGTCAGGCTGGTCTCCATGTTGGTCGGTTTGATCCGCCCTCCTCGGCCTCCCGAAGTGCTGTGATTACAGGTGTGAGCCACCACGCCTGGCCTGCACCCAGTATTTCTAACTACATAGTAGTGCATACTATGGGTTACAGTTTGAATTTTATTTTCAAGTTATTTCTGTCATGTTTCGAATGTCATATCTGTGCTAATTCGTATGTCTATGGTTTTTAGTCTCCACTCTCTGAAAGCCTACCATTTAATTCAGGGAATTACCCTGAGGTCAGGGTAGAAGATAAGCCAAAAATTATAAACAACCCCAAGGCTGTTTTTTTTTTTTAACTACATTATCCAATTGACTTTGAAGAATGTTTCTTCATTTTTCTTGCTTTCCCTAAATTTTGTTGAGTTCTGCATTCGAGAAGAGGACACATTCTTGTGTGTCTATAGCCAACTTCCCCAGTCTGTTCTGTATAAAGCAAGTCAGAGGATGTTAATACATGCTCTGCTAAAGACATGTACTGCTTTATGTTAGTTTGGGAACCACCAGCACATACAATGTAAGCAGGCTTCTTTTCTGCTGGACTTTGAGAATCCTTTGCTAATCCAATGTAGGTGTCTGTCTCCAGGAGGAGACAATCATATGCTGACATCTTTATTTCTTGCAGCATCTCACAAAGTCAGTGTCAGAGGACCATGCTTTGGGAAATGTTAGTTTATGCAGTAGTCATTGCTATAGATGGAAATAGGGAAAGGTGCACCAGCTTAATGGTAGTTGTGCTGTTTTTTTTTAAAGATTAATGAGGCCATACCACAGTTTATTAAAAACAAACACAAAATTGTTGAAATCAGAACTTAGGAAAGTGTTTTTCTCCTGTATTGAAAATAAAGAGGAAAATGATAAAGGCCATACTACTCAATGGCTGTGTGACCCTGGGTAACTTCTTTAACCTGTGTCTCAGTTTCTTTACTTATAAAATAGGGATAATGTGGCTCACGCCTGTAATCCCAGCGCTTTGGGAGGCCAATGTGGATGGATCACCTGAGTTCAGGAGTTTGAGACCAGGCTAACATGGTGAAACCCCATCTCTACTAAAAATACAAAAAATAGCCGGGCATGGTAGCAGGTGCCTATAATCCCAGTTACTTGGGAGGCTGAGGTGAGAGAATTGCTTAAACTTGGGAGGCGGAGGTTGCAGTAAGCCAAGATCACGCCATTGCCCTCCAGCCTGGGCAACAAACCAAAACTCCATCTCAAAAGAAAAAAAAAAAAGAAAGAAAAAAAGAAAATGATAAAAATTTAAAAAGAATTTATTTACAAACACACTGCTAATTCTATATTGAATGCTGAATCCACCACAAATTTGATCTAATAACATACAGATTCCATCTATAGTCAGATTGATGAAAGATCACCCAGGGAACTACAAGCTCCTCAGTTTTCAAAGATTTTTTTTCTTTAAACAAATGTCGCAATACAATAAATATAGATTAACAAGCAATTTTTTTAACACAGATTTTAACAAAAATGTTTTCTGGACATTCCCACCTACCCAGAAAACCATTTTTCCAGAACCTCTCAATCCCAGTAAATAAAATTGTTTATTGTGGTGTTATGTTAATTCATGCCCTTTAATTCTCAAGTGAGAAAAAAATTTATTTTTTGCTATCAAGATAGGAACCTAGAAGGATCCTGAGCAGAAAGTCAGAAGGCCTTGGTGACCTTGTTAAATACAGATCACCATGCCTCTTACAGAATGGGTACCCAACACATCGCTGTAGAATGGACTTTTTCTGCCTGAGCTCATCTGCTGTTCAGTGGAGAAGTTGGGCAGAATACATGATCTCCTAGGTTCTTTCAGTCATGGAAATGTGGGATCCGTGGTATATTGTGGTTATTCAATTGTTTAGCGAAAACACAAGGATCATTTAGGAGCAAATAAAATTTTTGTCTTTCTATGTGTAATCATAAGCCCAAGTATAAGCTTTAATTTTAAGAAATGGGGCTTCCCACCTTCTTCTGCTTCATCCTCCTGGTTGTGTGTGCCATGGATTCTTATGTGCCCCCTTCACTGCATGGAAAGTAAAATAAGTGATTAAGAAGAGTTTGCTCTCCATTTTGAAAGACACCTATACCATTTAATATGTTTAATAATATTACGGTTTAATTAATGCATTTATCTCTTGGAAACATCACCTGTTTCTTTTCCCTCAGAGGTCTCTATATTTTTTATTTCAGGATCACTACCTAATGTGAAAAATAGCATAAATATATGACTGGAGAATGTGGTTAATAATTATTGAATGACTATTATGTGCCAGATACTGAACAATGTATTTACATGTGTTTTCTTCTTTATTCTTTGAAGAAACCAGGAACTAGGTATGTTAAAGTAGTTTTTTTTTTTCTTTTTGAGATGGAGTCTTACTCTGTGGCCCAGGCTGGAGTTTAGTGGTGCGATCTTGGCTCACTGCAACCTCCACCTCCTGGGCTCCAGCCATTCTCATGCCTGAGCCTCCCAAGTAGCTGGGATTACAGTTGTGAACCACCACGCCCAACTAATTTTTGTGTTTTTAGTAGAGACGGGGTTTTGCCATGTTGGCCAGGCTGACCGCAAGTGATCTACCCGCCTCAGCCTCCCAAAGTGCTGGGATTACAGGCATGAGCCACCACGCCCAACATTAAATTAGTTTTATACATGAGAAAATCAAAGCGAAATAAAGCTAAAGTGGTTTGCCCAGGATCCATATGCTAGTAAATGATGCAATAGGAATGCAAACCTAGTTATCCTCAGAGACAAAGCAAACTATTTTGGGGAGTAAGTAGTCCACTTGAAGTGCATGGTGGATTGTGGGACCATGGAACGAGTGAAACAAGGAAAGACTCTGAAGGTGGCCATAAGGACTATTGTCCTTCACTCAGGGAGAAGTCCTGTTGGGGAACAGTCTTCAATAGAAGTGGGGTTCAGTCCCCTTCCCACCTTGCCCTCCAAGGGGAATGGAGGCCTCAAGTAGCATTTTGGTCTGAATGGAGGGGTCCTGGAGACAACACATTTAACAGCATCTTCTATTTGATTGATGTTGGTTGTCCTGGAAAAGTCTATATTTTCCCATTTGCATGTAAAACCCAGGTATCCAATAAATTTTTCCATTTCAAATTTGAAAAGGTGGTTTTTAGTGGATTAAAGGTCAGGCATAATTATGACTTTTTTCATACTGTGCCACAAGGCAAATAAGTTTTGTCTTATTTTTTAAACCTACACTTTATTTATTAATCTTTTTCTTCTTGTTTAATATTTGAAAAAAAAAATCCAAAGACATTTGCCTCTATTTCCCACTATTTTGAAGAAATCAATCCTAAAGACTGGAATTATGTCTTTGAAAAATGGATGAACACTATTTTAATGTCTAGCTGAAAACCTTTGTCATAAGGGGGCTTAATGAATACTTTTAGATGATCAAGGTTAGATAAAAGCTTTGAGAGGTCATCCAGTCCTAGGCTTTGAATAAGATCTCCTCCAAAGTTTCTGTCAAGCTTGAAGCTTTATACTTTTATGCTATCTGAAGTGTACCGATGAAATGTCTCCTTTTGACATATTTTTGAAGAAGAACTTTGACTCACAGTACAAGAGCTCAGATGTCCAGTAAAATTCTGATTCAACTGGTTAGATTTATATGTGTGTGTGTGTGTGTGTGTGTGTGTGTGTGTGTGTGCATGTTTTCTTACTCGTTGACTTGCTCTTCCAGGAGAAAAGAAATTTAGCTACTTGAAAAAAAGGCACTTAACTTTTATGAATGCCATTATAGAAATAACTTACTGGGATTAAAAAGTGAAATTCTAAAATCTGGGAAGACTTAAAATGTCTTAGAAATTCCATAACTTTCAGATTTTGTCTATAAATTGATTCTAAACACTGAAAACCAATAACTGCATACTTTTTTTTCCAATGGAGAGCTGTGACTATAATTTTTTCTCAAAGCTTTCAGTGATATAACCCTTGTGCTACTCATAAAAAAGCTAAAGAGATTGTTTTTTCTTACATTGTACTGATTGTTCAACATCATGTCTTCCTTCAGTTTTTTCATATGTCATCGACTCTGAAATACTATTTTTCTTTTTGTTTTAATTGCCTTCTACATAATTGAGAGAAAAAAGTATTTTTACTTCACTATAATCCTGTTGCTTAGTCATTATGTATATCCATTTCATTCTTTCTCTAGAAGACATTCTTGGGGGCTTTTTGAATTTTGAGTGATTGTTTTCTAGACCTGTTACACAGCTAATGTTCTGAGAATTATTTTCAAAGAACTCTTAAGTTGGTTTTGACATTCTTTATTACTGCTATCTTTCTTTTTTGATCCTCTCAATTCTTATTTTGTTAGAGTACTACTTGATATCTCTACATGGATGTCTCATAAACATCTCAAATTTTTCTGCTAGTCTTGCTCTACCCACCGTCTTCTGCATCTTTATTTATGGCAAGTCCATCTTTCCCGTTGCTCAGGACACAAATCTTGAAACTACAGTTGACTGTCTCACAGTCCACATCTCACTCAACAGGAATTGCTGTAGCTTTACTGCCAAAATAAGTCAGAACCTAACCAGACTTCTACTGAAGCCATGAGCAGCATCAAAGTGGTACCCATACTACTGTCCTAGAATTGCACATGACCAAGTAACTTTGTTTTCATGACCAAACTGGAACTTGAAAGGAGATATTCAGGCTAGTAGCATGTCTTCATACATTCTGTGTTGAATATGAAATTTTCCCTCTTCGAAGATCCTTGATGGCATTTGCTAGCTATTTTCAAATAATTTAGGGACTGTCAGAAGTAATTTTTGGAGTTCACATGATTTATTATTTATTTGTATAGAAACTTCGTTCATAAGGCACTATACATGATTATCTCATTTGACTTTTATAATTTTTGTTGGTATCTATTTTATCACTGTTTTGCAAGTGAAGAAACTGAGGCTCAGATACTACATTATTTGAGCTAATCTTGTTAATGGTGATGTCTTCAGAATTTAAATCTGATTTTTCTGTTTCTAAATTTTATTTTCTTTCTGTCATTTCTGTCCTCTAGGAGACAGAATTAGGAAACAATTATAAGTCTGAACTTATAGATAGAGGATCCTGTTGAACAAAGATGGACACTCTCCTAATTAGAGCCATCCGATGTTAGAATGTGCTGAAAACCCACCGTCTTTGAGTCACATTCTAACATTCAACACTCCCTACCTCTACCTCCTCTCCCACTCTGGCCAGGAATACTATGGGAGTTCCCCTTTGGCTAGATGACGCCTTCCATATTTTCTTTCAGAGATGAGATTCTATTATTTACAAAGGCCCATGGGCATGTCTGCTTCTGTAAGAACCCATTACATCAGAAATATAACCAGGCCTCTTGCAATCCCATTTTAATAGAACTATTTTAATTAAATAATTGAAACATCTACATTACTAGTCATGAGTACTTCTGCCTTGTTTATTAATTCTTTAATGTTTGTATTATTGTCTTCCATCCTATAGTAGGCCAGTATATTTAAAATGAAGGCTAAAGAAATTTTCTGATAAATAATTGGAAAATATTTTGTTTATTTTACATTGCCAAATGGCATACATCTATTAATTTTGTTTTTTTCCTTCATCTAGAGTACTCACAGTTTTTATATTAAAATCTAAATGAAGCAAATAATTTCTGCCAATTTTATGATTGAATTTTTTTGTTTGACAGTTTTTATATATTAATAATGCATGGCCTTTCCATCAGCTTTACAATTTTTGTTTGGGATTTTTTAATATGTGGGAGAATATATTTTTATTATATAGCTTTTAAAATCTGATACAGGAATAAAATTCACTTTAGTTTTATGAATACACATGAAGTAATTCCTATCTTTTATCTCAAAGTTTTTTCAACCCAGTAAAGCCATTTAAAACTTTTTTCCCTTCAGATTCATTTGTGATGTCATTTGTTATATCAGCCCCATGTTAAAAGAGGGCTGATAGTTTCCATTAGTGGGCTTATCATACTTTATATAATGTTTCCTTGTCGTATTACTTTCAATTCAGCTTTCAAAGTTATCTACAAAGAGTTTTCACTTTGACTCTGACTTCACACAGCAACAGGATAACTTAGTGGCTTTCCTCTATATTTTACCATTACAATGAGTGAAAATAGCTGATAGTTAGAAATTGTTTGATACTGCCAGGAAGAAAACATGTCCAGTGTCCAATTTCCATACTCATACTTCCATTCTCAAGAATGTGGCAGTGAAGGAATATTCTCCTTTTAGAATTAAGCTGGTCTATATTCAAGCCACGGTGTGCATGATGTCAGGGATGTACCTTACCTGACAATTGTGATCCCCTTGTTGGGGGTATTTACACCTTGGAACCAGCAAATACTAAAGATCAGGACTCTCCTATCACCCCAAAGAGCCATTTGTTAAACATTTACCAGCACAGCACTTGTTCAAGCACATTGAATTTATGTTACTTTGCTCAAGATATTTAACCTCAAGATATTTAGCCTCATTTTCTATCTCTATAAAATAGTGGCAAGCTAGTACTCTACCTACATCACTCATTTTTCAATTTGGATCACTTTTTTTTTTGAGACAGAGTCTCGTTCTGTTGCCTAGGCTGGAGTGCAACAGCGATCTCTGCTCACTGCAACCTCTGCCTCCTGGGTTCAGGCGATTCTCCCTGCCTCAGCCTCCTGAGTAGCTGGGATTACAGGCACCTGCCACCGTGCCCAGCTAATGTTCATATTTTTAGTAGAGACGAGGTTTTGCCATGTTAGCCAGGCTGGTTTTGAGCTCCTGAACTCAGGTGATCCATCCACCTGAGCCTCCCAAAGTGCTGGGATTACAGGGGTGAGCCACCACGCCCGGCCAATAACTCTTAACATAGTATGGTACTTAGCATTTGGTGAATGGCCATAATAATAATGAGACTGATAAAAATTATCATTTCAAACACAAATAGATTGTTAAGTGTTAATTTATAGGACTGCTTTCCTCACTGTTAGCTAAATAGCAAGAGGAACAAGTTTGCAAAACAGTAGGGGAAACTTCATCTATCTTTAGGTGGAAATAGTCTTGGTGAGTTTTAACTTACTTTGGTTTAATTCAGATCTATTTTTTGTATTTATCAGAAGGCAAACCACCATGATAAACAGAGAGAGGAGGATGTTTTGCATTTTGTTGCCTGTTTCCTTTTGTTTCTTCTCAGCGAGTAAAACAGTTCTCGAAATAAGCATCAATGTTTTTTTAGCCTGTATTTTTATTCCTTCTATCATCACAGGCTTATTTACTTGCATACAGAATACAAATATTTGTATATACATATATGTATTATTAGTATTGTATTTATTATTGTAGCAGGTTGAGGAATAAATGGGAAGTCAGAAATTGAAGATACACAAGGAAGTCAGCAATTCTAGCCCAGCGAACACAGCAGCAAGAACACTGCTCCCCTGAACTCTGGGGAGCTTTCTTATGTGTGTTATTTTGGTTTCTCCTGTCTTTCTCCTTGTAATGATCAGTGATGGAAATCAGCCAGTGTGGATATTCTTAGAGCTGAGATGCTGAGCTGCTTTTTATTCCCTGGCTTGAGGCTTGAACGCACAAAGTCTCCAGGGAAGAGTGGGTTGGAGTAGCTACCTAAGGAGAAGGAATAAGTTAAATCTCTGGGGCCTTTGGCTATAAAGCAAAGGAATACAGAGTAGGCTGGTGTCGGCCTGCAGATCAGCCCTGAGGCTGATCAGAAGGGGCTCTGGTGAGGTTTTCTGACATATGGAGCAGTTGGAGAAATCCGGTGATAAAAGGAAGAAGGGGGTGTTTCAGTAGCTTGAGGAGAAGGTAACAGGCAAGAGAAAATCAAGGATGCAGGATGTGAAATCAAATGATGGAACTTTCTGGCTTAATGCAGACCATCTGGCTATCTTATCTTTAAACCAATGATTTCTCAGACATTTTTCATCTTATATCTACAATGACCACATGTCCCTGAGTTTTTACGATAGGCCAGATTTCAAATATTTCTGCCCATTGTTAGGCTCTTGGTCCCAAATTGAGATTGGAAAATATGATCATTATTCTTACATTCCCTCCCCCAACTTCTGTTACCTTTGTCACAGGCATTTGAGGCAAGCCCGTGGAAGCCTCCAACTGGTTAACAGCATCGTTAGGCAGCTGTCCACAGCAGTGGGTCTCAAACCTGACCGTGTATCAGAATCATCTGGTGCCATCAGTTAAAATACTGCTTTCTGTGGCACCTGCCTCATCCTTCTAGCCCCAGAAATTCGGATTCATTTGGATGTGAGAGATCTTCAGATTATTTGTGTTTTTAGCAGGTGTCCCATGTGCTCATGAGACGTGTGTCCCTTGGGGCAGGTTTTTGGAAATCAGTGTGCCAATTAGTGCCTTTCACATCTTTATCTGATCATTCAAACTTCTTACAACAGGGCTTCTCATACTTGGGCTTTGACTTAACGGTGATCTTTGAACTTCTGAAACTTGATGATAAATTTGTGAGTATGGGTTCTTCAGCAGTTCCTGGGAGAGGACCTCAGCTTTCATCAAGCTCTCACTGGTGGTAATGCCCAAAACAGTTACAAACCCAAGGCTGCTCGGTCAGCAATATGAAGACCATCCAAAATGTGGAAGCTACTTTTTTCATTGATCTCAGACTTAACTGCCCTCATGTTTGTTGTGGTTGTTTTTTTTTTTTTTTTTTTTTTTCATCTTCTGAAAACTAATTTCTGGCTAAAATTCACACACATATATGCATACTGCTATACCCACCCACTGGTGACTTATTCTTAAAATGATGACTTCTTTCAGACCAGTATTTTCAGTTTTATCAGCCAATAACACTTAATAGGATGTGTGTGTGTGTTTGTGTGTGTGTGTCTGTGTGTGTCTTTGAAGGGTGGCTGGCTGTCGGGGTGGGAAGATCTAATTAGGCCTCACTGTTTTCTCAACCATCCTCTCTTCCCTCTCTCCCTGACTTTCCACATGCATCCCCCAAAACAGGTTCTGAGCCTGTGATACCATGAAACCCCATCTGGTTTAAACCTTGGGCTAATATTCTGCAGCTGTGTTGCCTAAGCTGTAGGGAGACTTTTTCCTTGACAAGCATTTGTGGTTTAGGGAGCCAAACAATTGATTGGAAACTTCAGGGCTATGAGTTCTAACTCTTGGTCTGCTCTGACACAGTGTGTGACCTTGGGCGATTCATTTGATCTCTGTCCAAACTCTCTGATGCTTGATAACAGGATTTTCTAGAAATCTCCCTGCCAGTAAAGACATATGGAACCACTCCTTGGTGCCACAAGGGAAGGCTACACTTCATTATCTCTCAGGCTTTTAACTCTCTTTCTCCATTTGCCCATCTCTCCATGCCAGGGACTCCATAGTTTTTTCTAAGTCTTAGAAACACGTTCCTACTTTTCTTTCCCAAAATACATCAGCAATGCTACTCTATTTCAGTCATCCCCAGGATTTTAGACTTTGTCCGTAAATATTTATCCCATAATACTAAATTACCCAGACTGCTTTGGAACAGGGAATTGTGCAGAACTGGACTCTGCCCTTAATTTCACATGGCTACTGTAAATAGGAGAGCTGCATTTCTCTCTCATTTTTCTGTATTCTACAAGTACAATTTATTGTTTTATGAGCCTCCACAAATCATTTTATACTCCCTCTTCTTTTTAACATCTCCTTTTATAGAAAATTATTAAGTTAATAAATTTTATTAAAAGCAATACAATTCCAAGAATTTTTTTGTAGAAAATATGTACTATTTTAGCTTTTGGACTTCGTTAGAAGATTATTTACTCAGATAATAATCTTAAACTTGCCTTTTAAGTTTTAGGAATGATCACACACATGTGCACGCACATGCACTCATACACACACATACACACACACACATTCCAGTGTGTAATCAATAATTTTTTGGGATGGCATACGAGAGAATTATGTTTTGTAAGCTTTTATAATGACTGGTTCCTCATTTTAGAACAAGGCTGAAGAAATAGAGTTGTAAATATTTCTTTCTTACTTTCTTCTGCTTTCTGCCTCAAGATTCTATGTCTCTCTGGGATACTGGGTTTTGATATTTTAATCACTTTATTTCTGTTAATGTTAATTAAGGGTTCTTGGGCCAAAATACCAAGAAGGGTCAGTATGTGGTTCATAGTAAATCAATCAAATGGACATGCGTTAAACAGGTCATGGGCTAATTTCTGTTGTGTGTCATATGTCAGACAGTCTCTGGCTTGGAGTGATTTACTGGTTACTCTTCCTGGAAGGAGAACGTTGCTTCCCTGGCACTTCCCTCCATCTCCTCCCAGTCCACATGGGGCTGAGACAGAGCACCCACCTCAGGCCTCCTCCCCCAGTATCTTCCTCTTGCTCTAGGCTATCCTCTCCTCTTTCTCCACCAGGACCTTTTTTAGGTAATCGCCAAACTGGAAATGGTTTGATAACCTCATATCTATATGTTATTATTTCTGTGAAAAGGAAGACGTATATTAAAGTAACAGTAATAGTTAACACTTATTTTTAACTCTGTGCTAGTCCTTTTTACAGTACTTAACATGTAATTTTACATTTAATCATCACAATAACCATGTGAAGATGTGTATGCTTATATACCTACTATATATTAATAGATGAAGAATGAAAAAGCATTAAGCCGATTTTCCTAGAATCACAGGATAAGTGAAGGCAATCTGATTTGAGACCTTGTGTGCTTAATTAACTAATGTGCTGATAAGCTGCCTTTTTGAAAAACAGCCAAATGCACCTCTATATGCGGTTTTAAACTGCGATGGTTAGACTCCTATCACGAGTAGAACTGCTCTTTGGATAAAAGGAAAGTCGGGAGTGAGGAAATCAAGTAGGTAGGGCCCCTGACTTCCCTCCTCTGTCTCTGTAAAACGTTTCTGTGCAAACACACACACACACACACACACACACACACACACACACACGCACACCACAAACACGCCAAGCTGAGCAGACCTTCTTTTATCTGTTTTCACAATGGACTTCCAAGTAATGTTTCATTTGAAGAGTTTCTCTGTAAAAAACAAACACACTTTGAAAATGACTGCCTGCTACAACCCCACTTATCATAGTGCATTCTTATCTTTCCCCCCCAGTTGAAAATGCTGATGTAACTCAGATGTTAGCTGAGGTCATCCTTGTCTCTGAGGTCACTCTGTCCTTTGAGATTGAAATAAAATTGCCTCAATCCCCCATTTCATATCTCCTAAAAGGTTCCAATGCCATCCCCCAGATTTCTGCACATTCTCGGACCTATTCTCATGGGTAGTTCTTCCTGGCGAACTCTTGACCTGACTGCATCTTACCTCCTCCGGCTGCATTTTTCTCTGTGCTCCATGCTGACCTAGACGTGGAACTCAATCCTTTTTCCTTAACACGCAACCCCCTTCATCCCCACTTCACTCCCACAGAGAACTGTTCGTGAAGATTTTCAGGGCAGTAGGTGAAGGTTTATATCCCAGCAAAACATTTAAATAGGGTATCAGGATCCATGTTCTTAAAAATTCTGAAGCCACTCTGCCACTGGAAGGTTCTTCTTGACTGCATTATTACGCCTTACCAAGTTGGGCACCCCTCACTCCCTCACCTCCTCTTCCTCCTCTTCCTTCTCCTCCTCTTTCTTTTTCTCCTTGCCATCCATCAGTTCAAAATTCGTCTTCATTTCTTCAGTGAGGCTTTGATTGCTGCTTCCTTCTTACCCATGCCTCCTTGAGCCTCACCTCTTTTACCCCAGGCAACTCATTAGGGTATTTTTCTAAACAAAGACAGTTTTCTCTCCAGGAGAAACTGTGGTGCAAACTATTAAAATAAATTTATTAAGATGAAATCCCCCAGCCCCTGCAACATTAACACAGTATAGCGGATTGGCGGGGTTTAAGCAGGCTGATTAGCAAGCCCCATCAGAAGCTAACTTAAACCCTCACTGTAGAACAGTCAGGGTCCATGTGCAGGACAGGTGAATGATTGATTGCTTTTTCCATGAACAATTTATTAGGAGTGATTTTAAAAAATTAAGCAATTGCTCAGCATCAAGCATGGTGTGAAGCACTTCACATTCTTTATTTAATTGAAATTCACACCCTGTGAAGTACATATTTGTATTTTCTTTTAACTAATGGTAAAAGTTAAGCAATTTACCCAAAAGTCACAGCATTAGAAAGTAGTACAGCCTTTGATAGGCCCTGCAAGGACCCTCCTTGTTCTTAACTACCATACCAGGGCATTCAACCACCTTGTGGCCAAAAGGACGTTCCTTTATCTAAATGTTCCATTCTACCTTCCAGCACTCCTTGACTCCTCAGGAAGCTTCCCCCAGACTCTGTGTTATTTTCCTGCCTTTAAAGAGACTTTCTTTCTTTTTTCTTTCTTTTCTCTCTTTTTTTTTTGGAGATGGAGTCTCACTCTGTCACCCAGGCTGGAGTGCGGTGGTGTGATCTTGGCTCACTACAACCTCCGCCTCCCAGGTTCAAGCGATTCTCCTGCTTCAGCCTCCTGAGCAGCTGTGACTACAGGCGTGTGCCTAATTTTTTTTTTTTTTGTATTTTTGGGAGAGGTGAGGTTTCACTGTGTTAACCAGGATGGTCTCGATCTCTTGACCTCGTGATCCACCCGCCTCAGCCTCTCAAAGTGCTGGGATTATAGGCATGAGCCACTGAGCCCGGCCCAGAGAGACTTTCATAGAATTTTAGGAGTATAGCTATTTTCAGCTTTCTCCTGGGAATGTGTGCTTTCTGCAGGATTCAGGAAAGAATGAAATGTGCTAAGTAAACATTTTTACAGACAATAATGAGAAAACTTATGGGGAATGGGTTCTTGGGGTCAGACAAACACGGGTCCAAATCCTAGTTCTGGGTCTTATTGTGTGTCCTATGCCAAGTTGCTTATCTTTACTGAGCTTCCATTTCTGTATAACATGCACAATCATACCTGCTTCTCTAGCTCAGTGCTTGGCACACGGAAAATGCTCAATAAATACTAGTTCCTTTCCCCGTGCATGTCTAGTTAAAGTTTTCATATCAGCATATTTACCGAGTATTTGTTCAAAACATCAAGTAGTTTCAACACTGCAAGTTGAAGGAAGGCAATATGATGAAAATGTTTTATTTTTCCAGTTTTCCTTATATTTTTATGTGCATTGCAAAGGTATTGCAAAGTGCCAACAAGGGGAGGCCTTTTATCCCACTCCTACTTTTGGTGAAGATTGAAAGGCATGTAGACAAAGAAGAGGATGTGGAGTCAAGACCCATTGTTACTGGTGGAAGGTGTCCAGATTCTTGGTGTTTTGAAGAAAGAATTAGACAAAATGCACAAACAAAGCAAGGAAAGAATGAAGCAACAAAAGCAGAGATGTATTGAAAATGAAAGTATGCCCCACAGTGTGGGAGTGGTCCTGAGCAGCCATTCAAGGGCTGTGGATACAGAATCTTCTTGGGTCCAAATACCTGCTAGAGCTTTCCTATTGGCCATTTGGTGTTCATCCCATGTAAATGAAGTGGTGGCCCACAATCAGTCTGATTGGTTGTGGAAAGCAACCAATCAGAGGCTGAAGTGAAGTTACAAAGGTCACATTCCTACGCAAACATCTGATTGGTTGTGGAAAGCAACCAATCAGAGGCTAAAATGAAGTTACAAAGTTGCACTTCTGTGCAAACAAAGACTTGGCCCACAATCAGTCTGATTGGTTGCAGACAGCAGGCTGAAGTGAAGTTTCAAAGTTACACTCCTATGAAAATATCTGATTGGTTGCAAAAAGCAACCAATCAGAGGTAGTTTCAGTTTCCCATCTGCCTTGCAGAAAAGGTGGGGGTTTGCAAAGGGAGTAGCTTCTGGTCCTTTTGTTACTTAGGCATGGAAAGTTAGGGTTTTCCTTTCAATTTAGTTCTAGGAAGTCAGTGTGAAACAGCCTTAGGTTCCCTGCCTCCAGACACTATTCTCCTGCCTCACCATGACATGAAACTTCTCTGCCAGGGCTAAATGGCAGGAGGGCTCTCTAAATGTGTCTGGCAGGAATTGAGTACAGCATTGACATCCTCAAATTGAAACATGTGGCCTGCATTTATTTGAATATAACAGTTATTGCCTTTTGGACTTCGGGTTTCATGTTATCAATGCTTACTATATTGAGTGGTTTTATATTTAAATGTATTGTGCAGTAGGGTCCCCCCTTATCTGTAGTTTTGCTTTGTGTAATTTTGGTTGCTGAAATCAACTCTAATTGGAAAATATGATATGCAATAAGATATTTTGAGAGAGAGAGACCATATCCACATATCTGTTATTACAGTGTATTGTTATAATTGTTCTATTTTAATAACCTAAACTTTCCACTGGGGTTTTGGGACATATCCCCCTTGGATAAAGGGGACTACTGCAAATGTTTTGTTGTTTAAATAGGCTTATTGAAATGCAAGGTGCTCATCAGAGGTATGCTAGGCGGTTGGATCATTTAGCACCAGTCCAGTGATTTGTCAAATGTCTCCCTCAATAACCATACTCACAAAACATCTACACTGTTCTCGTTTAGAACCACTGGTTTTGTAGCTGTGATTCAGTAATCAGAGTATGCCATTTAAATTGGGGGTTCCTGTCAGGTGGGACATCTAGATCAGGCCCTCTGGCCAGATGAGAGCACACTCAGGAACGCCTGCCATCTTGAATGGAAAGATCTCACCTGACGTTGAATCCTGCTCTTTTCTTAACACCAACAACTGCAAGTTTAAATGAAGTGTGTGTACAAGATAAAATAATGTTCCTCCTTTCAGGTTTTTAATTATCTCTGAAAGTGGATAGCATTCAACGCTTTAGAATTTACTCAGTTTTTGGGTGTGTGTGTTTTGTTCTGTGTGTGTGTGTGTGTGTGTGTGTGTGTTTTAGATGGAGTCTCACTCTGCCACCCAGGCTGGAGTGCAGTGGCACAATCTCAGCTCACTGCAACCTGTGCCTCCCGTGTTCAAGCGATTTTCCTGCCTCAGAGTCTCTAGTAGCTGGGACTACAGGCGTGCACCACCACACCCAGCTAATTTTTTGTATTTTTGGTAGAGATGGGGTTTCACCATGTTGGCCAGGCTGGTCTCAAACTCCTGACCTCAGGTGATAGGATTTACTCTGTTTCAGCATCCTCGTTTTACAGCACTGGTTCCCAAATCTCACTGTCCATCATGCCTGCCAGACTCTTAGGTTCCTCCTCATAGGTTCTGACTGAGTTAACTTGGGATGGAATGCAGGAACCCTGGCCTTTCCAAAGCTCCTTCTTGAGTATTTCAGCGCAGTTCATGCCTATCTTTCAAACAGCTACATACAGCCGACACTTACTAAGCATAATTTATGTGGTTTGAAACAATGAATGATAGAGAAAAACCTGTGTGCTGCTCTTCAAGGCATGTCAGATCTAAATAATTTAGCCAGTCATTAGACATGACAGAATCTGTCACACAGAGTAAGTAATAAACCAGGAGTGAGGGTAGATGCTCTCCCTGAGAGTTGTCAGAGGGTCAGGGGAGACTCTCAGATGAAGAGCTTTGAGGAAAGCCTTGAAAGTAGACTCTGAGTTTGCCTCACAGACAAGAGGCAGAGGGCTTTTAGGATATAGCAATGAAAATAATGTGTGTGGATCTCAAATAATCCTATGTGGCAGGAATAGGGGGCTGGATAACGGCAGGAGGAGGTGGTCAATTTTGAAGGCCATTATAGAGGGAGAATATGTTACTCGAGGTCATGTCATCTGTGAGTAACTGAGATGGGAATAAAGTTAATTTATTTGAGAAGGGGCCAGGGAAAGTTATTGTTCAGAATTAGTGATGAGAGTTAATGACTGCCTCCTCTGTCAGGTTTATGTATTAAGAAATACCAGTTTTTAAATCTATATGTTTTATCCGTATGTAAATTACATGTAACTTTTTGCATATGGATAAATTTTATATTACATGTAAAATTACCCTGGAAGGATAATGTTCATGACTCTTGAAAAGATCTGTTAATCCACAAGAGGAGCTCATTTTGTGACCTGCAGAGTTGCAGTGAGAAGCTACAGGGTTTGAAAGGAGACATTCTAAATTTTTGAGGCCAATTTCATTGGAGAAATAAAAGCCTAGCACTTCAGGAGAGAACGGTTTTGGGGATTACCAGCCTGTATTGCCATTGACTCCTGACTTCTTGCTTCATGATTTTAAATTTATACTAAGGCATGGAACACTCCTCACTTCCTCCTCAACCAGCCAGAGCGATCCTACGCTTTGCGCCTCCCATCACTTCCTCCAAACTGTTCTTTATGCTACAGGGAAACCTGTCTCCTGTGAGCTGCTTTCTCATTTCATCTACTATTTCTCCTTCAGTGATGTTCCTTAGCACAAACCCAAAGTCTTGTAATACCAGCTACGTATGAAGTCACAACACAGAGGGAAGCCCCTGCCCTGCTTCCCGTTGACCCTCTGGAAGTGGGGAACTGGGTCCTTTTCTTCTTCATCCATGGCTTGATTAGTTGACATTATAAAATACCTGCTATCTGCTCACAGTCGCCTGACCCAATGGAGAACAGAGATGCTATTTCAGAAGAAAGAGCGACCAACAGAAAGGATAAGCAGAAACTAAAAAATAGTAGGACCTCTTTTTGTAATATTGTTTTTGGTTAAAAAAAAGATTTTGCCTGTGCATAATGGAATATTGGAACTTAGATGCTATCCTATCTCAGTAAATGGAGAAGAGCACTCTTAGGACATGAGCATAATAAATGTTAAAAAAACAAAAACATGAAGTAACTTTTTCTGACTAACTGTATGCCAATAACTTTCTGAATCCTCATGACAGAAAGACAATATGATACATCTCCTGTCCCCCAAAAGGGCTCTCAGTCTAATAGAAAAGGTAAATTTATAGCAAATACTTTAAAAGTTGTATAATAAAGTATATTCAAGATTCTGAGCTAACACAGTGGGGATTTATAAACTGGTCTGTGTGTCTTTGTGTTTGTGTGTGTAGATGTATATGAGACCCACACACGGGGTCGGGGGGGTGGGTGGGAGACTCGTTAATTTTGTACAAAAATCTTATGATATGGGTGTCAGTATCTCTGTTTATAGATTAGAAAATTGAGACTCAGAGTGGCTGTGTGATTTGACCACATCATCTAGTACGTGGTTACTTGACATTCTTACCCAAATCTTTCTGACTGTAAAGTCCAAAGTTATTTTATTTCATCCTACTGCTTCCTGTCTCCCTAACCCTGTGTTCTAGAATGATAGGAAAGAACAAACATATGAAAACAGGAGAGAGTATTTGTTTTCATGAGCACTCTATTGTGGCATAAATGTATTGCACAGCTTTACTTTCAGTGATTCTGTTTTTTTTTCAGCATTATTTACGTGTAACAAGAAACCATTTAGCTTTCAGCATAGACTCCTGATTTGATTTATGCTTAATAACACCCTTTCTTCCTAAGCTTGGCTGTGTATGGACGGTTATAAGTTTTGGATATAAAATGCATCCTGAATAGGAGTGAAGATTACCATGTGACATTTGTTTTTCCTGCCACCAGCTGTTTAGATTTAGTTTCACCATTCAACAAATTCAACATTTGATGGTTTTCACTCATCAAAGAACTAAATCAGCAGTTTCCCTACAAATTGGTAAAAGCTAGTCCTTTCATGATCTGAAATCCCGTGCCTGGATTGGGTCTGGATAACCATAGAGGGGAAGAAGTGATCCATGTTTAGACCTTACTTTTTGAAATCAATAAGGTAATGCCACAGACTGCTTAGATCGGATTCTGCCTGCAGATGTCCATGTCTCCTGAGACATAAGGGCAGTTCCATCTCAAAAGCCTGGGTAGGGTTTGACAGAGGTAGCTAGAAGACCACTGAGTTAAGATTCCCTTGACCATGGACAGGCTCCTGTCTTTTCTCATAGGACATAGCTAGAAGGCTAGAAGACCACTGAGTTGATATTCCCGTGGTCATGAACAGGCTCCTATCTTTTCTTCTAGGAAAATAGAGATTTACCTCATTGCTACATGGATTTGAACTTTTACTTTTGATAATCCAGGGTCATCCCCAACTTGATTTTTGAAGTTACTGAGTTTTTTCTTTGGACTCTGACCTTAATCCCTGCAGATGCTCCCAAGCCAGAGAGCCCTCTCTAACTCTTCTCCTGGAATGCTAGCGCCCCAGGAGCAGGATCTCATTTCCCACAAGATCTCCAGGGCCTGGAAATGGTGCTTTATACATACTGTGTCCACCATAAATATGAGTGGGATGCATTTGGCACAGGTGGACCCTCAGGATGACCTATTCTTGTTTGACATTGTCTCCCTCATGGGATGGAAGTCCTGATTCTTTCCTGCCCTGTGTCAGCATCATTCTGAAGCCTTGATAAGCTCAAGCCTTGAAAAGCTGCTGGCCTTTTGCTGGAAAGTAAGAATTACGGCCTTAGACAATGGGCCTGGCATGTGGTGTATAACTAGTAAATGCCAAACCTGCTTCTCTGAATCTTCTGCCTCTGAGTCTCCTTAGGTGGTCTGTGATTGCCATGGGTGGTGGTATTCAGGCATCTGTTCCTCTGTACTTTATTTATTCATTTTTATTTTTTAGTCCATTTTCATCATCTGTACTTTATTTTCCATTTCCTAGTCACTCAACATGAAGACATACTAGATAGACATGAAAAAGGAATATGGAGTTACCCGACCAGTTTCTTTCTTCTGACTTGCTTGCTGTTCTATGCCTGAGTAAGAAGAAAAAGAATGTTATGTATCTGTTTCCATACAGATAATGTAAAACCATATTCATTCATTCATTTGTTCAAAAAAGATTTGAATGTCAAGTATATGTCAGTCACACAAGTAGTTGAAAATATGATTTATTTTTCACTACATCTTCAAAATAGAGATTTAAAGTCTTCCATTTAGAATTTTTAAGCAAAAGAGACTAGTATACAAGTTCACTTGAAATTGAAGTGCATGAGTATTCTTAAGTGTCACTAGGGTTGCCTAAATTTAGTGACCTGTACATTTCATGAGTCTGGATACAGACTCTATTATAAAGAGGTTTTTCTTTAGCTAATTAAAAATAAAAGTCAAGCCATGTTGGTTCATCTTGAGCTTCTAGTGGTACCACATTCATTATACACATATTTATGGGAACACAATATGTGCAAGGCACTATCCCTAGGAGGATAGCTTCAAAAACTATGACAGAGAGAGAGAAGAGAATTGAGTGATTTATAAGAGATTCATCACATAGCACAAGATAACTATATTATAAAATTGGCTAGAGGAGGAATTGTGTATATCTTACTCATTCTTTTTATCACCTAGTGAAGATGCTCAGTAACTTTGCTTCTGAGTTTCTGTACAGACACTTTTAAATAATATCGAAACCAAAAGTGTCTATATTTTTTTCTCTTTTAAGTCTATTGAATACTTAGTATTGAGGATCAAAAGAACATTTCTCCTTCATTTTTTAAGTAAAATAAACATTCACTGATATATCCTGCATGCCAAAACACATTTCTTTGCAGAAAGATGGGCTTACACTGAAATGGGCTGACTTGACTCAGGATTTCGAACATATTAAAGTTTGTTCACAATGAACTGACATGTAGACAAGTATTTATATGAAGTCTCTTGTCAGTCAGTGCATATGTCAAATCACCTGCACTTTTAGCCAGGAAAGCGATACCTTTTAGCAGGTGCTTGGTACAAAATCAAGCAATCAGGTCTTATCTTTGAAAATTATAACCAAAGAGCCAGTCCTCACCTGGCCAGAAAGTTGTTTATGCAATGAATCTCAAGCAAAACCCACCAATTCCAAAGATTTAAAGGCTCATAAAGGTAGCTTAGGAGATCTGTGAAAGGTTCATGTCCTATGTGAGGAATACAATGTGTGTGATTTTCTACGTATCTTCTGGTTTTGCATAAATATACATGCATATATATTTAAAAGTTAGCACTGAATCAAATATTTATCAGACCTTTGCATTACCTATAATACTTGCATCATAATATTATTTTTAGTTCTTTATTAGAGCAAATATATCATTTTATGCAATGATATGCTTGTTTTACCTTCTTCTGTCCATCATGATAAATATGAAATTTTATCTCTGAAAATATAGGGATCGTCATGCTAACTTGAGGAAATGAAAAGAATCACTCTTATTCTGATTCTTGCCTCTATAGTCAAAATGGCAGAGTGAGTACACGTGGAACACAAAGCAGGGAGTGCCTCTCCATCTACTTGGAACACAGAGAGTTGGAGGAAAAAAAACACTTAAAAAATAGAGTTTCACTGATAAAGCAGAATTTAAAATAAAAATTTCTGCTGAACAAAAACACAGTGAAAAAACACATGGCGAGCTGGCGCTGAAGTGCCTGGGGCACTGAGACGGGAAAGAGGGAGCTAATCTAACCCTTATCGTCCAAACCCCATGAGACACTAAATGCAACCCACCGCGGTGCATCTCGAGGGCTACTGCTCTGTGTGATGTCAAGGGCTGTGGTAGAAATGATGTGGCCCAGAGAGGAATCAGCTACCTGCTCATTCCAGTGGATTTTCCAGTGGTGCCTCCATGTGATCCCACAGGAACTGGAACTATGATTTCCTCCTGGCAAGATCCCGGACTTCTACTATAAGACCTGGTTCTGCACTGTAGACTGTGGTGTCAGGGCTGAGGCAATTGTCAAACTATCCACTACAGGTAGGCAAGTTTAGAAAGAGATAAAAACAATGAAGCAAAACAAAATTTCCTAGGCAAGAAGAGCTTACAAGCCCAAGTTTTAAAACGCGAGGGAATTTAAGGCAGATAGCCAGTGCACCCAACAAATGGGAAGCATTAACACCTAAGGAAATAGACATTATCATGCATTGCTCAAGTTATTTGAAAATTATTTTATAAATCTTTGAAAAGATAAAAAAGGAATGAGTATCCAAATTAAGTAGTAAAAAGAGATTGTCAAGAGAAAGCAAATTTTTTGAAATTAATATGAATGAATACAGCCAATAACTCATCACAAATCTTGTAAATAAAATTTTCATACAGTTTAAATGTTTGAAAAAGACTCTAATTAGGAGAATAAATAATAGATCGAACGCAGTTGAAGTGACAGTTAATGAAAATGGGACTGAGGCTGGGTGCGGTGGCTCACCCCTGCAATCCCAGCACTTTGGGAGGCCGAGGCAGGTGGATCACTTAAGGCCAAGAGTTCAAGATCAGCCTGGCCAACATGGTAAAACCCTGTCCCTACTAAAAATACAAAAATTAGCTGGGCATGGTGGCCAGTGCCTGTAGTCCCAGCTACTTGGGAGGCTAAGTCATGAGACTCACTTGAACCCAGGAGGCAAAGGTTGCAGTGAGCCAAGATCGCACCACTGCACTCCAGCCTGGGTGACAGAGCAAGACTCTGTCTCCAAAAAAGAAAAAAACAAAAAACAAAACAAAAAAAAACACATAGGGATTGAGTCAATTACATAAAATATTGCAGAAAGAAAAAGTTGGATATACTATGAAAGAGAAGAGCATCAGGGGATGAACTGAGACATGAAATACAGGAATTTCAGAAGAGTGAAGAAAAGACAATATACAACAGATGACAACAGCTAAGAAGTTTCTAGAACTAAAGAAAGTCATGAGTTATCAGCCAGAAAAAACATTGAATGCTAATCAAATTAAATTAACACAAAATAGCAATAAGAATCTCTATATAAACACATTGTGTTGAAGCTCCAAATAAGGGAATATTTTGAAACATTTATTTCTTTCAGTCCTGTTGTTGCCAGAACAGAATCTGTCTGCATTATTGTCTCTTCTTCTGCCACTGAGATCTCCTATTAATCTGTTTTTATTGCCAATATTTATTAAACGAAGGGGCAAGTTATCAAAATAGCCAAAAGCTGAATTTTGTTTTCTCCCAATCAATGTGTGAATGTTAATCACCATTGTGCAGATACCCAGGTATCACTGGATGATTCAAGACTGTTGATTCCTTCCTACCTTAACTTTGGATTTAAGTTACTGTGGACTTAATTGACCTAAATATTCCACAGCCATATTGTCTCCAGGATTCCCTGGAGTTGGCTTGTGAATTTTTGGCTTGATCTATTCTATGGGATACGTGGAGCACAGATATTCAGCTGATATATACCTATGTGATGTACTGGCCAGCATTCACCACGACTGGTTGGTATTCCAAATCTCTATTGCTGCATAACAAACTACCCCTACATTTTGGACACAAAATGATAACATTTATTTTGCTTATGAATCTGACATTTGGGGAGGGCTGGATGAGGCCAGCTTGTCTCTGTTTCACATGACATTGGCTGAGGTGGCTCTAAAGCTGGGGGCTGGAATTAGCTAAAGGCTCCCTCACATGACTAGTGGTTGATGCTGGCTGTTGACTGGGTCTTCAGCTGAGGCTGTGGCCAGAACCCCCTTGACCTCTACATGTGGCTGCTTGGATTTCTCAGAGTATGGAGGCTGGCTTCCAGGGAGAGGTGGGGAGGGAGTCAGGTGGAAGCTGTATTGCCTCTGTCTGAGCCTGCAATTTACCCAGTGCTGCTTCTACCTCATTCTATTCATTAGGAATGTGTCACTAAGGTAGGCCCACAGTCAAGGGAAGGGAAACTCTTTGATGTAAAAGAGTGACAAAGAATTTTCAGACATTAAAAGCACTGTAGTCCTTATAAAGGTGCCTAGAATAAGCAAATTCTTAAAGACAGTAAACTAGAGGCTGCCAGGAACTAGGGCAGGATGCACGGGGAGCTTGTGTTTTATGGGTACAGAGTTTCTATTTGGGATGATGAAAAAGTTCTGGTAGTGAAGAGTGGTGATGGTTATATAACATTGTGAATGTATTTTGTACACTTAAAATGCTTAAAAGGATACATTTTATGTTATATATAGTTTACCACAATTTAAAAAGCCATATTGTCTGCATCCATTCTAATTAATCATGCCTATTTTGGTCTTAAAATTTTTTAAATGGTCCTTTTGGATACATGTATGTCCCCAAAATATTCAGAAAGATATCCCTAACCCCTCCTTTCCCGGCAAGGATTTCACAAAGGCAGAAGGAAATATTACTAGTGAAAGGAGTGGTGACTTTTGCTGTGTGCTCCTGGGGCTAAAAGATCTAGAAAAGTTTGGGAATAAGCTATTACCAATTTTATTTCATGAGCAACCCGAAAGGGGAGCTACTTTTAATATGCGGGGATGACTGATGAAGCTCATGTTTCCCATTTATGTTTGATGAACTCATAATTTTGTTTCCCTCCAGGGAAAACTCACTAAAATATGTAAAAGGGAAATCATAATGGAGATTTTCAACTTCTCAATTCAGCTTCATCTTTCTGTTTGCTGGGAATGGGAAAAGCCAGATATCCTTATGGCTCACAGAGTGACACTGGGACTTGGTGAGAATGTGCTAAGACTGACCACCTAGTGAATAGAAGGTCCTTTGGTGTCTTGCCACACAAGGCAGCCTCCCCTGAAACATTGAAATCTAATATCTTGCATCAAGGAGAGGTATGGCTGAGGCATAGGAACCAGGATCTCTAAAGGAAGAAAGAAGTGTTTGATAGGAAACGGGGAGGACCCCTTGACCCCAGACACTAGGGTAGTTCCTTGATTTAAAACATCTTTTTGATATTTGTTGTTAATTCTTTAACATCAGATCCTAGTCAGCAAACTACTAGAACACATGGCTCTCTAGACTGAGAAAACTGGCTACCCCCACTTCAGCGTGATGGTCCTCTGGTAGGAACACCACAGCTTAGTCTCTCCATGTTTTGCTTCTAACTGAGAACCTGGACAGATGCTGTCATGTATTTACCTCTCTTGTTTCTTAGTTTTATAAAAGTGATCATACTCACACATTAACTAATTGGTTATTATGCTAACAGCATGAAATATGCTTCTTTGAGATTATAATATGGTGATTGGAAGATTTTTTAGTATGAAAGGTTTAGAAGGCATAACGTTTCTATACAATCAGCCAATGTGGAAGGAAAGCTTTGGGCTCAGTAACACAGTGTTTCTTCTAATGACTTGTACAGAGTATTTGTAAGTACTTGATTGCATTATTATCTGTCCTGATACTGGTTGAAATTTTTAGAAGAGGCTATAGGGTGTGTATTTGAGCATATGTGGTGCATTTTATCTGAACTACTTATGATTTCAGCTAATTTGCCACAAAAGAGCTCCCTCCTGTCAGTCCCTGTTTCTGTAGCTTACCTCTGTTGAACAGTAAGTTGCTTTTAGAGTGCAGGGTTACTAGCCACTGCCTTCAAATATCCGGCACTTGTTTTGGTGGCAGGTTTGTAAACACAGTGCCTTGGCTGTGAGGTGTGTTGTAAAACATAGGCAATTAATTACTACTAGTTAAGTGAATTCAAGTGGTTTATTTTTTTAAAAATTGAGCAGATTCAAGCTTTTTGCTTTAATAATATTACTCTTATTTGCATTCTGAAATGCTTCCTTGATGAAAGAGAGTAGGTGAAGCTCTGGCTGGATCACTCTCATGAGAGTGTAGTCTGCAGGCAGAGGTCATCTATCCTGTGCATATTAAAGAATTCTAGTTAATCTCAGCGCTTTACATGGCTTGTATTTGCTTTTGAAAAAATCTGAAGACAGAAATGACTGAACACATGTTCCAAGGTGTTAAAAGCTTGATTAGGGTGCTGCCAGAAACATTCTGACTTTTCTGCTTAGTATGAGGAGAAGACCCAGTACCCAAGAATAATATGAATTTGTCCTTTCTGCCTTTGGGGATTTGCTCCATCCTTGTGTGCAAAGTGCTATAGGGGCCAGTAAGGGAGGAAAGGAGCAGGGTGTATATTAGGAAAATGATGTAGTAGGGATGCAATGCCTGTGATGTCAGATTGCCTTCTGGAGGTGTGATGGGGATAAACAGGTCATGACTGGGTGAAGGAGAGGGAGTAATAGGGTACGTCAGAAATGATGTAGGTGGGACGTGTGCTGCAAGGCAAAGGCATTAGAAAGGCTTGAAATCCAAGGAAAGAAATTTAAGAACCCATCCAGTACCTCTAATCTAATTATTCTACCTGGCCCTGCTGAAATCAGAGAAACCAAAGAAAACTGATTGGAAAACACTTTATTTAAATAGAAATCTCACGCTATTGAGATTGAATTGGGTGAACAGTGGGATGACTTGAAGTTTAGAGGATGAAGTTGATTACTCAGCAAATAGTTTTCTGTGGCATCTTGTGCAGAATGCAGAATTTATATCATTTGGCCAGGTTCCCCTTTTGTCCTCTTGTATGCTATACTATCTGTTTATAGCCCAAATTTTACTTATTAGTACTCCTTGTAGGTCTGTCTCCCGGGCTAGATCGTAAACTGTGATGGCAGGACCACATCTGCCTAATTTACCGCTACATTCCCAGTATAGCGCCCAGCAAAAAAATCAGTTCTAATTAAATATTGGCAAAAGAGGAAGTATAACACAGAAGAAATGCCACAATATCTCACAGCAGATGAACTTGAGTTTAAATTCCAGTTCTATTACCAGATAAGAATTGACTTATCAAATATCTAACTTGAGACGGTCACATCAATTACTATGATTTTCAATTTATTTGCTTGTAAAAGAAAGGTAATAATATATGCTTTTTCAGATTTTTTTTTTTTTTTTTTGAGAAGGAGTCATGCTCTTGTCACCCAGGCTGGAGTGCAGTGGCGCGATCTTGGCTCATTGCAACCTCCACTTCGTGGGTTCAAGCAATTCTCCTGCCTCACCCTCCTGAGTAGCTGGGATTACAGGATTACCATGCCGTCTAATTTTTTTTTTTTTTTTCAGTAGAGACGGGGTTTCGCCACATTGGCCAGTCTGTTCTCGAACTCCTGACCTCAGGTGATCCGCCCACCTCGGCCTCCCAAAGTGCTGGGATTACAGGCGTGAGCCACTGCGTCTGGCTTGCTTTTTCAGAATGTTGTAAGAATTAAACTCACTGTCTGTAAAGGATGTCATTCAGTTTCTGGTTCTTAGTCGATACTCAATAAATGCTTTTTATTATTTATAGTAATAATTTTAAAGTCATCTTTCTCTGTCTCTTGCTTGATTGGTTAGAGAAGACTAATGGAATTAGAAAGCTATGAAGATTCAGCATCATGGTGTTTGAATAGTATGCAAGAAAGTGTAAACTATCCTTAAGGCACTTGCTAGAACTCATTTCAGAAAGACATAAAACAATTCTTGCACCTTCTTAATGAATCCTTCCCTCAGACTTCTGGTGGCTGCCTTTTCCTCTTAAACCCAGCAAGTCAGAAAAATCAAACAATGAAACTAAAAAAGTTAAATCTAACCATGGGAAGTGAAATAAATATTTACACATGGCTTCCATAAGCATGATATATGTTTATACCTTTAGTATGTTTTGATTTGTGTATCTTACCACCTCAAGATATAAGCATTTAGCAGCTGGAAACCTTATCCTGGATATATTTTGTATTGTACTTTATTGTATCTAATAACTGTCAGAGCCCACCAATAAATATACTACACTTAGTGTAGATACATGCATGGCTAATTCAACAAGCATTCTTATCTAAAATTTTGTGTTTTTACTTGGCTGCTGTATTGGTAGACTTGAAGACTCAGCCACAGCTGTCCTGAGAGGCTATCTATAAAAGTGCAGGTGTTCAGCATTAGCAAATATTTCTTATTATATGGATTGACTTTTGGCAGCTAGTAACGATGTTTCCTGAGATTGAAAAATGATTTTCTACCTTAAACAGTGGTTTCACATTACTGGAATGCTGAATTAAAAAACACATACACATGCACACACACACCCCCCACAAAATTCTTCTCATCAAGTAGTACCGAAACTGTTTTTGTTAGTTGTATACATTTCATGATTTGTATATTTTATAGTAGAATGCAAGTCTTTCTTTTTAACTGTTGTGGTTAGGTTTAGGTCCTTTGCCAAATGAAGCAGACTATGAAGAATTAGGAAGCGTAATGCATCCTGGGGTTGTGTTCCTGGTAAAGGGGACTTGGACCTGGCTGGAAGCCAAGGAAGGACCTGGGGCTGGAGATATTTTCAAGACTTTAAAACTATCAGGACATTTTGGTGTTTTACTATTGGAGACTTTTTTGCATCAACAGATATTAACAAATAGCCTTTTATCCCTGTTTACAAGAAGTTCAAATACCCTTCGTGATATCTCTCTTCCCCTTCTTAACCTTAAAGTCACAAGTGGGCAGAGTCTGAGGACCTTGTTTCAAATGATTTATGGGAAGCTGAGAAATCCCTCCCTCTGCAGTCCCTTCATTTCCTATATACACACCAAATAATAAAACCAAAGGATAAGACATTTGGCTTGGTATCTGTTAATTTCTACATTAAATCTAGAAATTATAGTTTTTCTGTATTCTATAAAGCAAAAGACTAAAAATTGAAAGTAAAGGGCAGAGACATTTTCCTTTTGGAACATTATCGAAAAAATATGAAGATCATTTGCAGTGGGTTAATGAAGTTTGCATTTAATGCCTGAGCTCTTCACTGCTTGCCTGAGAGTTTGCCAAACCAACAGAGAAATTAGTTTGGCTAAATAAATAAATGACAAGAGGGCACTCTTGGGTGCGGTGGGGTTGGATAATTGAATCCAACTTAAGTATGGCTGGTTCTGTTACCCTAATAATTTTCCTTACTTTGGCAACACATTGCTGATGTTTTGGAATCTTTACAAGGCAGGTAAGCCTTCAGATCGAGGAAAACCAAACAAACCAATGTCAATTATTTGAGCTAAGCTCTACTTTGACACACTTGAGTTATGGCCCATGGCAGGAAAATTCAAAAATGTTCCATGTGTAAAGGTTTCCCCTTTATCATCTTACCTTCTCTGTCCTTCAGGTCTTCGCAGGAGAGTGCGTTTCAGGTTTTTGTTGAACTTATGAAAGGCTCAGTTTCAAAGGCTTGGGTTTTCACATCCATGTCAATATCACAGATTGAAATGTGACACGGGTACCTGGCTGCATACTTTCTTTAAACGTGAGCCAGTTATACCACAAAACGTTAGGGGAGGCACTCTTTCATCTCACACTTTAAAGTGAGGTTTGTTGATGTAACCCAATTTCCAGTCTGCAGAGGTCACTCTGTAATGTAGTGCGATGATGATAAACCCATCAATCCTGTTTGATGTTTGAATTTCCCTTCCCGTGGTCTTTACCTCCACTTTGTTTTGTAAAGTAAGTTTGGTAATAGTGATATTCTGGCTTGCCAACGTCTGATGATCTGAATTCCCCTGACACTCACTGGCTTTTTAAAGCATGCACATGCTTTTGCAGAGATTATGCCGTGGATATAATTATGAAGGGGATAATAGAAATAAATGTTTTTATATACTTTCGATGATGTTCTTGGGAAGAATAAGTGATCAAATGCAGAGATACTAAACCTTGGTTCCTGGCCCTCCTGTGACCTCTGAAAGTAGTGAAAGTTCTTCTGTATTCTGTAAAGTGTTTGGCAGTTGGTATGAAATGAGTTGGTGGTCTCAGCAGTCTCTGTATGATTGTGGGTGTGTGGGCATGAACTGAGGGTAAGGAGAAGGAAGGGAATGGACAAGAACCAGTATTAGCTGGAGGAAGGGCATGATATAACTCCTGTGACATGCTCAGTCCACAGAACCTTAAGTAGAAGGCTGCACTATATTTACTGGTCCCTGTCCTAAGTTAAGAGGCAGAATCAGGGATGAACAAGGGACTAAAGCCTGTTATTTGGAATACTGGAAGGTAAGAGTCAGTTGAGAACCAGGCCAGTGAAATACAGGTTGAAACATATTAAAGTGCCAGTATTTGGCCATTTATGATTTACAAAAACATGTGATTCAGTGTTTCCATTTCATTGGATTTCATGTGATTCAACCTGATTCTGCATGCAGTAGCCGAATTGGTTTTTTTCTGTTTGTTTAGAAACACCCACCTCACCGCCTCCTTGCTCATGGAAAGCCAGGGTTATAGTGAGGGCAATATGGTCGAATTAGCAGCTGCCCATTGTGACAAATGGTTGTTTTTGTTGACTGGTCCCTTCTGGCAAGGGGCGGCAAAAAAACAAAAACAAAACCAGAAAAAGACACCTTATTCAAATTATTGTGTTGGAGGTGACTGGAAGCTCCATTAGCTCATCACTTTTCCTCCAGTTAAACCATCTGGATTATAATTACTTGCCACTTTGCAAAGATCTGTATTACTGGCAGTGGCACAACTCTTTTTAGTGATATTTTTCAGTGTGAACTTCCTGGCTAGGTACAGCCTCCTCTAAGACCTATGGGCATCAGAATATGAGGTATATTGCAAGATAAGAAGAAATTAGACTGGTATTAATAATATAAGTCCCTTTCAAGTGACTTGAAGCTCTCTGTGTTGATTTTAGGACCTTGTCAAGATGAGCCAAACCGTGATGGATCCTAGTAGAGTACCTCCACCATTGATTCAGCTGTGCAATTTGGGCAGTCACATAACTTCTCTGCTTAACATTTTTCCAGTGCAGTAGAACCATTTCAGAGGTCTGGAAACTATAGTGTGAAGTGCCGGGTTCCTCTGAGTTGCTTTTGGATGGTGCTAGGGAGGAGAGGGGAGTCCTCTTAGTTGAGCCTGGACTTCCCACACCTCTTACGTTTTTGTCCCATTCAACAAGAACACCTCTGTCTTTTGTTTTGTATCTGAAGAAAGAGTTCAATGCTAAAAGGAAAACATTTGAAAACAAGTGGATCAAAAAAATCTCTAGGCCTTCTCCTAGCTCATTTGAATTTTTCTTCTCTAAATATCAGAATGTACAATCTGACGATATATGCCAGTACAATGGAAGGAGGCTAATTTTCTTCCTTTCCAGGCATCCCTACTGAGGCCCGTAAAATGGAAACATCTGTCCTTCTGGAAATACTAGGAAGGGAGGAAGCTTTCACCCTTCCTGCCAGCCCCCTCCCAAAGGAAAGGGGGGACTTATCTGATTGCCTAACTGGGGAGAGTAGCTGACTTTCTATGGCTCAGCCCCCTGGGGCTTGCTTTCTGTCAGCCCAGTTTGCCTGCGGGCAGGACATGTTCTTCTTTCCCTTTGTGCTAATCTTACTGGGCAAGCTGTGCGTCTGCCTCTGGAAAACCTGTCGTTTGGGATGGGTGCGGGAAGGTAGGAAGTCTGATCGTGACCTCAGATACTAGCCACATTCTCTGGTCCAGGTTTACTAGTAATAAAGATGATAGATTGATCCCTAACTGACTCCTGCATCAGCTTCTCTGTAAGTTCTGAAACTATAGGAGGGGGGAAAGATGGCGGAGGTTTCCTGGGAGAAACTCTGACAAATAAATCCTTATTCCTTGGCAGTTCATTATTGATTTCCCCCATATAGCGAACACCCTGTCTCCTGATCTTGATCTGTCTTAAAGTGCCTTCCATGTCCAGATTAAGATCCTGTCCCCTTGAATGTTCTCTCTCCTTACTGCCTCTCTGGTTCTGGGCTGTGCCCACAGCTACCCCTCAATCACTGCTTTCTGGATTATGGAGCCACTCACTACTGATCATGCTTTTGCTTTTCCTCACATTGCCTCTGCATTTCAGCTTTGATTCACAACCCTGTGGGCCACCATGGGTGGATCTATGTTTCACAAGAAAGGTGTCAATTTTTTAAACTTCCTACAGCTGTGTTTGTTGATCCCAAGAAACCATGCAGGGTGTTCAGCCCAGGTTAATGAGCAGTCGGCTCACCCACAGGCACTCTCTGCTCAGGGATGCTAAGCCCTTTCATCTCTGGATTTCATCACTCTTAGAACTGTCAGGCAGTTGCCAGCTATTAGGGAGCCATGCTATTAGGGAGTTTGGCAGCTCCTCGAATTCCGTGTGCAGGAGGAAGCTCCTGTCATTCCTCGTCTCCTCATTTCCTTTGTGGGCAGACCCTGTGTGATGCTTGCCGTCACCGAAACTTGCCCTCCTCAGACTGGCTTATGGGGTTTACCCGAGTTGCTTTGCGAGCCCAGCCTCCTGTCCGCACCTGGGTCCACGGGCAAGGCAGATCTTGCACCTTCCCTCAACCGCACTGTGGCTGTGTTTCTGTGTCAGGTGTTCTCCAGTGCTTACAGCATGATACATTTCAACATGCTTCCCCTGCTGGTCCCTTCTTCCTGCCCGCTGCAGGCCTTTTAATCTCATGAGTCAACATCGCTCTGTAGAGCAGGTGCTGCTGTTCTGTACCCCCATCTGCTATCTCCTGCTCCTTTTCCTTTGTTAGTCAGCACCTACCTCGCGGGGAGAGACACTGAACTGCTGGTGGCTGTTACATGGGCTGCATCTTAACTCCACACCTTCCGTCCTTTTGGCTGCTCTGCCTAAAATGTCCTCATCGCTCTTAGGGAGTTGGACAAGGAGATCAGAGCCTCATTGTTCTAGAGAGCAAGTGAGAGGACAGTCCTAGAAGAACACCAGAGCCTGGTGCTGTGGGCCGTGGCTCTTTTCTGTCTCCCAGGCTGGAATGTGGTGTGGGAGGGCCCACCATGTACAAAGGGCCGGGGACTAAGTGGACATGAAATAAACATATCAGGGCTTGCCTCTCTTGTGTACTCCTCAGTTCACACCACATGAGCAATATCTATTCAATTGCTTGCAAAGAAGGCCATCTGTTCCAACATTTTTCCTACCCTACTTCCCTGAAGCACTGTGGATTCATCCTCCTCAGAAAGACACTACCTTTCTGCTAATACTCATTTAAATACACGCTCATGGTAGACCACAGACACCTGGTCCAGTATAGACTGGATTCAGATTGGAGGAGGCAGACCTTTGGTATAGAAGCCTGGCAAGGAATCTCTAGGTCATATCAGTCTCGATATCAAACACCTGGGATCCAGTGGGATCCGAGGGTAGATCTGGGTCTACTGCACAGTGAAGAGGAACAGGTGGGAGGTCAGCTTCTCTGCCAATCAAGCTGGGGTTCAGGCTCAGGCTCTATTCGCAGTGGTAACTGTCTCACAAGGCAGTTCCAATTACAACTTCCACGTTTTCATCCTGAGCTTAGACCCCATGTCTCAGTTCCAGACATGGATATCTAACTGCCTCTTTTCATCTCCATTGGGATACTGGATGTGCAGGTATTTCAGTTACCACATTTTCAAGACTGAACTCTAGTCCCCCTTTTCATCTTCACCACTACCAGATACCCCCAACAAGATTTTCTCAAGTCTATCCTTATCTCAATGAATGACCCCACCAGCCAGCCATTTGCTCAAGCAAGAATCCTAGCAATGGCCCACATATAATATAACTTCTTCTTCCCCACATATAATATAACTCTATTATGGCTTTCCCAACATAAAGCTCAAATGCTTCCAATTCTCTGTGACCATACTAGTTCAAGGCCCCGTTATGCTTCACTTGGGACTCCTCATAGCCTCCTTATTAGTCTTTCCACTTCTACCCTTTTCTATCTATTATCTATTTTCTATCTGTTTTTCAGAAAGCAGCCACTTTTGTAAAAATGTAATTTAAATAGCTGGGTTTTTTTTCTTTGTTTAAAACCCATCAATGCCTTCTCAGTGAAATTAAAACAAAATCAAAATGCACTTCTTCCTGTGTCCTACAAGACCAAGTGCTGCAGGGTCTGGTCTCTGTTTAGCTAACTCATATCTGTCCTCCCTTCTCTGCACCACTCACTGGCTTCATTTCTATCATTTTTACTGGGCTAGTGCTTTCCTGTTCAGGACCTTCACGCAGCAGAATTTATTTCTTCTCCCGGGCCAGTCTTTCCCAGTCTTTGCACGGCAGGTTACTTTCATCCTTGAAGTTTTTAATTTATTGTCACCTCCACAAACAGGCCTTCCCCAACTACCCAATCTAACCAGGTCACCTCTTCCTCTTGTTCTCTGTCTTTGTACCATATCATTTTTCTTTTTGGTGTTTATCTCAGTGGATCATTCTGTATTTGTTTAGTGCTTTAATTCACTAAACTCGAGGAGGCAGGTGCAATTTTGTTCAGCATCTAGTAAGTACAGGGCCTCCCACTCAATGAATATCTGTTGCATGAATGAATCAGGGTGAGCAGGATGCTGCTGCTGATTCAGAAATCAGGCATACCTGCCAGCAGAATTAGTGTAGTGGGCAAATCCAGACCGCTGTGCTCTGTACACACTGGCTAGAGTTCAGTGAAGCTGGGCTGGGTACACCTGAGTGTCACAGGCCTTCAGCACATGCAGCTTGACAGGGCAAAGCAGGAACAGATAATATCAGGGCCCTCAGCACCTGTGGCCATTTTTTACTGGGGGCTGGAAAAGTAACTGAAAGTCTCTAACATTAAATCACTATTATATCAAGGCACTTGAAGGATATCAAAGAATATTGGGAAATATATCAAACTTACCTGTGTATTTGGTAGGGGAGAGACAAACACAAATATCTAAGGGGTCACTTTCAGACTACTATGCCTTGTTTGTCATTGAAGTCATCATACTGCATTTCAGGAGAATGTACTCAATCAGAATATATTAGGTTGGTGCAAAAGTACTACTGATACTATCAGATACTCCATAGGAAATTGCTGGTCAAATTATCGGTGAAAAGCAGTTGACTTATTATTCTTATTGAATATATGAGCAAAAACCTTTCTAAAATGATGTTCTGAGACAAGCCCTATCATATATCCAGCTTTAATGTTAGGACAGTGAGACACGTAGAAGTTAGGCCCCTCAGCCAGGCGCAGTGGCTCACGCATGTACTCCCAGCAGTTTGGGAGGCCAAGGTGGGTGGATCACCTGAGGTCAGGAGTTGGAGACCAGCCTGGCTAACATGGTGAAACCCTGTCTCTATTTAAACTACAAAAATTAGCCAGGCATGGGGGTGGGCACCTGTAATCCCAGCTACTCGGTAGGCTGAGGCAGGAGAATCGCTTGAGCCCAGGAAGTGGAGATTGCAGTGAGCAGAGATTGAGCCACTGCACTCCAGAAAAAAAAAAAAAAGTTAGACCACTTGCCCAAGTTCACATAGCCACCAAGTAGGAGATCCTGACTGTAAACCCAGTCATTGGTGTATAATCTTCATTATTACCTTATGAGTAAACCCACAGCTATCCTACATCCCGCACATTCCTTGAACATTGATTCAATCCCTTCAAAAAGCGCAGATGCATATTCACAACTATCAGAAGATGGGTATAAAAAATATACTTTACTGTTACTGCTGTAATGCAAAGACTACAAAAGTCTAGAAAAGCGTTTTAACTGTAATAAAATATTTAAAGTATAGAACATTATGAAGATGAAACTAATAATCATCTCGTCCTACCAACAAAGTCAATGATGATTAATATTTCAGTGTACTTTCCCTAAGATTTTTCTGTATATATATACATACATAATTAGCAGTCATTATATCTTTTTGCATATTTAAGCATCTATTTATATTTTAATAATTTTAGTTTTATCACATCACTGATATTTTTATGTATTAGTCTTCCACAAAGTTTTAGTAGATTTTAAATATTTGATTATATAGATGCATGCTATTTGGCCTGTTTCCTTATTGTCATATATTTAAATTGCTTCCAGTTGTTTTCAGGTATATACCTTTTGAACACAGTACGTAGTTGTGAGTTGAATTGTGTGTTCCCCAAAAGATACGTTGAAGTCCTAACCCCTGGCACCTGTGTCTGGTACCTGTGAATGTGAGCTCACTTGGAAATAGAGTGTTTGCAGATGTAATTGAGTTTACACAAGGTCATAGTTGATTAGGGTTGGCCCTAAATCCAATGACTGGTGTCCTTACAAGGAGAGCGTTTTTGTCCTTACAAGGAAACATAGCCACAGACACTGTGTGGAAGATGGCCCTGTGAAGGTGAAGGCAGGAATCGAAGTGTTATTGCTACTTTATTTCATTTCAGCTACAAGTATGCCAAGGATGGCCTGCAACTACCAGGGGCTAGAAAGAGACCAGGTGGGATTTTTCTTCAGAGCCTTCAGAGGGAGCACGGGCCTCCCAGCACCTTGATTTTGGACTTCTAGAACTGTGGGAGGATACATTTTTGTGTTTTAAGCCGCCTAGTTTGAGGCAATTTGTTACAGCAGCTCTAGGAAACTAATATAATGAGAATATTTTGTTCTTTGAACAAATTTATGAAACTTTTTTCTTAAAAACTTAAGAGAGCTATTCTTATTTGTTATCATTACTAATATAATTGGTCTAAAACTTCTTTCACTAATTTATTGTTTTTTAAATGGTTACTTAGGTTTCCATTTTTGAGCTTTTTCTTTGCTTATATTTTCTCTGGTGTTTTGAAATCTGTACGTTTTACTACCTTTCCATTTTTCAAAATATTTTTTTTCCTATGTTTTTTAATTGTCAGAATTAAGATTCAAACAGCAGTATTTGAGATGCCTGTGCTTGAGATCAGAAGTCAAGCAAATTTAATTTTTGTCTTCTTTGCCACTTTTTACCTCTTACAATGTAATAATAGTATGTCACATTTACTGAGTAGGTACCATGCCCCCGTGATAGTCTTTACATGTCACACCTCTGCTTTACAGATGGGGGGGGAAGGATTGAGAGATTATGTAACTTGCCCTAAGTTACTAGATAACCTTTGCATAGCCACTGCTTCTGTGATCTCTAGCACTATGCTATCAGGCCTTCTAAATAAACTCTGGGGTGGTAGACTTAATTATTTAGGATATTTTCTATATTAATTCTATCTTCTATTTTCAGATTTCTTTTGGACATTTTATTTTGTTATTAAAGATAGATTGATTGTTGGTTTAATTGGTTGAATAGCTGATTTCTAAATCTGTGTAGTACATAGAGACATAATGGTATTAATATGTATATGAGGCTCTTGCTCAAACTAAAGGCGTCTTCCTTCCCAAGACCAAGAGTAATTTTCAGTTATTCAAAAATTGTCCATATGGTAGAAATTTCAGAATGCCAAGAGACGGAGAGATCAAAGAGTCACTTACTATTTTCTTACTCTTAAATTTATTCATTATTAACCTGTAATATATTGGTTATTTATTGCTGCATAACAAATTATCCCAAAATGTAATGACTTAAAGCAAACATTTATTATCTCCTAGTTTTTGTGTCAGGAACCTGAGCATGGCTTAGTTGGATGGCTCTGCCTAAGGCCTTTCAGAAGACTGCAGTTGACATGCTGGCCTAGGCTGCATTCCCATCTGAAGGTTCAAATGGGGGGAATTTGAAATCAGGGTTCATTTCCTCATAAGATGTTGGACTAAGGGCCTCAGTTCTGCACAGGCTCTTGGATGGAGGCCTCTCTCAGTTCCTTGCCACGTGGGTATCTCAGTTTTGCAGGTGACAACATGACAGCAGGAGTCCTCAGGGCAAGGAAGAGAAAGAGGGCTGAGACAGAAGCCAATCATCTTGTAAGTGACATTATGCTACCTCTACCACATTCTATTCATTAGAAGGGGATAACTAAATTCAATCTGTGCTCAAAGGGGGGGATTACACAGTAGTGTGTACCAGGACATGCAGACTATTGGAGGCCATCTTAGAGGCCTGAAACATGTTGGTTTCAGCTCTCTGCTCTTGTAACTTCTAAGCAGGGTTGAATAATCTGAGATCATTTAGAGGAATCCAACACTAAAGGTTTGGTCCGCTCCCTGTGTATATGTTTTGTAGGGTGTGTTTTACCTCCTCTTATAATCTGTTAGGCAGAAATAATTGGCAGTGATCCCATGGACATGTTTTAGCCAACTTTCAGCAATAAATCAGATACTCCTCCATTTTCATTTGGTATTTAGTGTTGCAAAGGATATTGCTAAGAATAATCAAAATTTGTTGCCTCATATTGCAGAATTTGATGACTTTTTCACTCAACTTTGTACTTTTTTATTTTAAGTTCTAGGGTACATCTGCAGGATGTGCAGGTTTGTTGCACAGGTAAATGTGTGCCATGGTGATTTGCTGCATCTATCAACCCATCACCTAGGTATTAAGCCAGCATGCATTAGCTATTTTTCCTAATGTTGTCCCTCCTCCCACCCTAACCCTCAATAGGCAGCAGTGTGTGTTGTTCCCCTCCCTGTGTCCATGTGTTCTCATTGCTCAGCTTCCACCTATAAACAAGAACATAATGTTGTTTGGTTTTCTCATCCTGCATTAGTTTGCTGAGGATAATGGCTTCCAGCTCCATTCATGTCCCTGCAAAAGGACATGATCTCGTTCCTTTTTATGGCTGCATAGTATTCCATGGTGTATATGTACCACATTTTCTTTATCTGCTCTATCATTGGTGGGCATTTGGGTTGATTTCATGTCTTTGCTATTGTGAATAGTGCTGCAATGAAAATATGTGTGCATGTATTCCCATTCCTACCAACAGTGTAAAAGCATTCCTATCTCTCTGCACTTCACCAGCATCTGTTGTTTCTTGGCTTCTTAATAATCACCATTCCAACTGGTGTGAAATTGTATTTCATTGTGGTTTTAATTTGCACTTCTCTAATGATCAGTGATGTTAATCTTTTTTTCATGTTTCTTGGCCACATGAATGTCTTCTTTTGAGAAGTGTCTGTTCATGTCCTTTGCCCACTTTTTAATGGTTTTTTTTTTCTTGTGAATTTGTTTAAATTCCTTGTAGATTCTGGATATTAGACCTTTGTCAGAAGAATAGATTGCAAAAACTTTGTACTTTTTAAAGGTTATCATCATGTGCCTAGGCATGCATTTTTTTCACTGGTTTTCCTGTGAACCACTAAGCTGTGAACCATTGAAACTGCTTACACATGACTTTCTTCATCTCATAGAATTTTTTTAATCTTTTATCTTTGATTGTTGCTACTTTCTTTAATTTCATTCTTTTCTTCAGAAACATCATTCAGCCTCAACTTGGTTTTATGGGTTTTATCATCTGTAGCTCTCATTTCCTTCTTCCTGCTTAGTTCTTTTCTTTGTATTCTAAGGAAACTTCTGTGCTTACCACCGCATTTTTGTTTGAGTTTATGCGTCATTGATTCTGCCCTTCCTTCAATGCATATTTTAATTCTAATAATGGGGTTTTAGTGCCATTGCAATTATTTTTTCATTTTGTCATCACTCATTTTATTTCATCTTTGTATCTTTTTACCTCCACCTGTTCTTTCCTTAAGATTATTTGATCCCATCCTAGATCCTTGACTTTTTGTCCTCATTGAAGAAGCCAGATGTTTTCATGAAATTTCTACTCAGTCCTGAAATAAATGAATGTTATGAAGTCTTTTATTCTTCCCTATTTTCTGGATGCTATTTCTTATTCCTTTTTGGGCAAATCATTTTCTCCATGTTGGTTTTCCTTTTACTTATCTTCAAACAAGTGTTCAGTTTCAGTATTTTTCAGTAAATAAGGAAGCTAAACTGTCCTTTATACCCTGAGGTTGAATTACTTTCTTAGTTTTGCATGTGGAGGGCAGATTCATTTATTCACCCATTTTCTAACAGGCATAAATTATAGTGCACCTCTATTCTATCAACAGAACAACTTACTCCTGCCCTGCCTTCTTATTTCTCTGGTTTGATGAACTGATTGAATACATGAAAAAATACATTTGTGATATCAAGGTTATGTCTATCTCCATCTTCAAAGCTGTACTATTCTACCTCTAGGATCTCCCTCCACCTTCATGTTTACTACTCAGTGGCTTTCTGGTTTTTGGTCTGTGTCTGAAAATAGAATGGTATAGAGACAGATGCATCTCAGCCTAGCTCCAATTATCTAATAGCTATTGCACATTTTCCTAAATTCAGACATAGTCTGTTGATATTAGTTTTAGGTTTATTTTAGTATTTTTTCTGTCTTCATGGATATTTGAACAAGAAGTTGGGGGAATTGCACTGGTTGCTTCCACCAAACATTATTTTGAAAGAAAAATCTGTATTGCTATAATAATACTTTCCCTCTCCGATCTGTTTGCTACAGTGCTGCCTAAAGATCTTTGTAAAGGGCATAGATCATGTCCCCTCCATCTTAAAGCACCTTAATGACCTTCTTATCCAAACTCCCTTCTTGTGGAATATTTGATCTTCAGAACCTCATGTCTGTTTTATTCTGGAGATCTGCCTCTTTCCTCACACTCTGTTCTAACTCTCCAGGCTTTGACCACTGGCTTTTCCCTTACCTATTATATCCTTTCCTCCCAGTTTGTCTTGAAAATGCCTGTTCACTTTTTAGGACTCAGCTTCAGCTTCATCTCTACCATGAAGAGGAGACTTAATGATTTCATCTTTGTATCTCTGTTGGGCACCATGCATAAGTTAGTCTCAGCACCTCTCTGTCCTTATTACTTTTACTTGACCATGGCTGGGCAAAGGAAGTTTCTAGTTTACCTCTGATTCCCCAGATCCTGGTCTAGCACCTGGCATATATTAAATGCATTTTAAAATGGTGGACTATTCAAAGAACACTTGAATGTGTAACTACATTTCTTTTTTCTTCTGGTAAAATAAAAAAGGGTTGAATATGGGATTAGTTCTTTTCTTTAGTTCTTCTTATCTCTTAAGGACTTAATACCCAATTCTTGAGCTTATTATTTTTTTTCCAAAATAAAAACTTCTTGTCCTTTGAAAATTTATAGCATGTTATGAATTTATTGTCCATTACTTCTACTCTGTGACAGTTGTATACATCAACCCTCCTATCAGGAAAAATGGCTTAGTAAGCTAGCTGACTCTTGAATGGACATTCCGACGTGTATTTAAAAAGCTGACTTCAGTGACCCCATCTCCTTTTCCCTCCCTTTCAGTTTCTTCTCTCCTCTCTTCTGGAATTGTTCTGATTGCCTGGGAGCTGCCTGGTCAGCTGCAGGAGGTCCTAATCCTCACCCAGATAGGCTGTGAATCTCTGAGGGAACCACTTGGACCTTTGGGTGTCTTATTTTTAATCCCTGAAAAACATTTTGACTTGGTTCATTGTGTTGTTTCACATGAAATCCATCTATTAAGTAGCAGAAAAATAGTATTGTTTTTCTCTTCTTGAAAGCTAAATTTAGTTTCTGTGGAAATGATTTTGTTGCCGCTAACAGTATTGCGGACTCCTGTGTGACACAGTAGCAAGTACATATCAGCTGTTAAGAAACAAAGATCTTGCTTTCCTACTGGAGACATATGGTTAAAACCACAACAACAACAATTAAAAAAAAAAAGGATACCAAAAGGATATTTTGCATACATAGAAAGAAGTCAAGAGAATTAGTTTTAAGTAATATATCACTTACTTTCCCATAAGGTATCAATATCTCACAAACACTGAATAGCATTGATCCAATTTTTAAAATTTTGATGTTAAATTAAGATGCTAGTTACTTTAGCAACAGGGAGATGGATAGAGTACATTAGAGAGTGAGAACTAGTCTTTTGCTGTTGTCACTTATGAGAATGAAAAGGATAAGAAGAGCTCAGGGGAAAAAAAAAGTTCATTTCTAATTGCAGTGCAACCCACAAGCTTGCACATCCTATAACGAGAAAGCTCCTTGTTAGCTGCCAAAATCTGCCATCCAATCTGTCTAGTAGTTGATTTCGTTATTACATTTTGATGTGCCCTTGACAAGCTTTAGCACACAAAAACTCAACACCTCCTCCTAAGCTCCTCCGGTACCAGAAAGATCATGAAGGGATGACAAAGGCCTGTGCTTGGCTTTTTATTATTCACATAGCTAGAATGTTTATAAACAGAACAGAGTGTAACGAGAGCAAATGCTCAACCACATCAAGTGGTTCCCGTGTCTTGCATGTCATTTAAATATCGATTTAATCTCGTCCTGCACTATATGCTTCACACACACAAAGACCCAAACCAAGTGCCTGAAAACTGTCCCTAGGGGCTTTCAAAATGTGGACAAACAACTCTCTTTTCTTTGGATAATTGTGATGCCTTGTTCCACCACTTTGGGTCTATAGCATCTGGTGTTTCTGAAATCATCTTTAGATGTCACTGTGATCTCTTTGGTCAGCACTGGTCCACTATCTGTCCCCTAACTCAACCTTACAGATTTACGTCTGCACACAGATTCAAGTGGGGGAAAATAGACAATACAATTAGAGGGAATTGAATTAAATTATTAATTTCATGAAATATATTATAAACCTTAGAACAACTTAGGCGAAAGGCAATTAAAACAACCAATGCCTTGATGCCTTAACAAATATAATTATAGGCTAGGTGACTATAATTATAGGCAATATCACTTTTGGAGGCTGAGGCGGGGCATCATTTGAGCTCTGAAGTTCAAGACCAGCCTGGACAGCATAGCGAGACCCTGTTTCTACAAAAAATCAAAAAATTAGCTGAGTGCGGTGGCGTGTGCCTTTAGTCCCAGCTCCTCAGGAGGCTGAGGTGGGAGAATCACTTGAACCCAGGAGGTCAGGCCTGCAGTGAGCCATAATTGTGCCAATGTACTCTAGCTTGGATTATAGAGGGAGATCCTGTCTCAAAAAAAAATTAAAAATTAAAAAAATTTATATAATTATATCCTCTCTCCCTCTCGCTCTTTTCCATTCACTAGTGTTAATGTGCTATAAATGTACTGGCTGGGTTTCACTGAAAAGGTTATAACCTGCTCCTTGGGAGTAAAATACTGCTTTCAGCATTATTCTTAGCTACACTAAACTTCATAGGAAAGCAGAATTCTCTCCCCTACTCTGACAAAGTTTTACTTTGCAAACTTGTCCACTGGTAACCTTGAGTGTTATGGAGGCGTCAGTTACAAAGCTGATGACCCACTCTGAGCCAGGATATTCTTTAATGCCAGGGACAGTGATTGTCCTGCTTACAGAGGGTCAAGATGATCACAATATGTGAGTAATTACTATTTTTGGCAAGGTCAGGGGAGGGGTAGGGGACAGTGGTGAAATCAAAAATGTTCAGTTTACCACAATCATAAAAATATATGCCAGGAGATACATTTCAAGAACTGTATTAAACCACAACAATAAACTTTTTTTTGGCCATATCCAATGGAGAATACTTTTAAATCCATGTATATGCTTAATTTCTTGTATTCTGTGCCATACTACTGATGTTTTAGGTTGTAGGCTATATTGAGCTTCCTGTCTCATTATATTTGCCAAAAACATATTGCCTTTGGAAAAATAAGTTGTTAAATAATAGAAGGAAGGAGCCGAGAGGGGCAAGAGAATTAACAATTATTGACTACCTTCTATAGCCAGATAGTCATAATTGTTTGTTGTTTTACATATGCTATACAATTTAATATAATAATCATAATATAGATCTCTTTAAGATAAGAATGATCCATATTTCCCAGATAAGGAAAAGATAAAGCAAGATTAAGTAACATTCCCAGAGTCACACAGCTAGTATTTTAAAATCTTGGTCAGTCTTAAGTCAAAATCATGCTTATTATCATAGCATCTTTTTTTTTTTTAATAGACAAGATGTCTGAACACCGAGATTTGACCCTAACACACTAATTCTCCCAGGAAAAATGTGTACCTCAAAGGGATATTCCAAAGTTTGCCTTACTTAAGCAACAACAGATTGAAACTATTTGTGGATATAGTACTAATAATTCTGGTAGAAATATGATGAGAAGCAAATAGATCCACTAGCTAGAGGTAGCCGGTTTGCATTTGAGATTAGGTTATTCTTTCTTGTTTTAAAAAGTGTAATTAAACCAACTGTCCTAAGAAAACTCTTCCTTCTGTCCCACATGTAACCAATTCCAGATGTGAAACTGATTCCCTACAATAATTGGTTAGTGTTTTACTTTCTTAAAACCTACTCCTTGACCTTTCTTAAAACCTACTCCTCTCTCAAACTCATTTAGATGCTAGTTTCCAGACTGAAATCAAATTTGGACCCTAAAATGAGGAATGTCTGCAAACAGAATTCCAATTTAATTTGCACTGTTCTCGAAACATTAGAAGTTGAAGGGAAGGAAAGAATGATGATCTCCCGAGGGCCAGAGATCCAACCCCACTCTTTGGTGTGTTCCTGTGGTTTAGCCCCTCTTCCAGGCAAGACCCTCAACTGGGGCTTTCTTGGCTTGGAGTCATTTTGCTGCAGTTAACATTTAGTTCACACATCATTAGATGAAGCCCTGGTTACAGAGATACACTGCTCTTGTCATAGCAGAAGTATGCTGCATGCACCTGCAGTTTGAAGTTTTTGTTGAGGGAATAGACTGAAATGAATGAAAAGATTGAAACCGTTTACTTTTTTGTGACTCCACCTGCTGTGGTGTATTTTTGTTGGACAGAATAACTGGAGGTGTGTTTATAGCTTCAGGGAAAGGATACATTAGGGGTTACATGATTTTAAGGTGATTTTTTTTTCTTTAAAGCTATAAATCAAATTTCCATGAAAACAGTTATATGTATATAACTGCTATAGAATTTGTGGAGATATATATGTATCTATTATGCTTCTTTTCCCCTTGGTGAGTAAGAAAGGAATAATTTCCTTTGTTGTTGTCATCCCAGAAGTAATTTTTCCATGGTAGTGGTATGTCAGTACCATATCTGTGCTGTATTTGAGATTGACAATAATGTCAATCGATGCTAGCCTATCATATCTACAAACTTATAATTATTAGATTCTGTTTTAAGTGTCTTTCAGAACGCATATACTGTATCAAGTGCTCAGTCAGGCCCTGTAACATTTAATTAGTAATCTCGTGAGGTAGATTTTTTTTTGAGACGGAGTCCTACTCTGTTGCCCGGGCTGGAGTGCAGTGGCGCAATCTCTGTCGCCCGGGCTGGGGTGCAATGGCGCAGTCTCGGCTCACTGCAACCTCTGCCTCCCGGGTTCAAGCGATTCTCCTGCCTCAGCCTCCCAAGTAGCTGGGATTACAGGCACCCGCCACTAGGCCCAGCTAATTTTTTGTATTTTTAGTGGAGACGGGGTTTCGCCATGTTGGCCACGCTGATCTTGATCTCCTGACCTCGTGATTCACCCACCTTGGCCTCCCAAAGTGCTGGAATTACAGGCCTGAGCCACTGCGCCCGGCCATGAAGTAGATTTTATAATCCCCATTTTCTAGATGAAGGACCTAACGTGAAAGAAGATAAATGTCTGGCTGAAGCTTTTGCAGCTCTTCAGTGATGGAGCTGGGATGATAACCTCAGTCAGACACCAAATCTAGTGATCCATGACACAACAGTACCAAGGAAAACTCTTAGAGGGAATTGAATTAAATTATTAATTTCATGAAATATAAACCTTAGAACAACTTAGGTGAAAGGGAATTAAAACAACCAAAGCCTCTAATGACAGTGAAACACATTATTCCTTTATTGTATCAAGTCTTCGATTAAGCCATTTTTGTCCATGAATTCTAGGCCTTCTGTCTGTTGGCATTTATGTTGTTAATCTCTGAATATTTACAAGTCAGCATGAATATATGATGTATAACCTCGTTATTGAGGAGTCTCAACTCTGAGATAGAGGCATGAAATGGTCTTGGTTTTTTCCAGTTATTGTTTCAACTCTGTTATGTTGAACCCCTTCCCCCTTTCCGTCTCTTAATTTCCTATTGAGATGACTCCATAAGTTTCTGGTTATTTTAATATGAGACCTAATATTATTATAATCCCAAACTCGGCTTAAAGTCCTATCTTTTTCCCATTTAAGGGGCAGATCTGTCCTGGCTCTGATTTCCCTTCTCCTCATCCTCATCAAGACCTAGATCCTTATCTGCGGGTCAGGGAACTAGCAAAGGCAGATACTCTCTTGTGTTACTCTGGTTACAGGCGGTAGGGGAAGTGTCCCTGGCTGTACTCCGATTTGATCTAGTTCTGTCTGATGCTATGGACACTTCATTTAAGGTGAATGTGTTTTGAGTGATGAATTGTCTTGGGATAGGCTTACAATTATTTGAGTCCCCTTTGTTGTGAGTACTTTCTCACAGAGAGGCTGTTTAGTTTTCCTTTGGCATTTCCAGCCGTAAAATCCCACACCCCTCACAGGGTGGGGTAGCCTCATGCCTGGCCTGGTGGCTTCTTGTGTAACCCATGGCTTTTGCCTGGCTCTTCCTCTCCATGTGTCATCACATAAGCCAAGAAAGCTACAGAAAATTTCTTCTGTTCTTTGAGGGCCCGGGGAAACTGGAGTGGTGTGGAGTTTGACTCATTTCATTCCTAGGAACAGTACTCTATTTGTCCCTACAAGACCTGTTGGCATGGCTGCTCCAGTGAGGCTCTCATTTCTGGAAGTTTCTAGTCTGGGAGCAGTCACTAGTCTCTGCTTATGAATGCACTCACACTTCTGGGAATGGATTAGGCAGGCTTTCTCTGATGTTATAGGGATCTAATATGCAGGACAGATCAACTCCCAAAATTATGCTTAACCGAACAATGATACTTTATTATCCCATAGTTTCCCTGGGTCAGAAATTCTAAAGAAATGGCTGGGCAGTTCTATTTCAGGGTTTCTCATGAGGTCACAGTTAGATGTCATGTGGAGGTGTAGTCATCTGAAGGTTTTATTGGGGCTGGAGGATCTGCTTCCAAGGTAGCTCACTTCCATGGCTGGCATCCTGGGGCTCACTATGGGCAGAAAGTCTCAGCTCCTCTCCATGCGTGCCTATTAGTAGAGCTGCCTGAGCGTCCTCATGACATGATGCTGGCTTCCTCCCAGAATATGTGAGCCAAGAGACCAAGGCAAAAGCTGCATGTGTTTTGTGACCTCAGCTCATAAGTCACAAACTGTCACTTCTGTCCTGTTCTAGTAGTCACATAGAGTAGCCCTAATTCAGTGTGAAAATGGGCTACACAGATATATGAATACCAACAGGATTCTTGTGGGTCATATTGCAGGCTGGTTACCACAGTGGGCCTTCAGGTTTCTGAAACTTAACTAAATGAAAAACAAAACAGCAGGAAAAAGAAGCCAATCCACCCTTCTTGCATGCAGTCCCAATTTCTAACCAGTGACTCACTGAGAGCCCTCGAATTTACTTGACTTGGGGTGAGGGACACCATCACTTTCTCCTCCTTAGATATACTCTACTACTCTACTATACAATAGTGTACAGTATAGTACACTACACTGTGAGTGGGAGCCAACAACTCATTTCTCTTCTCTTCTTGTTCCTCTCCTTATTAAACTAGAGAGGAAATGTGGAGTTATGGTTGGTGTGTGAGGCCACTACATCTAAGTAATTTTTTTGAAGACGTCTCCAACTTCCATTATAAGACACATGATGGATGTAATATTGGTTACAGTGACAGCTGCTATAACAAATTAACACCAAAATTTGAATGGCATATTCACCTTCAGTTTATAGGTTTCTCACGTAAAGTTTTCTAACTGGGAGGATTGCTCTATATAGTCATTGAGGCTGAGAGAGGCTCTCCCATATTCAATATGAGGTAATGTCTCCTTGACATTGATATACAGCCAGTGAAATGGGGTAAGGCAGAGAGTATGGGAAGTTTGTTATTGTTGTTGTTTGAGATGGAGTCTTGCTCTGTCACCCAGGCTGGAGTGCAGTGGCATGATCTCGGCTCGCTGCAACCTCTGCCTCCCAGGTTGAAGCAATTCTCCTGCCTCAGCCTCCCAAGTAGCTGGAATTACAGGTGCCCACCACCATGTCTGGCTAATTTTTGTATTTTTAGTAGAGACGGGGTTTCACCATGTTGGTCAGGCTGGTCTCGAACTCCTGATCTCGTGATCTGCCCGCCTCGGCCTCCCAAAGTGCTGGGATTACAGGCTTGAGCCACCGTGCCCAGCCAGGAGGTTTTTATAGTAAGCTTGGCCTGAACTTGCACTCATCAGTTCTCAGACCTCTTTGGCTTTGATGATCTGTCTTCCTCTCTGCTACTACCTGTTGGAAATTCATTCAGGCGGGCATACCTTAGATGTAATCACTGCCAACATCACAACAGAGTTGTGCCACCTCAGAAAACTTTGTTTGATAAAAACAACCCAGTCTCTGACTTCCTCTGTTTACCTCACTTACTCTGATTCTGCCTTTCCAAGAACTCTCCCACTAATCTACAGCTGTACCTGTTTTCAGTTCCTCACCATTCTCCTTGTGCCCTCACCTCTCTGTCTACTGGCCTGGATTCCCGTCCCAGCATTATAACCTTCTTGCCACCCCTGTCCCTTCATTGTACATGACTGGGAACCCCCTGAGGCTGGTTAAAACCAACTGTCTACTTGGCGCCACACCTGTATTTGTGCTCTTGAACAATGTCAGTGAAAAAACATGCAACTTTACTCACTGGACTCGTTACAAATTTACAACCAAAAGTGTGAAATGGGTGCTCCACACTGCATAGATGGACTAGAGGACTCACTTTCTTATTGTCTAAGATGTTCATTTCACACCTTCTCCAGTCTCTTCTTAAATGTTTTTAGCTAATGACCTCAATCTATAATTCTTAGAGATAATTGATAAAATTAGTCAATAACTACTTTAACTTCTCATTGCTCATCATGTTACACTGAAAAGTGATTCCTGCCCCTAAAACCAACCGCTTCAGTTTTTTTCTTAGATCCTGTCTTTTGTACCTTCTGAAAGATTCAGTTACCATTATCCCCTTTCTGTCTTGCATCATCAACTTTTTCCTCTCTGCCAGATCATCCCCACTGGCAAATAAACATACTGTAATATAATTCGTCTTAAAATGAAAAACAAATCCCCTTAATTTGGTCCTTCTTTCAAGTGCCACCCCATTTCTTGGCTTTTTTTCACAGAAAAACTACTTGAAAACATTCTTCAAATTCACTAATTCACAAATTCACCCTAAATTTTCCCCTCTCATTTCTTTTTCAGTCTGCTGAAATTGGAATTTGACTCCTACAACTCTACTAAAAGCTTTCAACCAGATCCCCATTGATCTATGTCTTGTCAGTGCCAATAGTTAAGCCCCTCCTATACTCAGCCTCTCAGCAGCCACCCTGGTTACATGTTTCTTCTGAAACATGGTCTTTTCAGGCTTTCTGCAACACAACATCCTCTTGGATTTCCTTCTTCTTGGTCTTCTTTGCTGGCTTCTTTTTCTCTACCATGTTTTACATGTTAGTGCTTCAGCCATACCCTCTCTCCTGATGACCTCATCCAGTTTGAGTTTTTTAAATCACTGATACACAGATATCTCTAAATTGTTCTCGCCAGCTCAGTCTGCAACTAAGGTCCAGACCTTTAAATCTAACTGCCAAACTGGTATCTCTACTAGAATTCGTAACTCTAAACTGACATGCAAAACAGAGCTGTTTGTTTTTGTCAAACGTATCTCCCCCTTGCCCCAAAGCAAGCTTTTCTCTTTTCAGCAAATGGTGCCATCAAAGGCCTACTTTCTTAAGCTAACATCCAAAGAATGTCCTTGAGGTTTGTGAGATTTTTTATTTTTGTCCATTGACAAGTCCTGTTGGTTCAACCTCCAAATTATAGTCCTAATTCAACTCTTTCTTACCAGCTCTGTTGCTGAAACCTAGCCTGCACTGTGTCACCAGTTTGGTCTACTTCAAGAGCCACCTCACTCGTCTCCTCACATCCTCTGTTCTCCTCCTATAGCCCATCCTCCCCACATAGAAGTCAGACTGCTATTTTAAAGATGAGATCATGTTATTTCTCTGCTTAGAATCATCCAATCGCTTTTATTATCATAGGCTTCAAGGTCTACCTGACCAGACCCTGCCTAGTCCTCTAACCCCAGGCCCCTCCTCTCTCCCTCCTTGTTCACTGTGCTTCTGCCACATTGGCCTTCCTTTTGGGACCTTGAACCTGCCAAGCTCATCCCTATCACAGAAACATTGCACATAACTATTTTTTTGATTTGGAATGCTCTTTCTCCAGGGAGTTGTGTGGCATTCTCCTCCTCTTTCAGGTCTCATTTCATATACTGCCTCCTCAAGAAATCTTGCATGACTATAGAAGCTAAAGAACTTCCACTTTGCATCATAGCGCTCTATTTAATTTTCTTTCTAGCCGTACTGGGACCTGAAATGATCTCAACATATTTTATATTTTCATGTTACCTTTTAAAAAAATTAATACTTATAATCATGCTCTAATACTTAAGCTCCTTGAAGACAAATCCTTTTTCGTTTGCTTCTTGTGATATGTCTAGTGCCAGGAACGGAGCTTCCCTCAGAGTGGGTGCTAATAAATATTTGCTGAATGAATGACTAACTCTCGTAATTTCAGGCATTTCAATTATAACTGAGAATTCAATGTGACAGTCATTAGTATAGCAGCAATCTTGTTTTCTATATGTAGAAAACAGGCAGGTTTAGTACTTTAAATGACATTATTAAAAATGTTAGCATACTGTCCAGCTAATGGCAGCACATTAGTAAACTATTTTATCTTCATACTGCAATGAAGAATTATTTCCCTCTTTCATGAAGGTAAATAAAGAATTGATCAGTCTTATGGACTTTGTTTAATTTTTAATTAAGGGTAATTCTTTTTAAATAGCTATTTTAACTTTTTCTTGCTTACTAATGTAATACATGTATATTTCAAAAAAAAAATCTGGAAAGTCTGGGAAAAATAGTTATGTGAATGTATTATTCACTCTTAAAGCCATCCAGAGAAAAGTATTTCTGACATTTTGGTGTATTTCTTTCTCTCGTTGGTCTCCATCTCTGTCCCTGTCTCTGTCTCTTTGTCTTCTTTTCTCACTATATTCACCAAATTACTTTGTGGTGTATGTGTGTGTGTGTGTGTGTGTGTGTGTGTGTGTGTGTATCATTACTTAAAGGTTTATTTCTCCCACCCCAAGTCTCTCTTGGAGATCCTCTGTGATGGGGTGGTCTCTTGTATGTTCCTAAATTAATCCATCCCGTAGGCATGACCAGTAACCTGTTTCTAGTACTCTGCCCACCTGCTGGTTGTCCCTTAGATCCTCTCAATTGTATTTATCTGAAAATAAGCGTGCTTCAATTCCACCCAGTCCCATGCACAGGAATTGTGTCTGGTAGAACCTTGTTCTTCGAAGGGTAATCCATGGCCCAGCAGTGTTGGCATCACCTAGAGGTTTATTAGAAATGCAAATTCTTGATTTCCACCTTTTATGGTTTAAATTATGTCCCACCAAAATTCACATATTGAAGTCCTATCCCTAATACCTCAGAATATGACCTTATTGGGAGATAAACTCTTTACAGGGGTAATCAAGTTAAAGTTAGGTCACTGGGGGGAGGGCCTAATCCATGTGACTATTGTCCTTATAAAAAGGGAAAATTTGGACACAGAGAATGCATAGAGGGGAGATGGCCATCTACAAGCCAAGTAGAGAGGCCTGGAACAGATTCTTCTCTTAACGTCCTCAGAAGGAACCGATCCTGCCAACACCATGATTTTCGATTTCTACCCTCTAAAGTTGTAAGACAATATATTTTTGTTTTTAAAGCCACTCCACTTGCAGTATTTTGTTATAGCAGTCCTGGCAAACCAATGTAACACTGCAAAGCTATGAATTGGAATCTGTAGTTTAAGAAAATCTCCAGGTGATTTTTATGCATGTTAAGGTTTGGAAACATGGAGCTAGAGTGCTTTACAGAGCAAGTCAGGGAAATCTAACTCAAATAGTCATTAACAATAAACAGAATTTATTGCACTGGCTCAATCTGGATGCATGCTAGGGTCACCTGGGGAGCTTTTAAAAATCATAATGCCAGGAGCATAACCCAGACCACTTAAGAAAGAATCTCTGGAAATGGATCCTAGGTATCAGTAAGCTTCCCTGAAGAACGGAATGAGCAAACAGAGATGAGAACTGCTGATTTACTGATGTATGTAACTGAAACAAAGTCCTCCACTGAATAACTGGGAACAAGCATCTTCACTTATTTAACATTAGATTATGCTAAATGTGCAATGATGCTTATAATCTTTTAAATTTAATTAAAATCTTTTTCTGGAGCTGGGCACGGTGGCTCACACCTGTAATCCCAGCACTTTGGGAGGCCGAGGCGGGCAGATCACGAGGTCAGGAGATCGAGACCATCCTGGCTAACACGGTGAAACCCCGTCTCTATTAAAAATACAAAAAATTAGCTGGGCATGATGGGAAGTGCCTGTAGTCCCAGCTGCTCGGGAGGCTGAGGCAGGAGAATGGCGTGAACCCGGGAGGCGTAGCTTGCAGTAAGCTGAGATTGCGCCACTGCACTCCAGCCTGGGAGACAGTGAGAGACTCTGTCTCAAAAAAAAAAAAAAAAAATCTTTTTCTGTGTCATTTTTATGGCGATCTAATTTTTTCTTATATGTCCACTGTAATTATTTTACTAATGCTGTATTATTGAACACCCTGGGGAATATAGATACATAAGGCTGGGCCAAGAAAGTGAACTTTACAAAGCAAATTTACAAGTACCGGCCAGGCTGGATGTGGTGGCTCAGGCCTGTAATCCCAGCATTTTGGGAGGCTGAGGCGGGCGGATCACCTGAGGTCAGGAGTTTGAGACCAGCCTGGCTAACATGGTGAAACCCTGTCGCTACTAAAAATACAAAAAGAATTAGCCAAGCATTGTGGCGTGCGCCTGCAATCCCAGCTACTCGGGAGGCTGAGGCAGGAGAATTGCTTGAACTCAGGAGGTGGAGGTTGCAGTGAGCCAAGATTCCAGCCTGGGCGACAAAAGTGAAACTCTATCTCAAAAAATAAATAAATAAATAAATAAATAAATAAATAAATAAATAAATAAAGTACTGGCTCAAGAGAGAAGAGAAAAACCAGGAAAATCCAGCATGAGTGAAGCCAAGTGAAAACACCGTTTTAAGAAGAAGGCAGTTTTCAAGGGTGGTGAGAACTAAAGAGAAGTGAAGTAAGAGAAAGGAATAAAAGTTTCCACTAGTTTGAGCATTCCAGAAGCCATTGTAGGGAAAGAATTACTCTCTATAGAGTGGGGACCAAAACCATTTTGCAGCAGGTTGAGGAGTGGGGATTGGGGAACGGAGGCAGTGAGTGAAGACAAGTCTTTTAAGAGTCTAGGTAGGATAGGGAGAAGATAAGGTGGGAGCACAGGATGTGACAGCAAGGTTCTTATTTATTTTGAAATTTAATGTATTTTATTTTTTAATAGGTGTGCCGGTAAGTATAAATGCTGAGGTTGATAATTCAGATAATGAGAAGAAATATATACTTATATATAATGGTATATACTTATATATGCAGGCTTATATACTGGTGGATATAAGCCTCTGTATAGGGTAGAGAGAATAGGATTTGATCGACAGTTTGAGGAAAAGAGCCTTGAATGGGAGAACTGCTTCTTGTGGCCGGAAGGAAAGAAGAAAGAAGGGAGGGCTGGGTGCGGTGGCTCATGCCTGTAATCCCAGCACTTTGGGAGGCTGAATCATGGGGTCAGGAGATCGAGACCATCCTGGCCAACATGGTGAAACCCTGTCTCTACTAAAAATACAAAAATTAGCTGGGTGTGGTGGCACATGCCTGTAATCCCAGCTACTCGGGAGGCTGAGGCGGGAGTATCACTTTTACCTGGGAGGCGGAGGTTGCAGTGAGCCACGATCACACCTTGCACTCCAGCCTGGTGACAGAGCAAGACTCTGTCTCAAGAAAGAAAGGAAGGAAGGAAGGAAGGAAGGAAGGAAGGAAGGAAAGAAAGAAAGTAGGGTTATAGGTTAGTTTTTTTTTTTTTTTTTTTTTTTTTGGTGGGTGGACAGGATATTTAGGGATTTTCTGCTTCATGTTTTCCATTTTTCCCAGGGACTGGTAAACAAGAATGTTTTCAAAGAATGAAGAAGGAAGTAGTGGGCGGATAGTGGGAAGACCAATGATATGAACAAGCTACTGTGTGGAATGGAAAAAAGGAAAGCCAGCCAGGGAAACCAAGAGTGTGTTCTGCTTAGTGCTGAAGATCCAGTGACTTCAGATATAATACATTTATGTTCCATGTGTTCGTATGATTTCCCCCAACACTGCATAGGAAAGGACAAGTCTGATAATTAGATTGGTTCAAAGTCATAGGCTTACTTGACGGGTACAACATAAAGAAGAAGTGGACACAACAGATTAATATCAAGAAAGATGTTAAAGTGATGGATCATGGACTCGCAACTTGAAAGATAAGAAAGTGCTCATGGGAGCACTTTGCGAGGCTGAGCATGAGGATTGCTTGAGCCCAGGAGTTTGAGACCAGCCTTGGCAACATAGTGAGACCTCGTCTCTACTAAAATTAGATGTGGGGTTGCACGCCTGTGATCCCAGCTACTTGGGAGGCTGAGGTAGGGGGATCATTTAAGCCTGGGAGGTCAAGGCTGTATGGTTGTGCCACTGCATTCCAGTCTAGATGACACAGCTAGATCCTATCTCAAAAAAAAAAAAAAAAATGCTCATTGGGACAACAAAATGAATGAAAGGACTGATGATTTCTAATGAGATAGAAAACATTTTATGTGTCTATTTAGTTGATTGTATGGTTTTTGTTTTTAACTCTGTTAATTTAATTAATTATATTTATTGATTTGCATATGTTAAGCCAATCTTGCATCCTAGGAATAAAGCCTACCTGATCATGGTGTATTAACTTTTTGATGTGCTGGAGTTGGTTTGCCAATATTTTGCTGAGGATCTTTGTGTCTATGTTCATCGGGGTGTTGGCCTGTAGTTTTCTTTGTCTGTTGTGTCTTTGCCAGTGTTTGGTATCAAGATGATGCTGGCTTCATAGAATGAGTTAGGGAGGAGTCTCTCCTCGGTTTTCTGGAATAGTTTCAGTAGAATTGGTACTAGCTTTTCTTTGTATGTCTGGTAGAATTCGACTATGAATCTACATCTGGCCCAGGGCTTTTTTTTTTTTTTGGTAGGTTTTTAATTACGAATTCAGTTTCAGAACTCGATATTGGTCTGTTTAGGGTTTCAGTTTCTTCCTGGTTCAATCTTGGGAGACTGTGTATTTCCAGTAATTTATTCATTTCCTCTAGATTTTTTAGTTTGTATGCACAGAGATGTTCCTAATAGTCTCTGAGGATCTTTTGTATTTCTGCAGCATTAGTTGTAATGTCACCTTTGTTGTTTCTGATTGTGTTTATTTGGATGTTTTCTTTGTTAATCTAGCCAGTAGTCTACTGATCTTGTTTATCCTTTCAAAGAACCAATTTTTTGTTTAGTCAACCCTTTGTATGGATTTGTGGGTCTCAATTTTTTTCAGAAAGCAACTGAGAAAAAATTATAAGGATATTATATTTGATACCAAGAAACCTGATATTCATAAAATTAGAACATTATATAATCATAATTAAAGCAATTATTTAATCACAGTTTCAGTGCTCATTGCTAATCTTCTTAAAACTGAGATTTCATACTTGAGTTAATTTGCATTTGTCAGAATATAAATGGTACATCTTTAATTAAATTCTTTTACAGTATGATATATTGGTGAATGGTATTGACTGAGTCCTTTCACATCTTAGAATGTTTCTGTGCTGTCTTCACATATGCAGTGCAGTTTGAGTTCAGAATTTTAAAATTATTTCTTTCAAACAACTCCGAGGTATTTAATGGTTTTCTGCCATTCATTGCTTCATTCATCTTTATTTTTATTTTATTCCTTTGTAGATAATCTTCTAATTTATATATGAATAGTTGTAGATTCATTATATGTAACTGAAGTATTTACCAAAATATTTTTGTCTTGGGGATCTTTTCATTGATTCATTCTCTAAAACAGAATTTTCTTTAAGAAAAGTCAACTTTGGAGACTTCTGCTCCCAGAAAAGCAGAATAAATATTTGTACTTTTCTCTATTCCTTCTGCTAAGTAAAAACGAAAACTCTAGATATTATATATGAAACAAACATAAGAAGACTCTAAAAAGTAAAGAGAAAAAGACAGACTGGTTAGACATCTCAAGACCCAAGAAGCAATAGGATGGTCAGTTCTTTTGGACTTATATATTCCAGAGTTAGAGCTAAAGAAGGTGGCAATCTGGAAACCCTAATAGGCCATGGACAATGAAAGCTCCAAGAACACCAAAAGACAAGGAAAGGGGCAGCCTCACAAGACAAAAATATTTTAGACAATAACTGCTGTACTCTAGCCAAACACCACTGAAAAACTGTGAACTCACCCCCAGTCACTCTAAAGCCAAGTTGGGAGCCTAGACTTCTACCCTTGTCAGGGTATAATGAGACACTCCAACCCCCCTGACAGGGTGTTCAGAGAAGGCCAAATAAAGAACTAGGACTTTCATCTCTGCCAGGCTGAGACCACATAGGGAGGCTGGAATTTTCCCTCTACTCAGTAGTAGCAAGGCCCCCTTCTGTGATGTCGGTGCCACATGAGGAATAGGACAAAGATTTTTTGCCCCTTCCATTCAGGGCAATTTTAAGTGGAGACCTACTGGGAAGCCAGAACTCCCACTCCTACCTAGTGATGAGTGGTTTCCTCCTCTCCAGAAGGTCTAACATAGGCCAAATGGGGAACCTAGACTTCTACTCTAACCTGCCAGTACAGGGGTGGCTGTATTGAAGCAGAGTTAGATGAAGCCAGCTAAAACAGAAGGTTTAAATAAGGTCCAGAGTCACATAACATAATACCCAAATTGTGTAAGCTTCAAAAAAAAAAAAAAAAAAAAAAATTACTCATCCAACCAAGAACTAGGAATATCTCAAATTCAATGAAAACAGACACTCAATAGATGCCAACAGAGATGCTAGAATTATATGACAAATATTTTAAAGCAGCCATAATTAAAATACTTCAAGCAATTATAAATATGCTTGAAAGAAATGAAAATATAGAAAATCTCAGCAAAGAAATGGAAAGTCTCAGCAAAGAAATAGAAGATCTAAAAAAGAATCAAATGGACATTTTAGAACTGAAAAATACAATAACCAAAAAAAAAACCACCCCAAAACAAAAAAACCCTCAACTTAATGGTGGATTTAACAGCAGAATGAAGGGAACCAAGAAAAGAATCAGTAAACTTGAAGATAGAACAAAATAAATCACCCTTAATGGACGACAGATAGAAAATAGACTAGAAAAAAAGAAATAAGCAGAGCTTTGGGGACCTGTGGGATCTAACAGCCCTGTTACTGGAGACCAGGAAAGATAGAAGAAAAAGAATAGGTGGAAAAAGTACTAGAAAAAATTTGATGAAAAGCTCACCAAATTTGTTAAGAGACATAGTTGTAGAGATTCAAGAAGTGGAGCACACCCTAAACAAAAACTTAAAGAAATTCATGCCAAAATACATCATAATACTGAAAACTAAAAACTAAAGACACAGAAAAAAATATTGAAAACAACTAAAGAAAAATAACACCTTTCCTACAGAGGAAATACAATTTGAATGCCAGTAGCTTTCTCATCAGACATCATGGAAGCTACGAGGAAACTGCACTCCAGCCTGGGTGACACAGGAGACTCCATCTCAAAAAAAAAAAAAAAAAAAAAAAAGAAGAAGAAGAAGAAGAGTTTCATATCAGTAATCTAAGATCTTTCTTACTTCAAGAACCTAGAAAAAGCAGAGCAAAATAAAACAGAAAGAGAAGGAAGGTATTAATAAAGGTAAAAGCAGAAATCAGTGAAATTCAAAGCAGAAAGCCAAGAAAGAAAATCAATGAAACAAAGGGCTGGTTTTATGAAAAGACCAATAAAATTGACAAACCTTTTCAAAGACTGACAAACTTAAAAAGGAGAAAGAACGTACTAATGTCAGAAATAAAACAGGATATTACTACAGACCTTGCAGACATCAAAAGGATAATAAAGATATACTACGAACAACTATACACACATAAATCTGACATTAAAAAAATTTTTTTTAGAGTCATTGTCTTGCCATGTTGCTCAAGCCGTCCTCAAACTCCTAGGCTTGACCAGTCCTTCTGCCTCAGCCTCTTGAGTGGCTGTGCCTGACTTAAATTTGACAACTTAGATGGAATTGGCCTCCTTTCAAAAATGCAAAATACTACAACTCACTCAATATTAAACACATAATATAAATAGCCTTACAATTATTAATAAAATTGAGGTCAAAATTTTAAAACTCCCCCAAAAGAAACCTTCAAGCCCAGATGATTGCAAGGGAACATTTTACCAATGTTAAAAAAAACAAAAAAACCCACCAATTTTACACAAACCTCTAGAAATTAAAAGAGGACAGAGCACTTCCAGTTCATTTTATGAACAGACAAGGCAGTACACAAAAGAAAGCTACAGACCATTATCCATCATGAATATAGAAGCAAAAATACTTAAAATATTAGCAAATGGAATTTGGCAATATATAAAAATAATTATATACCATGACTAAATTGGGTTTATTCCAGGGTGCAAGTTACAATGCTTGAAAACCAAATGTTATCTATGTCTTGCTCAGATTTTGATAGGAATTGTGTGAAACCCGTATATCAATTTGGAGAGAATTGGCACTTTTCATCTGTTGAGTCTTTCAATCTGTGGGACACCATGGATCCATCATATTAACAGGCTAAAGATGAACAACCATATAATCATGTCAGTCAATGAAGAAAAAGCATTTGACAAAAATGAAACACTCATTCATTATAAGACTCTCGGAAAAGTATAAACAAAGGAAAACTTTGTCAACTTGAAAAAGAGCATCTACAAAGTTCTGGAAGTTCTAGCCTCCACAACAAGGCAGTGAAAGGAAATAAAAGATATGTGAATTGGAAAGGTAGAAAATAAAATGGTCTTTGTTTACAAATGACATAATTTACTGAATACTTCTAGAACTAAAGATTGAGTTCAACAAGTTAGGGGGTGCATGTTAAACACATCAAAATCAATTGTATGTCTATATACTAGCAGTGTACATGTGGACACCAAAATTAAATATGCAGTACCATTTACATTCTCTCAAGGATAAAAATGAAATAGATGTAAACCTAACAAAACATATATAGCACTTGTATGTTACAAACTACAAATGCTGGTGAATCAAATATACTTTTAAAGTGGAGATATACTGTATTCATAAATTAGAAGATAATATAGGAAAGATGTCATGTCTCCAAATTCATATATAAGTTTCATGGAATTCCTGTCAAAATCCAAGCAAAACATAAACAAGCTTATTCTAAATGTTTTATTTAGAGGCAAAGGATCTAGTCCAGCTTAAACAATTTTGAAAATGAAGATTAGGAAAGTAGGAATTCGTCTACTTGGTTTCAAGACTTATTTTATAGCTACAGTAAACAAGATTGTATACAGAGAACAGATAGACACATAGATCAGTGAACAGAAGAGAGAACCCAGAAATAGATCCCCACAAATATACCCAATTGATTTTTGACAAAGGTGCAAAAGCAATTCAGTAGGGAGAGAGAACCTTTTTAACAAATGGTGCTGGAGAAATTGGACATCCATAGGCAATACAAAACACAAAACAAAAAACCTAACCTAAGTTTCACATCCTATACAAAAATTTACTCAAAATACATCACAAATTTTAAGTAGAAATATCTTTAGGATCTGGGTTAAGCAAAGAGATCTTAAGAGTTGACATCAGACCACAGTCTGTAAAAGGAAAAATGGTGAATTGAATTTCATCAAAATTAAGAACTTTCCTCTGTGAGATACTTTATTAAGAGATGAAAAGACAAGTTACAGAATGTAATAAGAAGAAACAAACTATTGATACCTGCAGTGACTTGTATGGATCACCAGGGAATTATGCCCAGAGAAAAAGACAATCCCAGTAGGTTACATATGATAAGATTCCTTTTATATGTACATTCTTGAAATAACAAAATTATAGAAATGGAAACTAGATGAGTGGTTGCTAGGATTTAAGGAGAAGGTGAGGACAGAAAGGAAGTGGATGTGGGTGTCAAAGGGCAACATGAAGGATCCCTGTGGTTATGGGACTGTGGTGATGGAATATATCTTTACTCTATCAATGTCAACATCCTCACTGTGAGACTGAACAATAGTTTTACAAGATGTTACCATTGAAGGAAACTGCATAATGGTTATGTCGGAGCTCTGTATTATTTCTTACAACTGCATGTGAATCTACAATCATCTCAAAATAAAAATTTCAATAATTTTAATTTCATTTAGGTATAGTTTACATACAATAAAATGCCTCCTTTTCGTGTGTACAATTTGATGAGTTTTGATAAATGTATAAATGATAAATGTGTTGGTGTGTACCCACCACCACAATCCCCCAAGCAGGCTCCCTCATGCCCTTTTGTAGGCGATCTTCCCTCATCCCAGACCTTGGCAACCTGCAATATGCCACTGTAAATTAGTTTGTGTTTTCCAGAATTTCAGTATTTACTTTTAAACCACAATATTTAGATCTCTATCAATATCAGTAATATTTTCTTCAATAACTTATAACTAGTTTTGTTCCATTTGTCTTTGTTTCTTATTTGGAAAATTCTATTTTGTTTAGATTAAAATTTGGAATCTCCATCCTCCATGTCTGTTATCTTCTTTCTCATGTTGTTTTCATTTCTTTGTTTCTTTCTTCTATGTATCAGGAGAACTTCTCATCTTTGCCCCTTAATCACTGATTTGATCTTCTGTAGAGTGATGTGTCTGTTACTCTCACCAACATGGATTCTAATGCTGCTCTGTGCTAAGTATTTCTTATAAACCACCTGTGGGCTCTGCTCCTCTCTTTGCTGCTCTGACTCTAACTTCCCGTGGCCTTTCATCATTTAGTTTCTTCTTCTGTGGATGCTATTTCATCTCTTTGCCAAAACTCCCTCTGAACCACTGAGTCACTTCCTCTATTTAAATCTTGCCTCAAAGCCTTCTTTTCCTTTTTTATTTATTTATGAATGAAACTCTCTGTGAGGAGTTTTGTGGTTCTATTTAAGGGCGCTATGTAAAGCTGAAGAGTATTATATAACCATCCATAAAATGTCTCTGACTGAAGTACAACATACAAATGGAGGCTGTACAATTCATAAACTTCTTTTATAGTCACCTATCACTTAATAAATATGAGGGGACTAACTGCATTACATTTTTTTCATGAACAAAAACCAGTCTTTGAAACAAAATTGCCTATGCTTTGGAGCCGATTCTATCTTTCATGGTCTAAAATTTATGCATTGTGACTTTGTACTGTTGGAGATCAATAATTCTTCCCTCAATTATACAAAGGGTTTTTGCTACCTTAAAAGATATTCCAGATATCTAGAAACCTTTTCTACGACCCAAACTCATTTTCTGTCAAAGCCACTTAATAACAAACAGGCACTACAACAATAACAACAAGAAAACTAGCCACAGACTTTACACTTTTAAAAGCTCTGTTAAAATGAGGATTGATCCGATTAAAGATTAAGCATATTATGCAAGAAAAAAATGTAAAAGGCTTAAACTAGGAGTCCATTCTTTGGTTTTTTCAAAGAACAGGTTTGTTATTGTTAAAGTACCAAGTACTATTTCTTCTTGGAAGGTATAAATTTTATAAAAGGAGTGGCTACATAAAATGGAGACTTTTACTATAGGATACACAGTCTGTGGAAAGTTTCATTACCTTGTAGTGCAAGCTCCCTATTGCAGTTTATTGCCAAATCTGATGCTTCACTTCAGAGAAATAGAGCTGGTTGGTGCCAATAATGGCAGAAGAATAAGTCCTTTAAGGATGGGCAGGGATTTCAGTTCAAAATGGCATCATATTCACATTTTATGAAATGTCCTTCCCTGGCTCTCTACTGAAATACTCATGAAGACATTTAAAAAGGCAAAACAGTTATGAAAACCAAAGACAGTTGTGAACCATTTAACAGCTACAGAGGAATTCTCACCAACCACAGCAGGAAAGAACCTGGACGGGGACCAAAAATTGTGGCCCCGGCATGTGTGCCTCCACTTCCGAAAAAGAGCCTCATCCATGAAAAATAAAACAGTAAAATAAATAAAAATAAATTGGGAAATGTATAAAAATGACTCTAGTTCACAAGTAGAAATGAAGAAATCCAGACAGTCTGGTTTTTTTGTTTTTGTTTTTGTCTTTTTTTAGAGGAAAGGTTGGTATAGAAATAGTTTTCTGTTTAAGTACATAGCAATATTAGAATGTATATCAATGATAGTAAAGAACTATAGAAAATCAAGTCAGTGATTTAGGAGACAAAGATGAGAAGTTCTGCCGTCCATGATGCAGAAGGTGGAGGTGAGTGCTGTATATTAGGAAAGTTTTTGATTGAACCTAGTCTACTTAGAAGGTGGAGTAAGATCATTAAGAATATAAATTAGAGTATGACTCTAGAGTTGAAAAGAGAATCTCTCCTCCTGTTAGATAATTATATGTAATATTATATATGTATTTCTAAAATCTTTTTTTTTTTTTTTTGAGACAGAGTTTCACTCTGTTGCCTGGGCTGGAGTGTAGTGGTGTGATCTTGGCTCACTGCAACCTCCGCCTCTTGGGTTCAAGCAATTCTCCTGCCTCAGCTCCCCAAGTAGCTGGGATTACAGGCACGTGCCACTATGCCCAGCTAATTTTTGTATTTTTAGTAGAGACGGGGTTTCCATGTTGGCCAGTCTAGTCTCAAACTCCTGACCTCAGGTGATCTGCCCGCCTCGGCCTCCCGAAGTGCTGGGGTTACAGGCGTGAGTCACCACGCCTGACCAATTTCTCAAATCTTCTAATGTGTAATCACATATGTATAAAATATATGTTGCCTATATGCATATATATTTGTATGTGTAGAAAATGTGGTGTGTTTTAGAAGGAGAATGAGTAGTTAACTGTGCAAGTTTAGTTATGCTAGGCTCAGAGAGAGACAAAAGCACAACACTGAGGCCTGGATTAATAGAAGCACATCGTGCTAAAAGAAACGTCTAGTGAGGCCACTTAAGCTACAGCTGGGGGTCAGAAGTGATGTCTAAGATGAAGGAGGTATGGGAGTTGGGCAAAAAGAGTCAGGGAAATTGCTCCATGCAGAGGTGCTTTCGGCTGCAAATGCCTGGAGCTGGAAAAGCATCAGGAACGGGGAGACATCCAATATGGATCAAACACAGAATGAGCAGTAAGAGTTCGGAGACAGAGGTGTCAGAATGGAGAGGACTGCTGGGAGATGGGGCTGGAAAGCAAGGAAGGGGTAAGTGACACAATTCAGAAGTATCATGTCAAGGAGTTTTGATGTAATTCTTTGAACAACAGTGGAGAAATATGAACAAGTATAGACAAGAAAGATGTCTGTGGCCGCAGTCAGATTGGAGAGGAGTCAGGGAGACCAGTGAGGTGGCTGAGGCTAGTCACATCTGGAAAGCAGATAAAAATGAGTAATACCAAATATATAATTAACAGTAGCTGGTAATTGATTAGATTTGGATGGGGTTGGGGAGATGTGGGAGCCGGAAACAGGAGGCATTGACACATAATGATATGACCAAAAGCTCTGGACTGAACAGTGCTAGGCTTACTTTGTAAGCATCATCAGTCTTCTCATCTAGCAAAGGGACTGATTAAAAAACTTACTTCATGGAGTTATTGTTAAATTTAGATAAAATAGCATATAGAGTATGCTTGGAAACAGTATAGAATTGAAATATGGCTACTATTACTTTTCTAACAATTATTACTTTATCATCAGGGCAACAAGTGAAATATGTTTTATGAGATCTTGCATCTTGATCTTTTGCCAATATATGTTTTCAATTCATGGGCTAAATAGGAAAAGTATATACCAGATCCTGCATAATGTTTACTTGGGTGTTACTCATCGAAGCAGAGACACACCAAGGAGAAAAATCCCTTGCGGTTTTGTTTTTTGTTTTTTTTTTTTTTTTGAGATGGAGCCTCACTCTGTTGCCCGGGCTGGAGTGCAGTGGCAAAATCTTGGCTCACTGCAACTTCCGCCTCCCGGGTTCAAGCGATTCTCCTGCCTCAGCCTCCTGAGTAGCTGGGATTACAGGCATGCACCACCACACTGGGCTAATTTTTGTATTTTTAGTAGAGACGGGGTTTCACCATGTTGGCCAGAGTGGTCTCGAACTCCTGACGTCAGGTGATCCTCCCACCTTGGCCTCCCAAAGTGCTGAGATTACAGGCATGAGCCACCACGCCTGGCCTATTCCCTTGTGTTTTGAAGTTTACTATTTTGTTTCTTCACACAAAAATTGTTATAAAAACCAAACATACAAATGCAAACTTTCAGAATGACGTGTGTGTGTGTGTGTGTGTGTGTGTGTGTGTGTGTGTGTGGTGTATAAAGGGTCATACTCTAACATGCCATGCCATGAAGTGCCCACATAAGTCATTCACCTCCCATGTGAGTTTTCTAAATGTTCCGAAACGTATGTATGGAAAAATAAGCTGGCCCAATCAGTGTTTTCACATTTACCTCTAACTCTACAGCTTTTATCATTGCACAGCCTGCATCCCAACAGGCAACAGTTATAACAAATGTTTCACCACTGCATAATAAAGGTAATCCTGTTTCCAAACAGAAAGAGTTGGAACCTCACAGCCAGATGTCCTATCTCTTTCATTCGGCCAACTCTACATTTTAGGACGTGTTCTCTAAAGCACCCCTTCTTGGTTCAAAAAATGAGGAGTTCTGTCAGCCGTAAGTGATAGAACACTTAGCTAACAGTGGTATAAAAACAGGGTTTATTTTAATCACTCACCAAAGTGGTAGGAAGTTGCCAACATTAATTTACTTACCCAACAGTGTCATAAGGGACCTGAGCTGTTTGCTTGTTTTCATTCCACAATCCTCTGCTGTCAGCTTTTCACCCTCATGCATGTCACATCCCTGCTGTAAGATAGCTACCTCAACCCCAGACATCATGTTCATAGCAGAAACTGGGAGGAAGGTGCTGTGTGATGAACTCTCTTTCTACCTGCTCCTTTTATAAGACAGCTTCCTCAGTAGACTCCTGTTTATGTCTCACTGGTCAGAACGAGTTCCATGCCCACTTCTGGCTACAAGAGAGGCTAATAAGAACGTTCATATCTTGCTTTTAAAAGATCTCTATAGCAGGAGTCAGTCAAAAGAGAATGGGGTTGGAAATGACGTTGGGTTAGTAGCTGTATCTATTGCTACATAATATACCCCCAAATGTAGTGGCTTTAAACAAAATAAGTGTTTCTTATTTTTCACAGTTTCTGTGGGTCTGAAATTCAGAAGCAATCTTGGGTGATCTTGACTGTTACATGTTGGCCTGGGCTGCACTCATCTGAAGGTTTGGACTGGGGTTGCAGGTGCTGCTTCCAAAGTGGCCCAGGGACATGGCTGGCCAGCTTGACCTGGCTATTAGTGGTCAGCTTCAGTTTCTCCCCAGTAAACCTCTCCACAGGGCACAGCCGCTGGCTTCCTCCAGAGAAAATGATTCAAGATATCAAAGCAGAAGCTGTAATACCTTTTATGACCTGTTCTCAGAGGTCAGACATCCTTACTTCTGCAGTATTTTATTGAAAACAGAGGTCATCCCTGTTCAGTATAGAGGGACATCAAAGGCATAGCTAGTAGGAAGCAAGGATCATTGGTTGCCGTCGTGGAGACTGGCTACCATAGCAGCAAAGATCTAAGGTGCTGCTCCTATTTTATCTCCTCTCTCACTCGGCATTGGTTTTTTGCACTCATAGTAACATTTTTACAGCTTTTCATGCTCCCTGTCCATGAGCAGGAATGAGTGAATATATGATGAAGGAAGAAGATCCTTGATCTAAAGCTATTTTTAGTTGTCAAAAAACAATTACCCATACTTCCCTTTTTCACCAGAAAAATCCCTCTGAACTACCCAGCCACCAAAAGAAAGAAAAGAGTACACAGTGGGGTGTGAATGGCAATTCATACTTTCCCTTCCTGGGCAAATTTGTTGGAACCCAAAAATAAATAAATAAATAAGCCAGACATCACTGAGTGATTTTTAACAAAATCATAAGCAAAATTCCACTATAATAACATAGAATGAATGGTATGAATTGTTTTTCCAGTAGTGAACTATTCATATAGTATATCTAGATGAGACATAAGGGCAAGGAACTGTAACATTTTGAATACAGTTTTGTGCTTTAGGGCAGATATTTTTTCCTACATGAAGAAAATATAGGTAATTTGATTCAGTGAATCTCACACTGTAACCAATTTGGTTTGTTTGCCCTGGGCTTTTAGAACAGTCCTTTCACTACTATTGCGAAGTGTTATTAAAAGCAAACAACAAACAAAGAAACCCGTGGCAAATAAATAAATAAATAGAAAACTTAGCCACTTCAGCTCATAATTTTGAAGTTCCTTCTGGTTGACTTTGGTAGCCACCTATAGTTCAAGATAGTGGTGACCAAGAATTATTCAAATCAGAGACTAGACATAAGAGTACTTTGCAGAGCCCAGGCCACCCTTCTGAAGGGTTCAGGCCATTGGGCTTCCCATATTCTTATGCCTCATTCTCTTTTATGTGAAGGTACAAACGTCTCTGTAGTATGTCTACCCAGTTCACATATCTTGACACTAAATTCACTGAGAAAGGAGCATTTCTAATATCCATTATGCTGAAGAACAAGGCCCCTAGTGTTTATCAATCTTGAAGATAGCTGAAAGCTATCTTGTGAAAACTGTATCTGGAGTTGGCCTTTTGTTTAAGATTTTTTCCATGCTAGCCCACCATTCCTGGAGTGTGTATCCCTGATAAGAACAGATGACCAGCTCAAAGGTGTACATTAAAATGAACACTTGCAGATACATTACTGATCTATGCTGGAGTGTCTTAAGGCTACAATCTCATGACAACCTCTCTCTGACTAGGCAAGTTTGCATCCTACCAGAAACAACTCCCCTCATTTATGCCAGTCTCTTGAATGAAGTCAAGAGCCTCTATTTATAATAAATAGTACTCTAGACAACCTTTCCCACTTTGCTGCTGTTCTGCTGGCTGGATGCAGAGAATACCTTTTCTGGCATGGACAATAGAAGAGAGCTAGTTGATAAAATAGTGATATTCCATTAACATTGGAAAATTTATGATTAAAAAAGCCCACATGTAGAAGGTAGAGTCCTGAGTCCAAGGCTAAATTGCTCAGGAACTAAAATTTAGTTTGTCTTTATTAAAATCCTCCTCCCTTTTCCAGATCTCATTTGCTATCCTGTGATTGATCCTCTTATTCACACCAGTATTCTCTCATGATGAGAATTTCATATCCAGTCTACACAATACCTTAACTGAAAGCTACTTACCATACTGCAGCATTTGTGTCATGATATAGAAAGATATGCTGTTTGATTTTTTTAAGGCATTGTTGCTAATGCATGGCCCTCCATCCTAAATTAAATGGTTAGATGAAAGAAAATGTAATGTCATATTTTGGACCCTTCAGCTTTTTAAGGAACAAGTCCACAAAAGGTCATATCTTAATCTTCACAGAAGGTTTATTTTGCAGAGAAATGCAATCCTTTTTCTCAGGCAGAATAGGGAGGAAGGATTTACTATCAGAATCACCTAAATAAATAGAGCTTGTTTTTAACTTTTTGGTTTGGTAATAGATGGATTTCTTTTAAAAAATCGAAGTCAGCTGTTTAACACCTGCAAAAGATTCAGGATATATTATGTTCAATAAGTGCTAACTTTTTAAAAGAGGCAAAAATTCAGCAAATAGAAACAAAAAAATCTCAGTACAATAAATGTTAGCATCTGAGAATCTCTCTTTGGCTTATTCATGAGTGTTACTTAGAAGTCTGTCTGAGGCTCATTAGGCCATTTAAAATCACAGGTCTATCCATGTGTAGACCAAATGTTTAAGAAAGGATTACACACCCACAAAAGAAGTAAAAGAAAAATAAAAGGCCTGAAGACTGTGCCTTGAAAGTCCCAGGGTGCATTCTCTTGTCAAAAGGTAATTATACTCTACTCACCTCCCCACCCAAGGATATAACTACTTGTTCCATGAAGTTTTACAGGAGGAAAAAAATCTCATATTTTACATTGGTACAATCCTAATCTGGAGGAAATTATGAAATTTATAACTGGGAATCACATATCCCCTATTCTGCATTTTCTATGCTCCCTTTGATTATGGTGACCATAGTTACCATATGCAAATCAGGCATGTGTGGCCAATGTAGTCATGATCATTCTACCTGGGGTTGGCAGTCTTCTAAAGTAGTAGTACAGTAGGTGAGGCTCTAGGGGCAGTCATGAGTAATGAGATGAAGCACCATGTCCACACTTAACATTAGGAAAATTCATGCACTTTAAACCTGAACAAAATTGTAAGTGCGAGCATGTTTCCACTAGCAATGGACAACTGAAGACTTCCTCTGGAATATTAACTTCAAAACATCCTGATCCTCATTTATAATACACCTCAGATACTGGGAACCATGGGGTTTGTGATATCGTGAAATATATAGGACATTTAGTCTTTCTCTAAAGAAAACCCTAAAAGCCGGAATCTCCAGTGATTAGTGTGTCTTTTTTATGCTAATGAGACAGCATGACTCATTAGATAGTAGTGATTGGCAGCCCCTATACAGTTTAGAATGAGTTTGGTTACCAGAAAAACCAAAGCCTAATTAGAGGGTTGGAACTTTCAGCCCCACTTCCCCAAGCTTCAGGGAGGGCAGAGGCGCTGAAGGTTGAGCTAATCACCAGTGCCCAATGATTTAATCAATTATGTTAATGTAATGAAGCCTCCATAAAAACCCAAAACAAGGTTCAGATGAGTTTTCAGATAGCTTAATGGGTAGAGGTTCCAGGAGAGTGGCACGCTTTGTTATAGAACCCAACTGGGGCCCACTTTCTCCGTACAGTAAGACCAGATACCACACCGAGGTTTTGCAGGAGTAGAAAGGAAGGCATTTATTGGCAGAGCTCTAAGCAAGGCAAATCAGGGCAGCTGATGCTTCTTTCTCTCCTGAACTCCTCAATGGCTTGCAGGTAAGGGTTTTTAAAGGCAGGCACAAATTTCAGGAAAGCAGAAGTTACAGGCAAACTCATAAATCAAAACATGGACCATATACATTGGTTTGACCTCAAAAGGCAGGACCTCTTGAAGTAGGGGACCCACAGGCCAGAGGTGGATTCAAAGCTTTTCTCATTTGTGGCTGGTTCAGGACATGAAGCTTTGTTTAAAATTGGGGATCAGCAGAAAATAATATTAGCTCTAGCTCATGGGCATGACTTCCTTCAGGCCCTCAGGAAGAAATTTGGAATAGAGAACAGTGGTCAGAGTTCAGTCCTCAGTTTTTCGAGTAGGCAGATCTGTTTGGTGGGGGTCTGGGTTTCTGAAAAACAAGTCAGGGGTGCATGTGAAGATATCTTGAGTTTCTATAGAGAACCAAACATTGTTTTGACTAACTTCCTTGGCTGTTGTTTTAGACTACTATTACCTTTTTGCTTATTAAGTTGCTCATTTACTTCTCAAGGCTAGCTAGGTGCCTGGAATTTCCCTTGAAGGAGCTCAGGATTTTCCTTTATTTCCATGCTTCGGGGTTCCCCACAGCCTGCTAAAAGAGGGGTCCCTGCTCCATCTCAGCCTGGAAAGGGCATGGAAGCTCTGTGTCCCTTCTCCCATTCCCCACCCTATACATCTCTTTCATCTGGCTGCTCATTTGTATCCTTTGTAGTATCCTTTGTAATAAACAGTAAATGTGAGCAGTATTTACCAGACTTCTCTGAGCTGCTCAAGCAAATTAATCAAACCCAAGAAGGGGGACCAGGAATCTTGATTTATAGCCAGTCAGTCAGAAGCACAGGTCACAACCTGGGGCTTGTGACTGGCATCTGAAGTGGGAAGCAGTATTGTGGGACTGAGCTTTAATCCGTGTGATCTGCTGCTGTCTCCAGGTAGATAATGTCAGCACTGAGTAGAATTACAGAGCACTCAGTTGATGTCCGCTGGAGAACTCATTGCTTGGTGTATGGGGAGAAATCCTCACACATCTGGTGTCAGAAGTATTGTATTTACTGGTGTGTGAGAGTAAGAAAAACACTTTGTTTTTTTTCTATGTCTATTAAGGTTTCATAGAAAACTGACTCCCTCCCATCCCCTCCCCACCCCCCAAAAAAATCCACCTACTTTCTCTGGGAAGAAGGAGAAGAGTTAAGTTTTTGTTTGATTTACATAGCTTGAACAGAGTCATTATTCTTTTTCTGTTTTGTGAATGTGGATCTAAGTTATATTTATCTCATTCCATTCTACATTTTTGGTGTCTCCCAAAGGAAAAGATATGTTTGAAAATGAAAGGTCAGTATGTATTGTGAACATGGAAAAGGTTACTTCCATTTTTGTTGCTGTTCTTTCACAACTTTTGGAATTTGTGCCCTGTCAGTAGTGAAATAGGATTCCTTTGCATTTTTTTAATTTGTCAATTTACTTTTCTCACTTTATATCAGTAAATTATCCTTTTAAAATTTACTTTAGATGACTTTTCTGCTTAAAAAAAAAGTAACCTGACTTTTTTCTGTAAATAGAAATTTTAATAAAGACAATTTCTCAGTTATTCTTTATTAATTAATTCCAAGAGGCTTTGATGTTCTAGTTAAGAAAGTGATCAGGGCGATTTTCCTGATTTGCTGGCTGTCAGGTTGAAGTGAAGGACAACATCTTTTGTTAAAGCCTGTGTAGCCCTGAAACTTCTGCAAATGTCGCTTCTCAGAGGGCTGTGAGAGTAGGTTAGTTTTTCCACCTGTGCTCAAGACCACCCCCTTCCTTTCTTCAGGGCAGGCTTCTGAAGTCTGAGCTTGTGCTTTTTTATCTTGGGTGCTTATAAATATTTAAATTCCATCATAAACACATCCCACTGGCTTGGACACATTTGAGAAATGGCTCCAGTGGAAGAACGTGGAAGAAATTTGGTTGTTTGAAGTTCCCTTTCCCACTGTGGGAATCTTCAGACTTCTTGGCTGTGCTAAAAACTACTGATCAGCCTGTGATGGCAAGATGGATACTCCATTGCTTGACTCTCAGTTGACCCTTGTCAATTATGTTGAGAAGATGAGACAATCTCTGCAGTGAATTTTAAGTTCATGTGTTTATTGAGCATATTAAGTGTCAACATTCACTCTCAGACGTTGTCACTTAAGTAGGTAACTGCGTGAAATGGCTTGGGATTTGGCAGTCTATATTAGTTCTCTATTATTGCCATCACAAAGTTCCAGAAATGTCATGGCTTTAAACAAAACAAATGTATTATCTAACAGTTTTGTAGGTCAGAAGTCTCACATAGGTCTCACCAGGCTAAAATCAAGGTGCTGGCAGATGTATTCCTTTCTGGAGGTTTTGGGGGAAAAGCCATTTCCTTGATCATGTGTGTTACTGGCAGAATTCAAATCCTTGTGGTTGTATGACTGAGGTCTCTGTTTTCTTTGCTGGTTGTCAATAGAACGCTGTCTCTGGCTTCCAAAGCCTGCTGCATTCCTTGGCCCATGGCCCCTTCCTTCATCTTCAAGGATCAGCAAGGGTGAGTTGAGCCCTTCTCTTACTACATCTCACTTCCTGCAGCCAGGAAAGGATAATCCAGGATAATTTCTCCATATCAAGGTTTGTGACCTTAATTACATCCATACTTATTCATTTACATCACAGGTTTCAGGGATTAGGACATAGCATCTTTGGGGAGCCATTATTCTCTCTGCCATAGTCATGGTGTTGTTTAATGGACAGAGATGCAAAGAGGCATTCCATTTTACTTAGATTCCATTTCTGAGACTCTACCCTCTCTTTAAAAAGCCTTCCTTGTAATTTTTTAAAACATTTTAATCAAAGTAATTCATACATATGGTTTGAAGAAACAAGTAGTATGGATAGATTTATAATGAAAAACAGCATAACCTTGTGCCACCTCTCGTCTTCAGATTCTCGTCTCTGGAAAACTCTGAAAGTTATTTATTCAGCTAATTATATCTAGGTTTCTAAATAATACAGTTAATACCATTTCCTAATATTTTTTGAATTTTAGACATTTATTCTGTTCCATGGACAATGAGGATTTAGCTCTCTTGTTCCATTTTCTACACAACTCACAACCTGCTTCTCTCTCTCCCTTCCCAATATAATCTTATATCACTATTTTGGTTAAATAAGTAGCTAATATTTACATTACCATGAGTATGTAAATGTTTCTCATGGTTGAGACACATAGTGTTTTATGAGTTTTCGTGGTTGTTTTTGTTGTTGAGACAGAATCCTGCTGTGTTGCCCAGGCTGGAGTGCAGTGGTGTGATCTTGGCTCACTGCAACCTCCGCCTCCTGGGTTCAAGCAATTCTCCTCTCTTAGCCTCCCAAGTAGCTGGGACTACAGGCATGTGCCATTGTGCCTGGATAATTTTTGTGTGTGTTTATTTTTTTATTTTTATTTTTTTTCAGTAGAGATGGAGTTTTACCATGTTGGTCAGGCTGGTCTCAAACTCCTGACCTTAAGTGGTCCACCTGCCTTGGCCTCCCAAAGTGCTGGGATTACAGGTGTGAGCCACCACACCTGGCTCTTATGAGTATTTTCCTGAATTTAACAATTTTGACTTCATTCATACACTGCTTAATTTTCTGTGTTTGTTCTAGTAATTCAGACCTAAATTCTCTGCTGGAGTTGTAAAACTGTGTGATACAATATTTAAAAATCAAGAAATTTACAAATTATAATCTACCTAAAGATATTCCTCTTGGAGCCCTCTATCCTGTCTTCTGATGTGGATTAATTCTCTATAGACGTTGCTGTTTGACTGTCTTCCTGAATTGTCCTCTCACCATCAACTTGGGACCATTTTCTAGAACCCTGTTTTCCTATTGGAAAAAGATACATAGGATATAATTTTGTGGAGATTTTGCATGCATCTTTATCCCATCTTTATCTTTGATTGGTAATCGGCCAGATGCCAGTCCTATTCTACCTTCAGAGTTGCTGTTGCATGCCTCATCCCATTCTAATTCTTCATCTTTTGATTGTGGATTTTTTTCCCGTCTAGAAACTTTAAAAATAATCTTTTAATATCTGGTGACTATTTCTCAGTAATATGTTTTAGTGTAGATCTTTTGTCCAACCTTGTGCTAGTTGGTTATTCTTTGACTCATTTACACATAAGTTTTAGGCCGCACGCATGGCGCATGCCTGTAATCTCAGCACTTTGTGCAACCAAGGTGGGAAGATCCCTTGAGGTCAGAAGTTTGAGACCAGCCTGGCCAACATAGCAAGACCCCATCTCTATTGAAAAAAATTCAAGCAATTTGGAAGTTTTCTTATATTAATTCTTTGAGAATTTCATACCACAGCTCAATCTGTTGTTACTTTCTAGATAGATCATCCTAGTTTTCTATCTCTTTTAGTTCTGTAATTCTATTTTATAGCTCATCTATCCAATTGTCTGCATTCACACTCTCGTTCTCTGAATGAAAGAGCATCCTGTTTTTATTTTTTTATGATTGTAATATTTTACCTGAGTAAATGTGGTACAGTTGGTTATACTTTTCTTCTGGTTCCTGGTTTCCTGTTCCATTGTTTCCCTTTTTTTGCTTCACTTTGTCATGTTTGAGGCAGTAAGATGTACAGGTTAGAAGCATGAGCTCTGGATAAAAACCAAAAGACTGTGAAACTGGCCATACTACTTAGTAGCTTGTGACCTTGAGCAAGTTACTTGACCTTTATGTACTTTACTTTCCTTACTGAAAAAATGAGAATAGTAATGGTACTTCTAAAACTGGTATAAAGTGGTAATTAAGTTTATGTGTATATATGAAAAACATTAATCTATATATATAAAGAAGTTAATTTGCATAAAAATTAAAATATGCTTAGAATGGTGCTTGACACACAGAAAGACAGCATTAACTATTGATATTTCAGAGCGTGGCATTGATAAGCTGACTGGGAGCTTTGTATGTGTGAGTAGGATTTGACGACTGACAGCTTCTTGAGTGGAAGCAGATAAGATGGTAAGCGGGCTTTTTCATTGAAGGACCCCAAATATCAGCATCTACACATCCATTCTCTTGGTCTGTTCAGTTCTCTAGAGGGAAACTCTACACATCTCTGCCTGTGGGGTTTAAACCTGATTGTCTTTGTTCTAGGAGCTCAGTCAGGGAAGGAGGATAGGGAATGTCAAATTTGGCATGTGAATTTTCAGTTAATTGTCTGGTTTTCTGCATGGAATATCACTTTTGTTCCCAGCTGTGGATGGTGTTACAAAATCTACAGCTTCTATGTTCAAAACCTCTAGAAGCTGGGGGAGGGGCAATCACCTATTTACAAACTTTAAGCCGATGCTCATGTTTTCAGTGTTACCCTGCACACCCACCTTCCTCAGGTTACTCCAGTCCCAGGATTCACATGTTTGAACTGGCTTCTTTCTCACTGCCCTCACCCCCAACCCACAATTTCATTTTTTTCCCATCTTCTAAGTTGATTACTGCTTATCCACTGCATTTTCAGCCTGTAAAATGTTGTTACCATCTATCATCATCTGTTGTTTCTACTCCTCTTCTCTTTGCCCTTCTAGGTTTGTTCTTGAAAAAAAAATTCTCTACTGTCATTTTGGTGGAGAATTATGAGGGAAGAGTAATAAACACTGTGTTCAACCTACCACATCTAATTGTCACTCTCCAAGCAAGGGCTAGCTTCATTGGCAGAAGGGGACAGGGAGGAAGCAGACATTTAAGCAGAAATTCTTGTTTTGAGTTTTGTCTCCTTTTCTCTGACACTGGTGGACTCTGTTGATGTAGTAGTTGTGATTTCTTGAGGAGACTTTCAATTTTACTCCAGCTCCCTCCCAGAGAGTGGCAGATTAATTATTTTTTAGCTGCATCAGTAGTTGATGGTCTAGTCCCTTCTACCTTTTTCTAATGGCCATTTGGTGGCCCCACAGCTCCCATATCCCCTCCAACCTCTGTGTTCCTTTATGAGGAGCTGAGGAACCACTGAGTTCTTTCCACCCTCAAAATTTCGTAGAGAACTGGAATGGTTATACCCGCAATTTTTCTTCCCACAAACACCATACCGTTATAGCCCCTTCATGTCCTATTGGCATGAGCTGATCCAACAGATCTCAGTTCCTCAGTAATCTCTAGATGAGAAGCAAGCACTAGCCTCTATTTTTAATTTGTGCCACCTACACCCATACATACTTCAGAAGACTTATGGCAAGCTTCTTAGGAACTCCTTCACCAGGCTTCTGTGAAGGCTTCCAGGTTCTATGAGTGAGCAAGCTTGAAGCAGAGAGGCGGTGGCTATACTTGGAAATGGTGGAGATAATTTATTTTTGTCCATTTCTTTTGTGTGTATTTGGAATTACAGGGCCCCCCAATATTTTTAGCCACCAGTTTATTTACCATGGAAGCAGTTTGTTAATTTGGAACTCTTCATCCTTCAACAGTTTTTATTGAATATTCAAGATGCTAAGACTTAATTTGGAAACTCTTATACAAATCTATAATCTCAATAGTATTCTTAATGCAATGGTCAGTAATTATTAGTCCTTTGATAAGCAGAGACCTCGGGACTGCCATGGCACAATCAGTCTTGGCCCAACAGCTTCAACTTTCTTCCATGTGACAATGTTGCAGTTGAAGCCATTGGAGACCCAGTCTTTCTCTGTTACACAGATTCCTGGATCAGCACATTCAGAAAAGGGTGTCTCTGTTACCAGAAATTTAAAGTGAGATGTTTCATGATAGGAATTTTGCTTCTGAATTCACGTTTGCCCCAAGAAATTACAATCCAAGTCTTGTACCCAGTCACTGGAATAGTTGCCATGGCACTTCTATTTGTCTTGAAATTATATTTGTCGCTAAGATACCATGTAATAGTAAAAATTTAAAAACAACTCCCAAAGCCTCTAAGCAGTTGTATCTGAATTACAGATTTGTCATCAGACCACTAAAATATATATATAATATTTAAAAGAAGATAAGTTACAAAATTTCTAGCACATGTTGGTCACTGTTATATTAAAGACAATATGAAAAATAAAAAATTTCAAAGGAAATACACTCAAGTCTTAACACTAATAGTGTTTGGAATGAGATTGTGGTGTAAAAGTTAGGGCTAACTTTCCCCTTTTGAAAAATGTTTCTCTGCATGTTACACATTTCTTGTACTGAAATTATATTCTTTTTGAGTTAGAAAAAATAATTTACACAAGCACATGATATAAATTACTAAATTAAATTAAAAGTAGCATATTTGTAGGTAAAATTAAGTATTTAAATTCTCTGTTCATATTTTAAAAAAAAATTTTGGAGAGAGTACAGATTCTAAATCTTTACCCCATCACACTACTGAATTCTGAAAAGAAATGGATGTGTGTAAAGGCTAACTTAAAGGACTGTGGAGTGGAGCAAATATGGTAGGTTTTACATTGACTATTGCTGGTTCAGTTTATCAAGGAAGGAAGGAAAAGGAGAGACTTATTTTTCTGAGGCAGACCCAACTTAAAGTTTCTTTAAAAGCTTCTTGTAGGTTAAGACATGTTCAGAAAGCTGCAAACCACTACGTGTTCCAATTCACATTGCCCTTCATTTTTGCCTGTGTGTTTACTAATTTTTAGCCTGTCAAGTAATAGAAAAGGTAGCCTTGGGTGGAGCAGACATCTTGTTGTTCTAGAGAAGACTTAGGTGTCCAGTGGATAGCAAGCAATGAGCCCCCAAATTCTGGGGAAAATAAAAATATCACAAAGGCAATCTTTTTTACCTTTTTTATGTCTGAATTTTTTAAGAAAATCATAGATTTCCAAGCAAAGCAGAAAGACCATAGTTTGTTTAGAATGTCACTTTCAAGAGGATTATCGTGGGTAATTTTCCAATGAGAATATTTAGCAACTTTAGTGGAACATAATCCTCTCAGATTTCAGACAGAGGCTTTCTACTCCTGCTGATCTTCCATAAGGACAAAATTCTTTCCTGACTTGTACTTCCTTCACACTATATGAAGGGCATCATATAGCCAACACAGAAAATCTTCTAGTGGAATCCTGGTGCAAATGAGATGAAACCATGGCTAAAGGCCCATTTCTTATAAACAGACCACGTCTGTTTGCTCCAACTCAAATTCTTGTAGCAGCCAAACTGGCTGGACAGTTTCACTTAATTGAGTGGCAGGGGGTGGGGTGGATGGATTGAAGGGTGGGGGGATTGGGGAGAAGGATATTGAGTGAGTCATAAGGATTAGCTGTGCATATTATTTTACTCAGGGTACTCTCTTCCCTAATTCCTATGACTTACCCCTATGGATTTTCCACATGTAAGCAACAAGTAGCCACTGTAAATTACCACTTAATAGGATCAGTTCCCTATGTCAGAAACCTAAAGTACTTCCACAGAATGGGAAATTAATATTTGGCTTTTGCTTTCTGAGAATCCATGCATATGGTCACCATACTACAAAGAATTTCAAATTCATATTTACATAAATGGATTTGTTCTCTTTGCATTTGTAATAGTAACATAAAGGAGTCTTCATAGTTGAGCCCCTTATTGTTGAGTCCAAAAAGGATGCCGAAAACATGTGGAGCTTGGGATATGGGCCAAGATGGTAAACATAATGGTTACAATTTGGTTGTCTGGGACTGTTGCCTTAAAGTTGTTGTATTCACAATATCATTATATATATGATTAAGAATATTTTTGTGACATGAGTAGACTTCTGCTCAAAAAACAATTTATAAAACGTTTTAGAACCTTAAGTAGACCTTCTAGCTACCTTTAGATGTACTCTATAAATCAAATATTATCTTTCGTAAGCACTTACTTCTTCCCTATGCCTAATTATGTTAATTATTGCCCAATACATTAATTATATTAATAGGTATATTATGCTTAATATGTTAATTATTTAAAAACTACTTTCTCATAATTCTTGCTGTAAGTCATATTAATGGAATAGCAAGATATAGAGAGATCAATTCATCCCTATAATTTTTTTTTTTTGAGACAAGGTGAAACTCTGTCGCTCAGGCTGTAGTGCAGTGGCTGGATCTCAGCTTACTGCAACCTCTGACCTCCTCGGCTCAGATGATCTTCCCACCTCAGCCTCCCGAGTAGCTGGGACTACAGGCACGTGCCAAGATGCCTGACTGCCTGACTAATTTTTGTATTTTTTTGTAGAAACGGGGTTTCACCATGTTGCCCAGTTTGATCTTGAATTCCTGGGCTCAAGCCATCCACACTCCTCAGCCTCCCAAAGTGCTGAGATATAGGCAGGAGCCACCACACCTGGCCATCCATATAAACATTTGAGCTGAAATCTTAGGAGGACCTAAAGGTTGTAACTAGAAGTCACTGACAGACACCCTCAAGGTCTGGTTCTTCTCCAGAGGAAAAGGCAAGAGCCCATCTGGACGAAATATACTTGGGCCTTTTGCACTTGGCTGTCTGATATTTCCTCTGGAATAGAAAAGGAAGACTCAGGAAAAACTGATATTGGGTCTTCCTACTGTTGGAGAACTAAGGATCTCAAAGAATGAAGACGGATTCTATAGAAACAGGAAACAAGTGGAGCTGCATGAAATCCTGGAGTGACCTGGCCCTCTACTTGAAGATGCAAGAAATGGTTTTTGGGCTCAAGGTCAATCAATATTTTCTCTTACGAACCTACAGTGTATATGAGACTGTGTAGACTCCTGAAAACTACTTGATTAATTTATGTGAGAAACTTTTTTTTTTTTTGCCTTTAGTACTGATATAAGACAGAACTTTTTCTCCTCACAGCTGGATCATACCCAGAAGCCATATTTCTTACTGATCATGAGCTATCATAGCTATTGGGGTTTAGAAAGAATTGAAATCAGCATGATCAATAATTCTTCCCAGAAGTCAGGCCCAGCTTTCTGGTGAGAGTGGAATCAGATATAAACTTTTGATATATGTTAGATATACGCTAGATATATCAAAAGTTTAATGGAGCCAAACCAAGACAGCCTGCTATATCCACTCAGTGATGGCAGCCAGAAATTATTAAAGTCTTGGCTTAAGAATCCTATCTTTATCTTCATACTAGAAACTTTTTTGACATCAGATTTATAGTATTCAAGTCAAATGGAAAGTCAAATGGATGTCTTTCTTTCTTAGAGTCTGCTTGGATGAACTCACCTAAAACTTGTCTTAGAATTCTTTTTTATCTAAAGTTTCAACAACCGCCTTCTTCTTTTCTAGGGAGAGGAATGGCATGGAGTTTGGGGAAGGAGGAATATAAAGAGAAGAAAATGTGGGCAGATTTCAAGAGACACAAAAATTTGTTAAGTGCTCACCATGTAGCAAAAATATTTATAACCCTTTCTCATTGGATTCTTATTGAAATGATCTATTTCATAGATAAACAGAGGTTCATGGAGGTCTTGCCATAGGAGGTGATAAAGCCAGAATTTGAACTAGATGTCTCTAATACCAAAAATTGTGCTGTTTCGCTGTATCACCTCTGCCTCACCTATCCTAGTCACTCGTTAATAATGTCTCAGTAAACCCTATTCTGTGTCTGTTATGTCTCAAGGCTATGCTAGATGCTGAGCAGAGAAAGGGCTTGATACATTGCCATAAGTGGTATAGTAGTGGTACTTAGGGGGAATCATGAACAACTGAGTGGTGCAGACAAGGTAACAATTCTGTTTTGCAGGGAATGCAGATACTCGGTTCTATAAAAACTACAGTGAAGGTGGGACATTTAAGTCTTCCCCTGAGAATAAGGGTATTACTTTGCCAGGTTAAGAGGACAATGGATTGGGGCATAGAATAGGGAAATGAAGAAGCTACTTCAGGTTTAGGAAGTAAGAACAACAGAAGCAAAATTTGAAAGCTTGACAGTCCTGATTTTTTGGACTTCCGTGGTACAGCCAGTGAAGATGCAAAGGGTCTCGTACTGTGTATTAAGAGAATGGGAGCCTTCCTGGAGGTGAAACTGGATGAGAAAATTAGAGCTGTAAAATTTAATGATGGAGTAGAATATACTACTGCAGCACACACTTTGGCTAACTCAGGAACAGTTCATAGAGCCTGGCTTCCTGGGACACCGGGATAGTTGTACTGGAGAGAGGATTCCAGAAGCAAAATAGATACAGAAAGGGCTCGGGCACCAATTCTAAATTTCATTTAAAAACTCAGCAAGAACCTGCTAGGCCTGTTTTCTTTCACCTAGAAGCCAGCTGAAATGGGTTCATGGTCCCATTCTACCAATGAGACACACAGTTGTGATGAGAGTGACACATTCTTGAGAATTGGTTGAGTAAGGGGAAGAAGAATAGCTTTGAGATATTCATGCTTTGTGCTAAGTGTCAGGAAAATGACCTGTTTAAGGGAAGTTTAGTTTGACTGAGCTAGTAGGGGTCATCTTTGAAATCATATTACTTCATCTCTACTATACGGGCTTTGGAGAGAGGAAAGGAGTTGTGAATGTCTCCTGGAGGGTCATCAGGAGCTACTTCTTAAACTAAGAATGTGCCTTATCTCCGCCCTAGTAGCCATTGTTTCCTGCAGTACAATAGACCAACTCTTCTCTTCACAGTCATTTCCCCCAGTACATTATTTTGTGAGTGATTATGAGCCTGGGCTTTAACTCGTGATAGAAGTTTTTCAAGTACTGGCTCTACCACTTATGAGCTGTGTGAACTTGGACAAGTTAATTGACCTAGCAAAGCCTCCCTTTCCTTATTTGTGGATGAGAATGATGGATGGTACTTAACTCACAGGGCCTGTGTGCAGATGAGATGAGACCTAGAATTAATAGCACACTTTCAGGTGCTATTCCAAATGCTTTACATGCATTCATGCATTGAATTTTTGAAACGGTAACCATATAAGGTAGTGCCATCATTATCCCCATTTAACAGATGAAGAAGCTGAGGGCCAGAGAGGTTAAGTAAGTTTCCTAAAGTCACATGACTAGTTTCAGAGCTGGGATTTGAACCCAGGCTTTTAGGCTTCAGAGATAACACTATTTGGCTACTGTGCTATACTGCCTCTGAAGGAGCATGAATCACCTGGACATATTTGCTAAAAGATATAATCATGAAATAAATATCAGCCAGTCAAGAAAGCCTGACTTTTTATTTCAACCTGATGTTCAGCGTATTCCTCAGTATTAGAATTTTGGAAGCTCACCTTACCTCACTGGTGCATTAGCTGGTATTTATTTCTTCCCTAATCCAGTTACATGAACACAATTAAAATATTTGCTATTTCCATGACCTGGGAAAGTTCTACGGGAAGACACTTCTTTCAATCACTAATTTAAAACAATTTCATTTCAACCTCACAAAACACTGTCCCGCCCTCAGAAAAACGTCCTGCTGTGTTCTCACCATTCTTTTGGAAAACATTCCCACAGATCAAACAAATTAAAGATGTCAGGATCCATTGCACAGCCAATGTGTATCTAGATATTTCTTGTAGTGCATTTTCACTGAAGTTCAAGTTTATTCTGGTTTTATCAGCTATTGTCCTTAAAAGGGATCTCTAGATGTTGTAAAACTTGAGATCTTGATTTTGACTGGCTTCTATTTTCGTTTTCCGTTTTGAAAGTTTCTGTCAAAGGCCCCAAGTGTGAATGAGGAAGATTGCCTTTAGTCCTAAACCTACCAACTTGTTTCCGTTGTGCGAAAAGCTGACATGGAGAAAGTTCAGCAAGGATGTCAGGTCTGCCCTAACATAACTGTGATGGTTTGCAAAGCATGTGAGCAGGCTCCTGGCAAAACCCTGAGGAGAGGAACTTCTCCAGCTATAGCTCTGGGCTGCCATCCCTTTCTTGAACTTGGCACTTAATGAGCTGGCCCTTAGCTTCTTTGCATCTCAGAATCAGCTTGGAATAAGCTTTATTCTTGATGTCGAGCCTTTTCAGTTTTGTCTCTAGTATTTCCTTTGCAGCAGAAATTTTTATTAACATTCATAAATAACATTTTCCACATACTATCATTTATCTCTCTTCCACCTAACTTATCCCAGATTTTGTGGGGATTGTCTGAAAGTGATTCACGTTGTTAGTGAACAATTTCTACATTGTTCTTGCTGGTTGCTAAATAGAGCCTTGCCCCTGGTTAAGTCAATGAGAAAGATACAAATTTGTCCTCTTTTCAACAGTTTGTTTCCTGTTAAACAAACTGAAGAAGATATAAAACAATTCTTGCCATCAGTAGTCAGATCCCTCTTTTAAAAAGACATCATGGCTAGGAAATGGCTCTGAACTTTCTGAGATGAAATGACTACCTTTCTTCTAGAAGTACTGAAAGAATTTACACCAAGTGGCTAGAGATGTTTTGGGGGGATTGGATAGACCAGTATCACTTGGTGACCTGCTCAGCTGTAGTCACTTTGGCTTGAAGAGCAGACACATTTGTGCAGCTATCCCCTTTGTTTTATGATGTAAATCTTGTTTTTAGGATGAGTGCTTATGGGGCATTGTTGAGGGGTATTACAATTGCCATCTGCACCCAAATAGCCCAGATACTGAATTGCCTTAAGATGCCTTAGACTTTCACCATTTTAATCATTTATTTCATTAATGTTATCTACCTAAACCCTTATTTTTATTTATTTATTTATTTATTTATTTATTTATTTATTTATTTATTTATTTTGAGACAGGGTCTCTGCTGCTCATGCTGGAGTGCAGTGGTGCGATCATGGCTCACTGCAGCTTTGACTCCCTGGGCTCAAGCGATCCTCCCACCTCAGACTCCTGCATAGCTGGGACCACAGGCACGTGCCACCATGCCTGGCTAATTTTTGTATTTTTTGTAGAGATGAGGTTTTGCCATGTTGCCCAGGCTGGTCTCGAGCTCATGGGCTCAAGTGATCTGCCTGCCTCGGCCTCCCAAAGTGTTGGGATTACAGACATGAGTCTGCGCCCAGCCCAAACCCTTATTAAAATACAAACATGTTTCTTGGAGAATTTAATATTCAATCCCTAGAAATATATTGTAATTTTAATGTGAGTTCTTTTTCAGGATGTGATAACGTAATGGCAATGATCATAACTACAATAGCAAATATTACTGAGAGCTACAAAGGCTTTTTTTCAGACAGGTACAATTATTAGTATTCCATTAAGACAGAATTTTTTAGTGTTGGCACTACTGACATTTTGGGTTAAGAATAATCGTTATGGGGGCTGTCTTGTGCACTATAGGATGTTTATCAGTTTCCCTGTCCTCTACTCACTAGATGCCGGTAGGAACCCCTTCACTCTAGTTTGTGACAATCAGAATGTCTCCAGACTTATCAGATGTCCCTGGAGGAGGGAACTTCATGGAGTTAAGAACCATTATGTTAAGGAGATGATGAAACTGAGGTCTGGAGAGGTTGAGTAGCTTTTCTAAGGTCCTAAATGGCAGAGTTAGTTCTACAAGGCTTTTCTGATTAGAAAATGCTTGTCTACTTACTACTGTATACCACCAACCCATCCTACAGTTCTTTTCCCGTTTCTGTCTAATAGCATATGTCTAGTGGACATCTGCCATGTATACTGTGTGTGCACACCTGTATGCACCCATGTCCAGCAACTATCTGTTAATATTTCAAAGCACTCTTAAACTGATTTTACATTAATCCTCAGTCACCCATCAGTCACGAATTGTAGAAAAGGAAACTGATACCTGTGCCGTTATCCTAGCCATTTCTGAGCCAGGAGATGCCTTTTAATGGAGGTCTGAGGTCAGAGGCTTGGCATAAAAGTCCAGATTAGGAGACCCTACTGCAAGCAAACTTTCATTTCCTAATGGAGCTGTGCAGCCTGCAACTCCAGTCATCACTACCCAGGCCCCATCTTATGTTTGGGGTGAGTAGACTATGCCAGTCTCCAAGGGATAAATAAATAATATGAAGAAGCTCCAAAATGCTTCTCACCCCTGTGCTGTCATGAAATGGAAATGACACCCAAAGCCAAAACTAGCCAAATTTATATCTTTGTTTTCCTGCCCATCCTGTAGTCATTATCAGAACCTCCAAACTCCAAGTTTCAGCCTCTTCCATCCGAAGCAGTTGAGCCACTAGGAATGTTTGAGAATGTTAGTAGATTTTAACTCTGTGTCTCTTTCTCTCCTGACTGTTGACATCAACTCTTTCATGCTCAGCGACATTTTCTTCATTACTTCATAAATACATGAATATTTATTACTATGAGGGGAAAGCACACTACAGTTTACAATGACTGCAGCTGGAAAAAATAATAATTAACACGAGAGATTTCCAGGACTCAGGAGAGTAAGCAGCCTAGGGAAGGCAAACTAGGGTCTGTGGAATATGAAAACAGCTGTCACCCAGAAACAACCAAAATGGTAAAGACCTGCCAAAGGACATTGTGTTGGCAGAAAATAACCAAGAGAAGTTTTAGATTATAGTGTGTAATTAGTGTGTAATTAACATTTGCATAAATATTTGCACTGCGGTACTTTGTGCATAGTATGGTAGTAGCGGATAGCAATTGCACACACACACACTCACACGTAACACACACACACAGCAAAAAGGCTCAAAAAAGTGTGTATTCATATACTTATTCAAAATCTTACTTGAAACTCAACTCCCTGTTTAAATCTTCCCCATCTTGCCTACAAAAAGTACTTGGCATTTTATTCCGATCTCTATGACTCTTTTCTGTTTATAAGTCTATTATTTCTTTAGACTCTAGACTCTTGACTTACCTGGTTTATTGCTTTCACAGTGCCCAGTGAAATGAAGGTATGTAGTAGATGCTCAATAATTGATGGCTGGGCCAGGTGCAGTGGCTCATGCCTGTAATCCCAGCACTTTGGGAGGCTGAAGTGGGTGGATCACTTGAGGTCAGGAGTTCGAGACCAGCCTGGCCAACGTGGTGAAACCCCATCTCTACTAAAAAAATAACAAAAATTAGCCAATTGTTGTGGCAGGAGCCTGTAATTCCAGCTACTCAGGAGGCTGAGGCAGGAGACTCACTTGAACCCGGGAGGCGGAGGTTGCAGTGAGCCAAGGTCATGCCACTGCACTCCAGCCTGGGTGACAGAATGAGACTCCATCTCAAAAAAGTTGATGGCTGAATGAATAAAGATGGTCAAGATGAGAATTGTGTGATTCAGTTTCATTTAACTACCTGGTAACATGCCCCAAGCAGGCAGTGTGTTAGCTACTGGAGAACAGGGACATCTCAAAGATTTGTGGCCTTTCCTTCACCGTGGTCTGAGATGATGGCTCATACTACACCTTATTGCTCAATCATTCAGCTAGTCAGACAGCCAACAAGCCTTTTCCCCCTCAGTGCTCGCAATGTGCCAGCCACGTGCAGGACCTTTGAGAATACCCAGCAGAGAAGTTAACAGACATTCCAATTTGATGTGATACATGCTGTGCTTGATATGTGCTCAAGATTTTTCGAAAACAGAGAGGAAGACATTCTGACAGGTAGAGTCAGTCAAGGCTTTCCAGGTTAATGAGCTGAATCTTGAAGGATGAGTGGGATGCTCAGATGGGCACTGCAGGCAAAGTATAGCACAAGCAAGTCCTGGAGATGGAGGAGAGATGGTAAGATGGCAGCCTGCAAGTGGCTGGCATGGCCAGGTGACAGCAATGTGAAGGCCTTTGGAGAGGTAAAGGTGGTATCTATGTAATCTGCATAATGCAGGTGAATGTCTCAGGTGGCCTCAATCCAGGCTCTTAGAGGGGTTAGGGAGGGTGAGGCCAGAAGAGGTAGGCAGGGCCAGACTTAGTGGCCCAAAGTGTAACTCAAAAAGACGGAGGCTGCTAGGGACAGGGGGCTTGCCCTGACTTGCAGGACTCTTCAAGGGTGGAATGCAGAATCCTCACCCTGTGTAACTGGAGTGCAGGCTCAGGGCAGAGAGCAAGTTCAGGATGCTGTCTCCCTTAGGGTTAGACATCCTCTTGTGGTCAGCATCCAAGAGGAAGAAGCGACCACACCCTGTCATTTGCTGTGGAGACTACACTGATGCCTCAACTTACACATATCAGGCTATCAACACAGTCTATTGAAATAGCTTACTTTTTTCTTTTGGTCATTTGCTTTGATTTCAAAGTCAGCCTTGTCTAATTGGTTGCTAAGATTGGGCTTCGTATCCAGTTAGGGTTGAAGCATTACATTTTACTATCCACATAATTCGTGAGTTAAAAATACTTCCAACAGTTTATGACTCATACTTTTCAACTCATAGATGAGAAGTGAGGTGGGTGACTGTGGATGCCTGCGATTTTGGTATAGGCTCAAGGGCCAGTGGGTTCTAAATGTGATTTCTGGTCTGCTGAAAAGGCCCTGACATTCCCAGATCATTCCAAGACTTTCGGGCTATACCAGAAATTAGAGCCACATCCATTTAGATTCAAGTTTATTACCTACTGTGATGAGTAACATTTTAAGTTTCTATCAATCACACAGTCTTTTATGTGTTTGAAAGATCTGGGAGTAGGTTTTGATAGGTGGGAGTCAGGGTTGGGAACAAGAGGTTACAGGGTGGGGGAGGCACAGAATTCACCTGGTTTTCGATTTCATATGAGATTAATGCAGTTTGGTTCAATGTGCCAAATATTTATGGAGCACATACTGCATTCAAGATATGGCAACATGTCCTCAGGCTATCAAAGATGGGGCTCCTGTGATGCTTGCCCTCAGTGAGGTTTCTAGCCTTTGGGGACACTGAGAAATATATCAATAACTGGGATGCAGCTCACAGTATGTTGAAACAAGCTGCTAAGGGGCACAGAGGTGGAGAGCGAGTAGGTTTGTGTGTGCAGATGGGACAAGGTGGGGACGTGAGAAGAAAGGGAGCTCAGGCCACATGGCAGTGGACACTGAGTGAGAATGCTGCCAGGTTATACAGACCCACCCTAGAGTTGGCTTGCTCATTTGTAAACTAAGGGTGATGAGTCTCCCCGTGTCCTGCAGAGGTATGTTGTAAAGGTTGAATGAATTGCATAATGCTAATGAATTTGAAATATATAAAGGGTGTTTAAATGCTGTTAAGGCCCCTCACAGTGGCTTACGCCTGTAATCCCAGCACTTTGGGAGGCTGAGGTGGGCGGATCGCTTGAGGCCAGGAGTTCAAGACCAGCCTGGTCAATACGGTGAAACCTCATCTCTACTAAAAATACAAAAATGAGCCGAGCCTGGTGGTGCACATCTGTAATCCCAGCTACTCAGGAGGCTGAGGCACGAGGATTGCTTGAACCCGGGAGGTGGAGGCTGCAGTGAGCCACTACACTCCAGCCTGGGTGACAGAGCGAGACTCCATCTCAAAAAAATAAAATAAAGTATAAAATAAGTTAAAAAATAAATAAATGCCATTAATTATTTCATTGTTGGCAGCATCAGAATCAGAACCCAGGCTATTTGGTTTAACCCTTAATCTCTGTGAGCCTTCCTGAAACTTTTTTCCCCTTTTAGTAGAATTTGCTTTATTGGAGAAATCTTTTGGTTGCTGTAGGCAGCTGCATGTGTCTCTTGATTTACAGAGGAGGGTGGAACAAGGACAAGGAGGAAGATGACATTGATAAGTGTGGGTGGAGAATTCTAAATTTCATGAGTCAAATACAATTTCTGGGACTCTTAAGATGCTTGGAACCTCTTTGAAAAACTGCCTTACACCCTGTGTTTTAAATTGTGCAGTGGAGCATACATTAACTGAGTGGGCCTGCCTTTACATCTCCAGTCCCATCTTAGGACTGGAGATCCCTCAAGCATTCAGGAGAACTTAGCTTCTTCCTAAGACATGGGTCTGTCCAGGCCTTGCTTGCATGAAATCTTACATTGTAAGATTTAAGTGATCATGAAATGAGAAATCTAAGCATTGAATTTATTCATGGACTCTGTAGTGGGAAACCTCCCCAATATACTCTTGTTTGAGTGACTTGGAAACCAGAAAGAAATAGGGCAACAACGCTGTTTATTTTGAACAATATTTCATTTGCTCTGCTTTCAAATCAATTATTTGTATTTTTGTTGTGACTGAAAATTGACAAATGTCAGAGGAAATGCTGCATGACTTTTCCCTGTCCTGGAAAATGAAGAAACATATTTATTGACCATGTCGGTGGTTTTATATCTAAGTATCAGCTGCTGTTCAAACCTGTTCTTTTCCTAATTTCCAACAGCATGAGTTCAGGTGGCAAGGGATACTTTCTGAGCAGGTAGTGTATTTTGTTAGAGGCCAGTAGGCGGTGTGTGGTGCAAAAAGCAGCCACTGATTCTTGTTTGACTTCTTAAATGTATCTATATTGTGGGAGTAAGAGGAGACTAGATGCGACCCACAGTCACTCACTGAGGAGAGAAGAGCCACCGCAGAACCAAAACCAAACCTCCCCTCTCTTGTAAGTAGCTTCCTGTAGCCAATCCATTCTGAAAATTACAAGCAAGGGTTGGAGTTGAGAGGGGATCTTCTTTCCTCTGCTCTTTGTTTTGCTTGGTAGTGGTCCTGCTGAAACCCTGGCTCCTTTTATCATTCTTTCCTTTTATAGTTTCTTCAGGAAAGCCCCAGGCCTCTGAGGCTGGCTTCCTCCCCCTCCAGAGATTTTAAATGTGAAGACAGGAAACGTTTGTTGGGCTTCGTCATTTTATGACACTGATGCCCACTCCCCCTCCCACACACTCTCATTTGATGCCTCCTAAAAAGTTCTGCCAACATTAAGCAACCATCTTTTAATGTGGCTTTGGCTGAACTTGTCCTCTAGGAAGTGTGTGTGGCAGGGCACTCCTATCTCAGCCACGGCAGCCACTTCAGAGAGCTGAGCTCATCCGCCATTCCAGTGTTCAGAGGCCCTGTGGGCGTCAGCTTCGCTCCTACAGCACTGGGAGGCCTGAGGACCAAAGCTACCTCTTCAGGGCCATCTGGCTGCTTCCAGGACCAGCCCTCTCCTTTCAGAGGTAGCTGCTAGGTGTCCCAACAAACGATGATATGCTGGGTATATGCATAGTATTTTCCAGGCGATCCCATGGGAAATGACAGAGTTTATGTGGGAACTAGAGAAATACATAGTAGTTAAAGGAATTGTTCATCCACAGCCATTCGGGCACTGATAGAAGGTGAATTTCCAATTCTCCTTTCTACCAAATTTTGTTTAATTAGCTAGTGTATTTTCACTGTTGAATCTCTAGAGCAGTTCTAAAATTGTAACATGCTCTGCCATCCCCAATTGCTAAACTTCACTGGAAAGCTCTGTGAAGTAGGTACGTGGGGGCTTCCTCCTACTTTCAACTAAGGAAACTGAGTTGGGGAAGAAGTTCTTATGTGGCCTAGAGCCAGACAGTGAGTGAAGGAGAGATATGCTCTAAAAACTTAGCCTCAGATTAGGAGACCCTGGTTTGCTCCAAGGCCATGGTTCTGTCCCTTTGCTGTCACACATATGTCAAAGGAAAGCTGTAGAAATGCATAAGAAACTCACAGATTACTGCGCAATCCACCTGGGTTACATCATCACAGGATTCAACTCTCACTTTGTCATTAGCCTTTTCTGTAAGCCCCGCCAAAGATTACCTTCCTAAAATAACCCTCAAAGCCACCAAAAACCTGAACTCTGCCTGAGGCAGGGTGTTTGAAGGCAGCCAGACCTTCCTCAGATTATCTAAGTGGTGATAGAGAGATAGTTACCAATGATCAAACTTCTTCCAAATCTCACAATTTGTACTGGATGGGCAGGCCAGCTGCTAGAACAAGTTTAAAAGAAATTTAAAATCTAGTTTCTAACCTCTCACTGTGTCAAAGGATTTCTCCTAATGTGAAAGAAACTTGGCACTGTTCCAGGTGAGGGAAATAATAGAGTGAAAAATACACATTTTCATGTGACTTTTTCTGTAAAAAATACCAAAGTCAAGAAAACCAAGTTAAATCATTATTCATTACCTCTAACAGCCACAAATTACCTTCTCTGCTTCTTGGACTATGGGCATCCATCTGCCTTTTCCTCCTTCGTGTGCTCAGCAATGATGTTTTGAGCATATGGTATTGGTATGTTAGATTTATGTGCATTTTAAAAGCATTGAGTCCACTTCACTTTAAGCTTCTCTGCTTTAGGGGTCGACCTACTGTAAAGCTACTTTCAGTTTCATAGTGATCCATCAATATGAGTCGGCTCCATGTTTTGGGGGTTGAGAGAACTATGTAACAAGGTGTTCTTTTAATGTCCTGCAAGTGTCAGTGCAGGATTTCCAGCTCAATGAAAGATCACTGAAATGCATTTCCTGGGCTAGTTTCTCATCCCATGGGCCCCTCACCTATAACCACAGCTAAACATGGAATTCTTTTATAGCCCAAAACTACGTAACTCTCAAATCAGCCCACAAAGCGTGCAAGAATATTTGGGTTCTGTTTTTATATGTGACAGAACTGTTATACCAGTCCTGCCTCACCTTTGTTATTCCAAGGAAAAGCATCTAAATGCTATCTACATGGACTGTTATAACAGGAGAAATTTGCCTTCTGTGTCTGTGTGTGTTTCAGCCTAGCTTTTTTTTTTTTTTTTTTTTGAGACAGAGTCTCACTCTTGTTGCCCAGGCTGGAGTGCCAGGGCGCGATCTCAGCTCACTGCAAACTCCGCCTCTCGGGTTCAAGTGATTCTCCTGCCTCAGCCTCCCGAGTAGCTGGGATCACAGGCGTGTGCCACCATGCCCGGCTAATTTTGTATTTTTAGTAAAGATGGGGTTTCTCCATGTTGGTCAGGCTGGTCTCGACAGCCTGTCCTCTTTATAGGTGGTGGTCGGGGTCCTTGCCAGGGTCCGATTGACCATGGTTCTTTTGAACAGATTTTTCCTGGAGATCTCAGCACAGGTGAAGCTCTGAATTGACCCACAGCATCCCCACAGAATGTGATTCTTGAGTCCTTTGTGAAGGTCACCTCCTCTAACCTCTCTATATATACATACTCAAACTTCTTTGGAGACTGGAAGATTGGAGGTACTATCTTTTAGAGTAGTTTTGCTGAAAAGTGATAAACTCCTTTCACAGTGTGGGAAAAGAGATCCAGTAAAGCTTAATCACTTGCCCACATTCACAGTGAATAGTGATTTTTAAGAGCTAGCAATAAATCAAATACATTTCCTGATATTGATACTCAAGTTTCTATACTTATAATCCCAGATGGTCAAAGATGGGCATATATACAAGACCTTCTCAAACAGAAACATGGGCTATCTCTGCCTTCTTCATGCAGTGCTTCAAGTTTGGGGGCCAAGGATTAGAAAGTACAGACCACTGTGTTAATTGTTGTGAGTGGATACCAAATAATAGCAACATGTGGTCCCCATGTTCTATGAGCCTCCAGTCCATTCGAAGAGAAGGAGCTCTAAAGCCACTAAAGGTCTGACAAAAGCAATGTGTGCTCATGCCTAGCGTGGTCTAACTATAGGAGCAGCTGACCTGACCGGAGGAGACTTGTACGGTGGATCCTCCTTTCTGGAACACTGACGAGAATCAAGAAGAGAAAAGTAAAACTTGTCCTGACAACAAGGTGTCCAAAAGCTCCCTCTAGAGCCCTAGAGATTCTTATTGTGAATCTCTTAGTTTAGATGATGCCCATAATATGGGAGTTTCCCATCACTCTGGAAACTTGCAGCCTTGGCTTTTAATTCAGAAAAATTGGCTTTGAGAATAGGAACTATTACTTGCTGGCTGTGTGATCTTGGGAAAGTCACTGACTTTACTGAGTTCACTTCTCTTCATCTGTAAGTGGGGATATCTACCCACAAGGATTTTGTGAGGATTATCAGCAGTAATCTGTGGGAGTATGCAGATGACAACACCAGATGCTGTCACAAGGGGGCTCTTACAAGCACGCCATTACCTAACCAAGTGGACAATAAGACCCATATTAGAAGGGAGGTGGGGGTGAGTAGTCAGGGAGGTAGGGGTATTGGAAAGAGCAAGGAGTTCCAGCTAACAGGTGACCACAGGGGTAGAGGTCACATAGCATAACATGGATTATCAGCTGTCAGGGTCAATGGCCAGACCTGACCCAGCATGAGGGTATCATTATGTTACAGCTTGGCACAGGGCAATCTGTCCAAGGATGAGTTTTCCCCAGCCAGCTTCCACATACCTGAGAGCCTGATGTTAGGGAAGGTTTTGTCGTTTTTGTATTGAATTATAATAAGAATAACAACGATGACAACAACTAACCCAACTAACACTGTGTTCCAGATACTCTTCTAAGGGCTTTACGTTACATCATATTAACTTATTTACCCACAGAACAATTCATTGAAGAAGGTACTGCTATCCTCGTTTCACAGACGGTAAAGCTGAAACTCAGTGAGGAAACTTTCTCAAAGCCGTGTAGCTATGAAGTAGTGGAGTCATGGTTTTTGGCCAAGCTGTCTGTTCACACTTTCAACCACTATGTAAATGACATATTAAGACTTCTGACTCCTCATTTGTCAGATATGCTGAAAAATCTTAATATTTGCCTTTTAATTTTATATTTTTGTACATTCAGAAATTTTCAATTTTTATAGTCGTTTATCAGTTCTTTTTTAAAAAAGGATTCTTCCTTGCCCACACCAAGTTCAGCTGTTTTTTACTTCATTCTATTTCTTTTATGCTTTTATTTAAAATTTATTTTGAGTTTTTATTTTTGAGATAATTATAGGTTTGCAGGAAGTTGCAAAAATCATGTGGAGAAGTCCTGTGTACCCAATGGTAATGTCTTACATAATTATAGTGCAATATCAAAACCAGAAATTGACATTGGTATAATGTATATGTATTATGTCATGCCATTTCATCCCAGGTAGATTTAGATAATGAACACCACAATCAAGAGGTAAAACTGTTCCATTACCACAAAGATCTTTATGCTTTGATTTTTATTCACAATTTTTTGGTTCATCTGGAATTTATTTTGGTGTTATTGAGAAGCAGTGATTCTATTTTCTAATTTCCAATTTTCTCAGCACCATTTGTTTTACAAATCCCATTTTTGACACTGACTAGAAATTTCACCCTTTTATCCCAGCATAACACTATTACAAATCCTATATCTTTCAGACCCCAGAGCCATTGCTCCTTCTGATCCACTACATTTCATCCTAAAATTTGGGTCATGCCAGAAGTAATATTTAATTTTTATGCCATCAGAAGCTATAGAGCTTGAAGCAAGGTCTCGGACCACTTAACTGTGCTGCTGGTGCCAAATTATTGCCTTTTTCCTTGACATTTATCCCTGGATTTTACTGGGACAACAGGGAAAACAGCACCATCTTCTGCACCCTGGCGGCTCCTTTCCATGGTGGCATATCTCAGAAACTCAGAGGGGACTGGTGTGGTACAAAGGGCATGAGTTCAGAGCCATAAAACCGGGTTCCCTCACTTTTCTTAATTTCCTTAATTTTTCTTTGGCCTTAGTGTCCATCATCTATAAAATGAGAAAAACTCTATCTGCTTCAGAGGCATGTGATTTTTATGAAGACTACATGAGATCATACCTTTAAATATATGGCCTAGGAAGGGCTCAGCATTGTCTAGTATTTATATGATCATTAATATTTCTAATAATACAGCATTTCCTTTATTCTATGGTACATATATTTTAATTTATATTTAAAGACATTTATATCAGTATGTGTCTTCAATCATGATAGTGATTCTTATCCTTCTGGAAAAGTCATTATGGAGTGGCTGGGCGCAGTGGCTCATGCCTGTAATCCCAATACTTTGGGAGGCCGAGGCAGGTGGATCACTTGAGGCCAGGAGTTCGAGACCAGCCTGGCCAACATGGCAAAACCCTGTCTCTACTAAAAATACAAAAATTAGCCGGGAGTGGTGGTGCACACCTGTAGTCCCATCTACTCGGGTGGCTAGGCAGGAGAATCGTTTGAACCCAGGAGGCAGAGGTTGCAGTGAGCCAAGATTGTGGCACTGCACTCCAACCTGAGCGACAGAGCGAGACTCTGTCTCAAAAAAAAGAAGAGAAAAGTCAGCATGATAAGAGTCTTCGAATTTGGGAAATGTGGTCATTGTGAGGTTAGAGCATGGACTTGATTATAATAAGTGGAAACATCTTCCTCTCTGGGTGATGTTTCTCATGGCAGTGGCTTCTTTGGTGGGCAGTAACATCCATTCAGCAACTTTCTAGAGGCTGCTCTGGTGTGGGGACAGCCAGCCTTGTTCCCAGCACCACTTCCAGCGAGCAGCTATCTCTAGAGACCTTGCTGAGTCTGGATCTAGAAGAAACCATAGCATTGACAAAAAATTTTGAGATAGCTTTGTGTGCTGGCTTTGCATTTAGAAGGCTAGGTTATATAATCTGGCTGCCTCCTTTTTTCTTTTCTTCTGAGCATAGTTCCCAGACTCTCACTTTGCTCAGGATGAGCAGTCCTGCTCCTTAAAAGAGTCTTCACAAAGATTGTGGTCATGACACAGTTCGGCTAAGTAGAGAACTACCCACCCTCATTGTCCACCCTCACTCTTGGAACAAGAGCATCTCTGTGTTAGCATGTCCTAGCAGCTTCCTCGGATACCTGGATATCCTATAATTGCCCAAGGTAGAACTGTTTGGACTGAACTCGAATAGTGACTCAGATTACATGAATTTACACCTAACACTAAAAGAAGAACCTGCCTTTAAATGAGGGGTATAGATTTGAATTTTCAGTGTAAGCTAAGAAAATGCTGCAAAATCTACTTTTTTTTTTTTTTTTTAAAAAGGCAGAACTGTTTGGGCAAAGAGAACGTTTTCTTCGTCTCCTTTCTTTGCTTCATCCTCATTTGTTTCGGAAGGTGTTTTGAATGAATGTATATGCGTGTTTTTCTTCTAAGTTGTCATCATATAACACAAGAATGATGCTGTGATTATCATTTCCTAAAGAGGCACTCCTACAGGAAATTGGGCTGCAAGAGAGGAAAAGTGTGTGTTTCCCTGAAGGAAGTGCTTGTAGAAAGCTAAATCTGGGAAACAAATCATGGAGAATGTATAAATAGACTTCTGGCTCTTTGCATTTTAGTGGTGAGATAGTACCTTTGGTCCTATGGAACACAAATGTTTTTTGGATATGATCCTTAAGGCATGTGAAAGATTCAGGTTTAATTTTAAAACCAGCACCTACAATCTTCCAATAACCCACTTTCCCTAAACCACTTGACCACAGGCACATATACCACAACCATCAACATCAGGAAACTTACAAATGGGAAAATTGAATTTCATTTAAAAAAGGAATCTCCATGGATGTAAGCCTTAAATATTGTTTCTAAGTAGATCTGGTGGATTTTTGTTTCTTACCAAAGAATTGACTTCTTTTGTTAAAACTTGGTTGTAATATAAATCATAATGGAAATATCTTTTTCTGTGCATTTAGAAAATACAATAAAATTTTAGCAATGAATAGGAGCTTTGGGAGAAGAAATGAATTACAGATTTTTAGCTGTTAGCAGAAATGATATACAATCTTTCTTTGTGGTATTATTTAATAATATTTATATACTTTGAATAAAATGAAATAGAGATAAGTCATTCCTCACCTTTCAGCTTCAGGAATAGAATGTGGTCTCAAGGATACTTGCCATGTCTCCACAGCACCATTTAAAGTGACAGGAAGCAGAGAGATATATTAGTACTATTGAAGTATTTCAGTACTAACGTCAACATTGGGTACCAGGACTGAAACACTTCCTGGGTACTCTGTGCTTTAATGGTGTCCTATACTTACCTCAGTCTGGATGTCTGAGACTTGATGCCCTTCATTCCAGGTTGTGATAAAGCAAAAAGGAAAGGAGAATTGCATTGAGTATGTAGAGTGTGTACATCCTGCAGGGCCTGTCAGAGCTCTTAGTGGATGAAGGAAGTAAAGGAATAGGTCAATAAACTTTTCTGGAAGCCGTTAGTGTTTGTTTCATTCTCACCTAGCCTACTGCTCTCTCCTTTTATCTGTGGTCCCTGCTTCTCTTGCCCTATCTACATTAGCTCAATCATGCCACCACCTGCTCAGAGCCCTTGGAGGCCTTCCGATCACATCATGTTCTTCTTGTGAATATGGGACCTGCAAGCACCTATGTGATCAGGGGCCTGGCTACATCCTGAACTCATCTCCTGCCACTGACTCCCTTGCTGAGCAAACCCCTGCCTCAGGTCTTTATACTTGCTGTTGCTTCCGCCTGAGCACTCTAGATATCCTCATAGCTTTCCTTACTGCAGTCACTGCTTGCTCAAATATCACCTCTTCAATGCACTCCCCAACCCCCACCCCCAGTTATCATGCTCTATTCCCTTCCGCTTCTTTCTTCTGGTCCATAGTATTTCTCACCTCTCTATATCAGATTACATGTATTCATCTGTTTATTGCCAGTCTCTGTCATCAAGATGGAAGTTCCTTGAGGGTAGAGGCTTTGCCTGTAGAGTTTACCATAGAGGTCCCAGTGCCTAGAACATAGAGGAGCAGTAAACATTTGTTCAATGAATTATTTTGTTAGTAAACATGAGTACTTGCCTCTCTTGGAACTTCCTATCACAAAATTGTACAATAAGTATCTCTTATTCACTGTCAGGAATTATGATGACATAAATTTTAGAAGAGTCACTAGGGATCATGTGATCCACCAGTTTTCAACCTTTATTTTAGCAGTGCAAGAGCACACAATGTTGTTTGATGCCCTTTTGATAAGACTCCTATGGGTATTCCCACATGTGTTAACTCTTCCCCACCAAACAATAACTAGCCCCATCCATTATCACGCTAAGAAAAGTTTCGTAAGTAATTACACAACAATTAGTCATGTCTTAGCCTATTTCCCTAGAAAGTGGATTCATGTGCACAGGATTTAATGAGGGAGCAGTCTTTAGGAAAATCCTGTAAGAGAGTGAGGAGAGCAAGATAGAAAAGGAGGAGGATCTACAAGGATATGGTCTTAGGCAAAGTCTAGCCTTGGTCTGGTCCCCAGGCTCACAGGGCTGTATTGCCCTGCAAGGAGTTCAGGCTTAAGAACCTTATGTCATTGCCAACCCAGGGTTGTGGGTAGGTGGCTTCCCAGGCATCTCTCCTTGTTCTGCCTAGCATGGAGAAGTAACTGGAGAAGGACACAGGTGTAAACGTTTCCTCAGCTGTATTCCTCCAAGCAGCCAGAGTACAAGTGCATTGGCTGGTCAGGAAGATCTGAATGGGTGGCACCAACAGCCTCTACTACAGATGGTTTCTCCGTAGTGGTTACTCACTATAGGTGATAACCGCAGTTCTCAAACTTCAGTTTCAGAATCACTTGGAGGGTGACTTAAACTACATACATATTGTGGGGCTTCACTGCCGGAATTTCTGACAGATCTGGGGTGAAGCTCAAAGATTAATTTCAATAAATTCCCAGGTGCTGCTGCTGCTAGTCAGGGGTTAGGAACCAACTTCAAGAACCACTGGTTATAGCATACTGAAGATTGCCTTGAAGACATTCTCAGACAAAAGAAACACAAATTTTACCCTAAACAGCATTGGAAGCAACATAGATCTTTACTGAAATTTTCTTGAGGAAAGGACAGGGCTGTACATAAACTAGGGACAGCACCCAGCTAACTTCCTAAAAAAGAATTCCTAGATATTGCTCCTCTTTTCAAAATTCCCAGTCTTCACTGTACTGACTGCATCTATCTCTGGGTTATGAAACATTCTCTGCATGTTAACTATACGGCGGACCACCTCTTTCTCTCTCATTCTAGAAAATGCTGTAGAACGCAACACAGAGGAGATACATTTCTACAGACACAACCTTGAAGTTGCTTTTACTTACTGAGAAGCCATTTGTAAATTTTTATTCTACAAGTATTAGGAACAAATTATTTGTGATCCATCTCAGTTTGTGGAAATAATATAGATACAACCCCAGCCTCTGTTTTATAGATGGTGAGTAAGGGGCACTGAGGGTGGTAAGGCTGTTAATGTTTTACCCCAGAGAACTTATCTTTGGAGTTTTTCATCCACTTCCTCCTCCTTCATTCTCACTCCTCTAGATCTTCATAAAAAGGGTAGTTTTAAAGATGTGTGTGTCTGTGTGTGTGCAAGCAGGAGAGAGAGAGATTTCTAAAATCATACCTAAAGAAAAACAAATGAGAAAAACTTTATAATCACATTAATAACTAGTCTAGGAAAAAAAGAGATGCTACAACTAGATAATTTTATTTGAGTGGAGAGCCCAGCAAATAATTATCCACTTACTGAAAGATCAACCCCAGGGCTCATCAGAGGTTTTATTATTGGTTAATTTATTTTTTCCCATGGGATCTTAATTTAAGAAAATTACCTTGAGGAGTTTTTATTTGAAAAGATGCCATCTAAAATAAACTCAAGGTTTGCCTGTATGTTCTCTGTGTTTAGAGTGTGAAATGCAGCCGTTAAGGTGTTACAGGATAAGCTGCTGCCAGTGGACTGGGGTAAAGGAAGGAATTGGGAGTACAGTGTCGTTGCCTGAGTTGGTTGATATACACTTAGGTCTGGAGCACTGTTTAACAAGGTTAATGAAACTTCTAAATCAGAGATGAGCAATCTCAAATGCCTACCAGGGCTGGGCAGGGAACAGCAGTAAGTGAAGGCCAACGGGTGTGAGAAACTCAGGAGAAGTGACCACTGCGCTGCCCAAGAGAGGACAACTTTTCTTCAGAGAGCAACTCCGACCCAGCCCCTGGTGTTAAAAGAAAAGCTGGAGGCTGGGCGCGGTGGCCCATGCCTGTAATCCCAGCACTTTGGGACGCTGAGGTGGGTGGATCACAAGGTCAGGAATTCGAGACCTGCCTGGCCAATATGGTGAAACCCTGTCTGTACTAAAAATACAAAAATTAGGTGGGCATGGTGGCGCACACCTGTAGTCCCAGCTGCTTGGGAGGCTGAAGCAGGAGAATCACTTGAGGCAGAGGTTGCAGTGAGCCGAGATCCCACCACTGTACTCCAGCCTGTGTGACAGAGCAAGACTCTATCTAAAAAAAAAGAAAGAAAAAGAAAAGCTGGAAATCAGGATTTTGTTGTGAAATTTGATAATGGAGACGTTAGTTTGCAACTTCTGTATTAAAAACTGCCATACCCATTTCTCTTTCCTATCCAGTCCTCCCCATAGACCTCCATTCCTCCATCTTTTGAAACTTCAGCGCTGCTGCCCGCAGAGTTCGCTGCTCCCTATGGAACCTTATCACTAACTGTTGGAGTCACTCATTGAATTTATACTGTTTTGTGAATTCTGTTTATATTTGAAGTCATTGATAAAATGTTTCTGTGTATCTTCAACTAGATTTTAGGTTTGTAAACTCTGAGCACAGTATCCAGTCTCATGGGTCTTTGAGTTCCCTGGAGTGGCTCATGCCTTGACATGTACAGAACAGGATGACTGGATGACTGGCCTGCGCTTAGGTAGCACTTAACAGCGTGGCAGAGGTGTTCACATCCTCACTCTCATTCAGTTCTTCCCATGGCTCTGGAAGTGAGGTCCGCATCAAAGATGAGGAAACTGCGGCTCCGCAAGCCTAGCTGACTTAGAAGGCGGCCCAGCCATAACAGCTGGCACTTGAAACTGACTTTGACTTTGTTGCCTTCTATAGTATGTAGACTGCAGCTTCTTTGCTTGGTAAATAGGGGTTATGAATGATAGATCCATGTCTGAATATTCAAATTATTTGTATGGATTACTAAACATTCATCTTGTAACTTTTAGGAATGGTGTTTGTTAAAGGAGCAACGCTAACAGAGAAGTTGATAGGTGAGATCTGATAGAAAAATATAACCTACCTCCTCTTAACCACAAGTAATTCTATAAGAACAGATTCAGCTGTATTTTCTAGCCAAATAAAGCATATTGTGTTGTTGCATCAGGCAGAACTGGAAAGCAGCATATATCTCACATTATATGTTTCACATGAAAGTTGATTTTTCACCATAATTTGTTATGGGATGTTGTGCAAACCTCCTGGAACATAATGCAGTATGGAAGGAAAACTACTGATTGCCTCTGTAGAGAAAAAGAGTTTAGGATTATATAAAATTTGTCTTGAGTATGCAGCTTTTACTTGAAATGCTGGCCAAATAAAATGGAAATATATTTGTTTCTTTTAAAGTATTTCTTAGAACTACCAGTTAATTGCTATCTTTCCAGAAAGGGATGTCGAATCCAACATTTCAACATTCAGCCTCTGAATATACCTCAGAAGAGGATGGAGTCTCTTACCTGAGGCCACAGGGGGCCCTTTGGCACATGCAGGCCTCACATCTCCATAGAGTTAAACTTAGGGAGCAGACTTCAGAGTGCGCTGCCATTATTTTATTCTTTTGAAACCTTTAGATTTTACTGCCTCTGGACCTTGGGCCCATCCCAGAACTTTTTCAGTGACTTGATAGTAAAACGTCTTCCACATCCCTTTCAGTCACAAGACTTGTCTAAAATGTATTTCTTACATTCACATGGTGGAATAGCAAAATCTCTGAACTACTTTAGAATGAAAGCCTCTATTTTTTTCCATCAATGGCCCACTTCAATTCAGAGGTCTTTAATGAAGGGAGGAGGAGGGGGTGCGGTTGGCTTCTGTTCCGTTTCCTCACTTGTCCTGCACCCCTGGCCCCAGTTACCTGTCAGGAAAGGGACACAGCAGAGTAGATGCAAGGACAGGAGAAGCCTCCCCTGACTGGCACTGTGTAGTCTGGTGTAGACCTTCTCTGGGGTGGAGACTGCTGCAGGCTGACCCTCTCCCAGAAAGGGCAGTTTTGTTCTTCTTCCACTCAGAAAGTCCTCCTGCAGGGCTCTGGGCTCAGACAGTGCCTCTCCTGTGCCTGGCCTCCGAGCATTTCCTTAGCCCCTTCTAAGTCCTGTAGGTATGATAACCCTCCCATCTTTTCTTGGTTATCTTCTGCAGGCCTCTTTGATTAAGCTTGAGGGCAGGAAGAAGCAGTTCCTTTGTACATCCATGGTCAGGGTGTTATCACAAGAAATGCCACTGTATTCCAATAATTTTATACCTATTAGGTAGATGTTGAATTAAGGGTTAAAAACCAGTTTTCACCACTGCCTTGCAAGTCCTACCAAGGCATTCTAGAATCACAGCCACCTGTAAATTTGTGTTTAACCTTTGGGCCTTAACCACAACAGAGGTGGATGTAATTCCATCTTCATATTCTGTAGCATGTGCAAATCCTTCTCTGCACTTACACATCTAGCTGTGGTCAATTTGAGTGTTTGTCTGGGAATTATCAGTTGTGTAGAAAATTGTTTGGATTATTCCTTCTGTTTCTCTCCAGTCCCTACCCTCTCCTGTCCCTCTCCCAATGCTCCCCATCACATCATGCATAAACTTTTCTCCATATTCTCTTAACCCTTTTGGAAAAGAGGCATTTTAACCACATTAGGGGACATCATTTGGTATCTAACTTCCATTTCCCATGTAGAAAACCATCTGAAGTTATTAAATTAAGAAACATTTTAAACTTTATGTCAGTTTCCATGAGAACATTAATTAGCTAATATTAATCATTGAAAACAAAACAAGGCCGGGTGCAGTGGCTCATGCCTGTAATCCCAGCACTTTGGGAGGCCAAGGCAGGAGGATCACTTGAGGTTAGGAGCCTGAGACCAGCCTGCCCAACATGATGAAACCCTGTCTCTACTAAAAATACAAAAATTAGCCAGGTGTGTTGGTGAGCGCCTGTAATCTCAGCTACTTGGGAGGCTGAGGCAGGAGAATTGCTTGAACTCAGGAGGCGGGTTGCATTTAGCAGAGATTGTGCCTCTGCGTTCTAGCCTGGGGGACAGAGCCAGACTCTCTCAAAAAAACAAACAAAAAAAGAAAACAAATCAAAAAAATAGAAACAAAAGGAACATAACTACTCATCCCCCACCCAAATTCAAAAGATTCTCTGAGATTTGTCATATACTTATTTAAGTGTCCCTAAAAAGAGAGCTATGGTTCTGCTGTAGTTTCTGTTTAAATCTCCTAGTTTTGCCTGAAGCCATGAAGTTAACCTCAGAGCAGAGCCTCTCTCCAGCCCTTACTCCCCAAATGAAAACCATGTGCTTGTGTGGGTTTTATTTGTTTTTCTTTTTTAAGATCTTCTCCATTATTTAAGGAAATTATTACATAACTGCATAGGTCTTCAATAATAGAGTTCACACTGGCTTTTATCAATTAAGTCACAAATAGTTTTTCTCAGAAGCAAATTTAACTCTAGACATTTTTAAAGCTGATTGTAATACCCTGGAAAAGCTAGAAACTTCTTGCATGCTAGCCAAGTCAAACTGTACAAGAGAATACATGGAAATAATATGTGGATGAAACAATAATACTTGCACAGTTCCTAGCCATACTTTTCTCCTTCCGTGAAGGCAATTAATCAGTCTAAACTCCCACACTGGGTAGTGCCACTTCTGACCCTGTTTAAATGTAGAAATATGTAATTCATACTGAAGTTCTATCATGTTCCTAAAACTCAGCGGCAAATCACAGGTCAGTACACAGAGTGAATGTGGCTTCTCTGCCTTCCACTTGCCAGGAGTTAAGGTTGTGTATGGAAAAAAAAAATTGTAAGGGTGTGACTTGGATTATAAAAATCACACTTTTAATTCCACTGAAACATAAAAAAAAATAAACTCTCTCCTTTGTTCTTAAAATAGACCAAATTTGTACAGATAGGGCATTCTTGAACGATCTATTCATTTCAGTTACACAACAGGGAATGAGCAGTTATGGTCAGTGCAGCAAACACAGCAAAGGTATTGATGCGGGGTGGGATGGGAAGTTTTGCTGCTGTGACCTCATCTATACAATTGCAGAAGAACATCTAGCCTGCCTCCGCTGTCTTCTTAAAGTCCCATCTCCTGTTCCCTGGCATCCAATCCCATCTCCCTCCCTTCAGGAACCCAGTGTCTTCCACTACAGGATGGAAGGAATGTCACCCAAAGCATGCTCCATCCATCAGTTGCCCTCATTTTCCATAAAACAAACAAACAAAAGAGCTCAATGTGTCTAAAACTGAGCTTACCTTTGCCCCCCCTCATGTGTTTTCTATCTCAGTGGATGGGCACGAGCATCTACCAAACATAAAAGCTACAAAAGGAAGAATCATCCCAGACTTCTCCCTGTCTTTACCTGCATATTCAATCAGTTGCTGAGTCCGGATTCCACCTCCTCTTCCTATCTTCTGATTCCTTTTCTGTTTTCCCAGACTTGTCTTTTGACATCCTCCCTCACATCTCCTGCCATATGCTTGTTAAGCTGTTCCCAGTCCCTGTACCCCCAACTCTGTATCAGCCAAGTGATTCTTCACATACCACTTTCCTGTGGTTTTTCGCCCTCCCCTGTTTCCTCTTGGACCATAGTTTTCTTCTTTGTTCTCCTGTTGCACCCTCCTCTCCATCAGGAAAGTAAGGATTGCATTTTGTAGCGCTTGTTATTGACTTATCTTTCTTCCTCACTAGCTGGCGTTCTGAAGTCAGAGACATTTTCCTATTTCTCTCCTGTCTTTAGTGCTAAGCACAGACAAGCCGCTTATTAAGTGGTAGGTGAGTGTATTGCTGGATTTGGGCATTATAAGAGGAACTTGTGAACTCAATTGATGAGCTGGGTGGGGAACATGTTCCTGACTTTAACATATTGCTTGACCCTGGTGAGCTGCCAGTAAATTCCTGTGGAATTCTGTTGAATACTGAAGCAGGGAGGTTTTCCTGCCCTGCACAATCCTCCTTCCTCCCTGATTCCATCAGGTCAGAAGAGTGGTCATCAGCAGTGAAGAAATACTAGGTTTCAATTTGCTGGATCCTATTACATATAATGTGACTGAGCAGTAATAAGTCAGGGAGCCCAAATGGCTGATTGATGTTTAACCTGTACAACTGTCATCTCTGCAGAAGGTCCAAACAGTTACTTCAAAACTTTAACTCATTCCAAAGTCTACTTCTGTTTAACAAATTTAATTAATGAATCAATGGTTATCTATTAAATGCTTGTTGTGTTTAAAGGGATTAGTAATATTTAAATAGAATAAGCTTTAAATATGTGAGCACAAAAGAACTATTCAATAAATATCACTAGGGTAATTGGCTAATCATTTGTGAAAAGAGTAATTTTTGAGATTACTTTTATTAAATATTTCAATTTAATATATAATAATAGAAAACTAAGGTAAGCGTTTATCACAGAAAATCAGAGAAATCATGGACATGAAGCCAATGAAGAAAGCAGCTCACTATGTAAATACTAAAACTTCTCTGTATCTACTAAACACAACCACAGTATATAAACGCAGATAATATATTTTATAGATTTCAGATATGGATTGAATGATGCAACATTATAAGTATCAATGAGAAAGAAAAAATGCCACTAGTCTAACTGTGATATACCATGAATTGTAATATATAACTAGATTTTAAAGATGTTAAAATGCGAAAGAAAAATGTGCCTTTTGGGATCAACAAAGTATAGTAGAAAACTAGAAAAAAAAACCAATATGATAGAAAAATGTCATCTGCTCACCTCTACTGGGAATGTAATTTTATACAATATTTTAGCAGTTATATACCAGAAAGTTTAAAATATGCACCCTTTTGACACAAAATTTATTTCTTGAATGTATGCTGAGGAAATAATCAAGAATACATAGAAAGATTAAGCTACATATTTGTTCACTGCGATAATATTGTTGCAGAACTTTCTCCTTAGTTCAGCTAAAAGCAGGCTCTTGTCACACGACCAGGAAAGATTAGGCTCGCGGACACATAGAAGGGTGAGGAAAATGGAATTTATTGGGCGAAGGGGAAAAAGGAAAACGAACCAAAGCAAGAGAGAGCCCTGCTAGCAGCTTTTCTGACTCACAGATTGAATCCCAGGTCACCACAGGAGCTGAAGACAGCAAGCTCCTCCCGTGCACAAGGCGTGAACTCCCCGTGGCCCCACCCATTTCCCCCAGGGCACATGTCGGGCTCCAGTCCACTGTGGGCATGCCCAGACAAGCCCTGGGCAGGTTCCCTCATTTGCACAAAAGCTTCTGATGTAAACACTTGTGGGGAAGGTTGGAGATTCTCTGGGGACCCCTTTTTATCTGTGTAGGCATTTGGCTGTCTCAATATTTATAAAACTGAAATATTGGGAACAATTTAAACGCACAGAAATCAGTGATTAGTTGAATAAATTATAGCATATCTATGTCAGGGCACTGCCCTTGATATTTACAAATAACGCTGTAGATGAATAGTAATTGGCATGGGAAGATCTTCACTGCATCGTTTGGTTCCAGGATTTTTTCTAAGAAAATATCCATAGACATAGTTATAGATATATAGATATAAATACATAGAAAAAAATATTTGGAACTAAATTTATATTAGAGGTAGTTACTGAAAATGGTACATAATGAGAAGTATATTCTCCTCTTCTTCTTTATTCACATATTTTAGTTTTTAAAAATTATCTATAATAGCACAATAATGAAAAGTTATTTTCTATTTTAAATGAAAGATATGTCTTTAATAAACTGATAAGATTGACACAGTAAAGGGAGAATACAAATGAAAGTGCTTTTGGAATAAAAATAGAAACTGTGCTCTTGATTTTGGTCATTTGTATCAAATCATATTTCATGCAAAGCAATAAGCATTCTGATATAAAAACTAGCATCTCCCATTTTATTGCTGTGTTGATTAATAACAAATCAGTTTTCTATTTGTGTCTCATATGTGTATTAAGACTCTAACCTCTGCAACCAAATCCAACAAAATCTTGTGAAAAATTTCAGAAACAATGTTTGAGAAGAAACCCGGGACTTAAAAATGAACAAGTATGCAGTGTAAGCTGACCCTGAGTGTCACATTTTAACATCTGTTTTTCATGTTGTGATACTTATTTGAGATTTGGTATTATTAAGTAACGAGGAAAATATCTTACTGTTTCCATAGGTAACAGGGCAGTAACTTGAGGCTGATGGATTGGCATGCTTTGTCTATATAATGTAATTCAAATAAAGTCATAACATTTTGGCTATGGCTTATTTGTCAAACATTTATACATTTTTTTTGTCTGATAAATGAACTGCTAGGCTTTCTGACTGTTTAATAATAGTCCAATAAAAAGGGAGCAAAATAGCTTTTGACCTTCCATTTAATATTACTACCAGCAGTTTGGAGATTTAGGTGTATATGTAAACATTTAAAAATGATTTTGCATTGACTTTTTTTCAGAAAAAGCACTTTTAATATTTTAAATAATACTTATTGAAATGGATTCCACATACTTGTGTCTGAGCCAGTGTCCACACTATTGCCACAAACTCTGGGAACAAATTCTTATATATCAGATACTATACAAATATTTATTTATAATCTTTTCCCACAGACTATATGATATAAAAATTTAAAAGCCAGTATGAAAGTAGACCACTTAAAAAAGGTAACTGAATATGGTTCCCTAAGGAATTAAGGCCAATTTGGAAATTTCTTATGTAACATTCCTAAAATACAAATTTCATCATGTTATTCTATGTCTAAACTTTTTCATATCTCTTCATTGTCCTTAAGATAAAGCCCGATGCCCCGACATAGCTTATGGAGCCATATGTGATCTGGCACCTGCCATTCTCCCTGGGCTCATCTTTTCTATGAAACCCCTTTGATCCTTCAGGGCATTGACTGTGTCCTGCTTTCTGGTATATAGGCCTTTGCACATGCTGTTCTTTCTGAAACTGTCTGGCCATTCTTTTCCTTTCCCTGTTCCTCAGTCCTCTGTATCCTAATCTTTTTCACATTCTGTTCCAGGCTCTAATCATCTCTAATGTATTGTGATTATTCTTTAAATCTCCTGCTTTCCTAGCTGCTGGTGTATGCATCACATCAGCTTTCCACCCCTGACCATGGTCTCCCTCAGGGACTTTCAGTTGAGCTTGTTGTTCCCACATTGGATTCTTTGGCATTATACCTAGCTGGAGCCAGCCCCGGAGAGCCACATGCCAGGGGACCTTAAAACCTGTGGGACTTCTGCAAGCCACCAACTTAGGAAGAGCAAAACTGAAAACCAGGAAAAAGATTTTCAGAACTGAAAACCAGGCAAAAGCCCACAACAGAAAAATGGAAAGCAGAATGAGGTTGAGAAGTGGTTCCACACAGAGGGAGAACTGGGGTGAAGATGAGAATCTGTTGGGCGAGATGAGGTGAGAAGCAATGAAGCTGCTGAAATAAAGGTGCATAAGGGAAAAGACAGGAGTGCGGAGAGCTTAGGTGAGACGTCACTTAGTAGGCAGAGCACACACAATTCTGTTTTGTTTTGTTTTTGAGACAGAGTCTCACTGTCACCAGGCTGGCATGCAGTGGCACGATCTCGGTTCACTGCAACCTCCACTTCCTGGGTTCAAGCAATTCTCCTGCCTCAGCCTCCTGAGTAGCTGGGATTACAGGTGTCTGCCACTACGCCCGGCTAATTTTTGTATTTTTAGTAGAGATCATGTTGGCCAGGCTGGTCTCGATCTCCTAACCTCAAGTGATCCACCTGCCTCGGCCTCCCAAAGTGCTGGGATTACAGGCGTGAGGCAGCACACCAGGCTGGGAGCACATGCAATTCTGGTACAAGTCATAAACCTAGATTCTAGTCCCCCCACTGCCAGACCTTGGGTAAGTCACTTAACCTCATGTGATTTTAGAGTCACATGACCTTGGTTAAGTCACAAACTCCTTGGTCCTGAGTATTCTTATCTATTAACCAAGGAATTTGTGTTAGATCTGTATTTGTCAAAAGGCACGTAAATGTTAAGAGGTACAAGGGGACATGGAGGGGTTCACAAAGATATGGCATAAAAATGCCGCATCTTGGATTACTTTTACATAATGGAACAATTTTAAACATTTTAATCCAGAGAAGAATGGAGATGCTGTATATCAAATGCAAAATTTGAACAGTTTTAGAATGAAGCATGAGAATACAAAGACATTTTATTCATGGTGAGGCCTCTGTAGACTCTTCCCCAAAATGTATATGGAATCTCTGTTCACTCCTCTCTACTATTTGGGGCCCTTCAGTGGACATGTATGAGAAAGAATGACTACAGTATTAGTCAGACTCTTTCCAGCTGAAACAAGAAGTTTTTAAGAATAAGATTAGTGTAATGTGTTAAATATGAAGTTTACTAATAACAGTGTTCTGTCTCTTAGAAATAAGTAAAATAATAGCCTTTAGATGGCCAGATGCCACTCTGTGTCATGTTTTTGCTCCTTGAATGTATATATTTTGTAATAAAATGCATCCCTTACGTATCATCTTTGAATGAGACTAAAAGATGCACGGTGTTTTGACAACATGAAGAAAGCTTTACAGCATGTTACATGGAAGATTTTAAAACACTGAGCTGTATTTTTTCTTTATATTTCTAGGTTCTACCTGGATTTGTAAGAGTCAGGTTATTTTTCCTGGTTTTATGAAACTTATCTTCCAAAAGCACATAAGGTTAATTTTTTGAAATACTCAAACATTGAGGAAACAGAGTCTGGTCATGGTAATTGGAACTTTTGATGTGCCCACTCCAGTGACCTGTTCATGCAAAAGCCTTAAGTAAGCAGGTTCTGGAGCCAGTCTGTAGCAGCTCTCTTCACTTTGAGAATGTGTTGATGGATTAAAGCAGAACCCAAACAGTCCACTATCTGCCTGTTGCTGTGTAAATGAGAACCCCCTTGATTTTTCTTTTTTTTAAAGGAGGGGAAGGTGTAAATATCAATGCTGGGAGGTAACCAGATTAGCATGAAACAGAGCTGCCATTTTATACTATGCCTCATTCAAGTGACAGTCATTCAAGTTGCATTTTTTTTCATCTCCTGAGAGTTATTATGAACTTTCTTTACTGAGTGTTATATTTAAGCCTTTTGAATAGTTTGCTGTCTGCAACAGTGGCGGCAGATAAGGAATGCTCTCAGAGGATCTCACTGTGAGACATAATGGTGAAATGCTGCAATGCATGGAATTTTATTTGGGACTGCAATTTAATAAATGATGGACTATCTCTAGGTCAAATCTAGTCCAGATCAGTCACTACCATCTGTCACCAAGCTACAGCCAACTGGCAGCTGGTTGGTGGCCATTATGAAATCCATTAGTAATTTCAGTTCATTTCTTAATTAATGGACATACTTATGCACAGAACATTCCATAATTGACCATTTTCTTAAGTGGCTTCATTCTGTTCCTGTTTTAGGATGGACATTCTTTGCCTCTGAGGAATATGTCTTCTAGTTTGCAGTTGCTACAGTGGAGATAAAGTTTCTTCTATCTCTGTTTATGCATATGTGTACAATCTGTGAAGGGATGGTAGCTTTGAAACTTCATTTTACATAGCTTGAAGTTGAAAATATGATTCCCAATGAGACTTTTAGAGTTGGACACATTTCAAGAATGTCCTTTCATAGGAGATTTTCGTATTGCATCCATATATTCTGGTCCCAGATGAAAGAAGTTCTTATAGAAACCTTCAACCAAAGGAAGAAAACCTATCCATTTAAATATGAGGAAAGCTGGCCTGTGTTTGGACCATTCTCCCAGTAATTTTTTTTTTTTAACGTCTTTGAATGATTTCGTCCACCACAAATTGACAGGGTAGAGGACCTCCTCTTTTGGAGTTGCCAACAAGCACATTTTGCTACCAGTCAACTCTCCTAAATAATAAGTATGATGAATAACAACCAATTGGGGAAAATTTTTCAGCATAAAAAAAGGCTGACAGCTGTGAAAACAAAGCAAGCATACAGCTCTTCAATTTAAAGAAATCCTTGCTCACGCTTATACTATAATGTAGGGGAGTCTCTTGGCAGAGTCATATTTTGCTCTATTTTTACATAATAAATACACATATAATCAAGTGAAAATAGACCTTGGTGCAGTGCTCAGCCATTCCCATGCTGTGACGATATAGTTCATTTAAATGCTCCTTGGGAATGTTGGCTCATTCAATGAGAAAACAGTCAGTTTTAGACCAAATATAGTCAATTCCAAAAAGCAGTCAAGCCAGTTGCATGAAAATGGACTTTTTTGCTTCTCCACTGGCTGTTTTCAAATCACATTTGGCTCAGACAGAAAATGGAGTGAGCCTTCTAAAACCTCATGGTTTGTCCACTATAGCTTTATTTTATTATTTTTTACTGATACATAATAGTTATACATATTTTGGGAAATACATTTTAATATAATGTTCAATACCTATCTGTTTCTTCTCTAAGCTGAATTACCATATTGCTACTTCTGTTGTCTTATCATATCTTTTCAAATTGCCCCTTTGCGGTGAAGTATTTCTATTTTCTTGGTCAATAAAATGTCTGTGTGACACATTGAAGCGATATCCTTCAATCTGATAACATTATTTATAAACCCTATAAATCATAAACAACATCTGTACTCTCAAGTTATGTTTGCCATCTGAAATGAATCTACCAATAGTGCTGTGTAAGTAATTTGCTTCCGAGATCAGCTAGCTTGGAGTCCAAATACAGAAAGCAAACTGGCAGAGTTTTCATGAACATTTTTTACAGGACTATTGAAACTTCTACTTAACTAAAATGACAAAGTGCTTCCAAAGCTTTGTGCTTTGTGAAACTGGAGGTCATACTATTTCATAAGCACACGAGATGCATTTATGTGAGGCTGGACCTTAGGCACTCAGCTGGCTCTGTATACACAATCTCCAATTTTAGCAGGAGGTAAAGGAACTAGAATCTTGGTCCCACCATTTCCTTGTGACCTTTGAAACTGACTTGACTTCTCCGATTTGAGTTTCCTCAGCAGTTGACACGGGTTTGAAAGCAGATGATGGCTGTGGGAGTGGCTGCTTCTGTGCCCACTCTAGTGGTGTTTAGCAGTGTTCTTCTCTTTCTCCGTATCTTTCCCCTTTCCAGCGGGTGTAGGGGCTGCGGCTTTTTCTTTCTTTTTTGCGTCTATTTCCAGAAATATACAAAATGCACGAATTCCTCAACCGATAATGCAGCAGATGACTGCTTAGCCTCTGGAATATTCTGTCTCCTTGAAGTCCCAGTTCTCTAAAGAAGAATGAGGTTTACTTTGACTTAACTGGAACAGCTTCTGCTACTAATTCCTTCTAATGGACTCCTACTTGTGATTCTGACTTTGAATTAAATCACGAAACCACAGGAAATCTCTAATTTGTTTTTAAGACTTTTTGGTGAAAAAAACAAAAGTATGACTTTCCAGGAAACACTAGAGTTACTTGTTTTTCATACTATATCCCATTAATTCAGACACATATTGAAGATATTCAGCCCTTAACCACTATACATCATAATTGTCTGCTTACTGTCTGCATCTTCATAATATGGGATCTCGTTCACCTCTATCACCAGTTCCTACCACCTAGCAGGCCCTTGGAAACTGCTGGTTGAATCAACAAATGGATCAATATTTGTGTATTTCCTGTCTGTTTCTCAAAAGGATTCAAGGCAGTTTATAAGAAACACATGTGAAACAGAGCAATACAATTAAGATCAGAAAAAATGAGACCAGACATCATGTGAAGAAAATGAAAAGATATTTATGCTAAGGACCAAGGCCTGGTATGAGATCATTTGAGAACTGGACTTAACTCTAAATTAAGGCAAAAAAAATGAGCACATGATTGCCTATACTGTTCCCTTAATCGGAGAAAATAAAACATACAAGAGGAATTTCTTCACATGGGGGAACTATCAAGTAGGAGAATATTGCAAATGACCATTGCCACATCTGACCCTATTTGTGTCTATGTGGCATTCTTGGTCATTTCTGTCTCTTATTAAGAAAGTCTGGGGCTTTGGGAGGCCAAGGCGGGCAGATGACAAGGTCAGGAGATTGAGACCATCCTGGCTAACGTGGTGAAACCCCTTCTGTACTAAAAATACAAAAAATTAACGGCGTGGCAGCGTGCGCCTGTAGTCCCAGCTGCTGGGGAGGCTGAGGCAGGAGAATGACATGAACCTGGGAGGCGGAGCTTGCAGTGAGCCAAGATTGCATCACTGCACTCCAGCCTGGTGACAGAGTGAGACTCCATCTCAAAAAAAAAAAGCTCTGGGGGTCTGGGGTTAAATGTAATGTCCTGGAACCTGAGATCTAAGCACAGCTAGTGGTTTACTGTTCTTTTTCTGAAATCAGTACAGTGCAATTTGAATATGTATTATATGTAAGTTTTTATACATAATATATATTTTAAATATATGTATATATAAATATACACATATAAGTTACATATGTATATTTATGTCATGCATGAAAGCTAAATTTCTGTGGGAACCAACTCTATATCCTTTATTTTTTAAAAGGTCAAATTAGAAACAGATAAAACTTTAACAAACATTGCTATTTAAGGTTTGAGGAAACAAAAAGTAAATTCCTTTTAAACATCTATTCTGCTGCTGTAGAAGGGGACTTTGATGCATTTGCCAGTAGCCCATTTTTATAGCCATGTAAAAAGCTCTAGAAGTACTCAAAACAGTTGAGAGTTAGAAATGCTGGACAGGAGGAGTGCTTGCTGAGACAGGAGCTGTCGTGGGGCTCTTTTCAGATCCTGTTCCCCACTTCTCATTGAGGCCTGGCCTTGCTTTCTCTTCCCAGGACTTAACACATATGGTAGTGTTCTCAAGCGGTTATAGAATGTAGAATTTTGCTACTGAAGATGAGTTCAGGAAGCATCAGCATCACCTGTAGTCTCAGGAATGCAGAACTCCTAAGCCAATTCTCTAGAGGATTTTTATACATTGCTAGTGTGCCAAGCAGTAATATAGAGGACTCTTTATTTTGAATGAATAAATGAAAAATGCGAGACCTTCTTTCTTTAGAGTATACTTTTATGGTATGCATTATCTGAAACTATCTTCTTTGAATCCTAATACCCAAATGACACAATGCGTTTTCCGTGAACCCTTGCCCACTTTTAATCTTTTGAGTTTCTGCATGCTCATATTTCCTTTTAAAGTTTCTCCTTCTAGTTGAAACTCTACCTATTACGTAGGTGGCCAACATAACACATTGAGGGTCATAACAGACATTGAGCAGTAGGGACCTCTATTTTCTTTTTTTTTTTTTCTTTTCACTCTCTTTTAACTATTCAAATTCACTAGTACATTTGTCCCCTATGAGGAAGCTGATATGCTTCCTCCTAATGGTAATCTCTTGAAACCCTATAGTTAATTGTTTATACCTACCTTAAAATCCCGTTTCTCAGCAGAGTTAATACAAATCTGTAGTTCCCAGAATCACTGTGTTCTTGATGAAAATCCTAGACTCTTTTCATGGAGAAATCGGATTTTGCCTATTTATCTTGCCTCAAACCCTTTTATAGCCTTGATTTTTAAGGATTTTTTTTTAGACAAGGGACCCACCAGAAAGAGTAAGTGAGTAAAGAACTTTATAGAGAGGGATGGCAAAGAGCTCCTAGCGAAGTATTAGAGAATCTTGCAATCAGGAAGGCAGTCATTAGAAGATAATATAAAATGAGTGTCAAGAGTTTTGGCCCTGGCACCAGGCTGCCCCAAGTCGGGAAATGATCCATATAAAATCTCAACACGTAATAAATACTCACTTAATATTAGCAATTACAGTTAACTCTTGAACAATGCAGGGATTAGGTTCCTACGCAGGAACGGTGTCAGGACAACCACGTTGTATTACTTGGAGTCCCCAAATACTGTATTACTAGCCTACCATTGACTGGAAGCCTTACCAATAACAAACAATCACTAACATATATTTTATATATTATATGTATTATATACTGTATTCTTACTGTTAATATAAAGTAAGCTAGAGGAAAAAAATGTTATTAAGAAAATCCTAAGGAAGATAAAATATATTTACTATTCATTAAGTAGAAGTGGATTATCATAAAGGTTTTCATTTTCAGTATCTTCACATTGAATAGGCTGAGGGGGGAGCAGAAAGAAGGGGTTGGTCTTGCTGTCTCAGGGGTGGCAGAGGCGGGAGAAAACCCATGCATAAGTGGATCCGTGCAGTTCAAACCTGTGTTGTCCAAGGGTCATCTGTATTACCCAATATGTACTAACCTGCATACTTAAGACACTTAACAGTTTCTTAGGTGTTTATAAAGGCCAATATCTTATATTTCAGTGTAATCACACATGAAGAGATATTACATTCAGAGTAGGGTGAAAGGAAAGCTGAGGCGCCGCAACCGAATTGCCAGGTCTGTTTTGGGAGGGCACCGACAATGGGTTGGCTTACCGCCACCGTGAGGACACACACTGTACCTGACTGCACAGGTGCTGCTTGGAATAAGAATTTTCGTGGGAGGAACAAGTGTGATCATCAGGGAAGGGGTTAGTACCCGTAGCCAAAGGACTGTGCACTAAGACAACAAAGAATGATATATAAACAAAGCACAACATTTGCATGGCAGGAGAAGGATGAATGGGGTACTTAAGCAAAGCTCTCGAGACAGAGTAGTGTGTGATTGAAAAGGCTAAAATGACTATGTATATTGTGTTTGGAGAAATAGGTGAGGCCCCCATGGGCTGTCAAATAATGACTAATATATTAGTAGTCATGCTATCGTGTTATTATTAGTGACTCCTTTGCTCACTGTTAGCTAAGGCAGTTACTTTTTCTCTATACAAGGATTTCTTGACCTGTGAGATTTCCTTTTTTTGCCTTTCACGGTACACTTTTCAATGCTATGTACAAAGGTGTCATGATTTGTTTAGCAGGAAATCTATTATTATTGTCCCCTGGAAGTTATTCTTCAGCTTATCCAAGGTATACAAATTCACTTTTGCATTTCTAAGTCGCAGTTGTTGATTCCCTAGTCTCAGTTGATATAAAGCTGTAGCATTTTGGAAACTGTTTGCCAAGCATCTTTCTTCATCTTCAGCAGTGGAATCTAGCCCATTGGACCATTCTCCTCTCTTGTAAGCAATTTTTATTTAGTCAAGTTCCAAGGCCCTGATAGTTTTTTTATGATATACCTTCATTTATTGACAAATGGAAGACTATTCCACCTAAAACATTGTTGTGTACTTCATGTCTGATATCTGTGCTGAAGCTCAGCAAGAAATAACTATATCTCACTATACAGCCATCCAGTTCAGATTAGAACTGAGTTTTTCAAACTTTGATCTTTGATAAACAATGTACCTGTCAATTTAATGTAACTTTTTGTCTAATTCTGAATGCATAGGTCATAAAGTTGAAATGTTTAGTAACTATGTGCAGAAAGAGAATTTTGTAAACCTAGGAAAATGCTGTAGTTCTAGTGCCTATTAAGAAAGAAGTGTTAATTTCCTTTCAGTTTTTCCCTCTTAATATTGGGGATTAGTTTATTCATATAAAATTACATTATGCATTTTTACTTAATAACTTTCTCATGTTGTTAAACAACTTTGTGAACATAATTTTACTATTTCCTCACTGTTCTAGCATATATCTGTGTTATTATTTATTTATTATTCTAGTTTTAGACAGGTTCTTACCAATTAGATACTACAAGTATTCTGAGATGAGCATTTTTATGCATAAAGGTTTTTTTCTTTGTTAAAATTATCTCCTTAAAAAAGATGAAGAATATTAGGATTGTTTAGTCAAAGAGTATTTATAAAGTTCTTTGTATATATATTGACTAAACCCATTATATAAATTTATACCTTTACCTTCAAGGTAAAAATTATATGTCTCCTTTCACCCTTGAAAGTTATGTCCTTATTAAGGATATACATATTTAGGCCAGGTACAGTGGCTCATGCCTGTAATCCTAGCATTTTGGGAGGCTGAAGCGGGTGGATCAGCTGAGGTCAGGAGTTCGAGACCAGCCTGGCCAACATGGCGAAACACTGTCTCTACTAAAAATACAAAAATTAGCCGGGCATAGTGGTGGGTGCCTGTAATTCCAGCTACTTGGGAGGCTGAGGCAGGAGAATCACTTGAACTGGGAAGGCGGAGGTTGCAGTGAGTCGAGATTGCACCTTTCACTCCAGCCTGGGCAACAGAGGGAGACTCAGTCTCAAAAAAAGAAAAAATAAAAGAATATACATATTTATATGTTATAGGTAGATGGTATTTTATTGTTGTTTTAGAATAGCCTTTCTTCCATTACATGTATTTATATAGGACTAAATTGGAACTGAATGAAAGGAGGACTTTCTTCAAATACCTATCTGTGGGAAATGAAGGCTTTATGACTTGTCTGAAAAAATATATTTTTTACCTTATGTAAGTGATATAGAAGACCTGGGAATATAGCTGTCTCACTGCAGTGCTCTTCTATAGGTCCAGTCTGTGGAGTGGCTACATAAGGGAGACATCTTGATGAAGAAGACTTTATATAACAAAACAATAACCATAACGGTAATTGCAATAACAATAATCTCAGCTAAATTTGTTTAATGCTGTGTGCCAAATGCTCCTCAGTGTTTTGTAAGTCATATAATCATCTCAATATCCTTGAAAGCAGGTTAAAATTCCTATTTACAGATAATTAAACCATTTTGACAAGTAGCTGGGCTAGAATTTTAATCAGTAAAGTCTGACTCTAGAGCCTACAGTCAGACACTACACTATGATGCTATTACTTTCTCTTTTGATTGGATCCAAAATGAAATTCATTAATATTTAATTCTAGTCTGTGATACCTAATATTATTTACTCCAAGTCAAACCAAATTTATTAGTGCTTGCTGCGTGCCAAGTAGTGGATAAGTACTCCAACATTTTTGTTTGTTTGTTTTAGCCATCACATATTAACACTTGTATGTATCAGGTACTGTGCTAGAGGCTAGGGATATAAAGGTCAGTGAGCATGTCCCCTTTTCTCAGGGACTATATGTCCACAGATTATTGGAAACCAACATCATAAATTCTATAATGTGTGTAGCATTAGAAGAGGAAGCACAATAGATGTTCTGAGCTGACCAAATAAAGCTTCGCTAAAATAGTGCCATTTAAGTAGAGTCTTGCAGGACACATGTTTGCAAAGAAGATAACATTGGAGATGTGGTAGAGGTGGTGGTGAGTGGAAGCATATTAAAAATCAAGGAGATTTTTTGAAAGAGTGTGCTGTTCAGGAATCTACAAGTGTTTGATGTTGCATTTGGGTGAGATGAGATGAGAAAAGTAGTCCAGGGTGGGAATCTGAGGGCCTTTGGTCCATGCTAAATTTTGGACTTTATCTTGTAGACCAACAGTTACAATTCAGATACCATCAGATGCTAGGCAAATGAAATCAGTGAGTGAATCATACTGGGTAACCAGCAGAGAGAGTGGTGGGTACTATGGAAAGCAGGAAAACACACGCCACTGCTAAAGAGAAGAGCTGCCTCTCAGCTCATGTAGGTTGTATCCAAGGGTCTGGTTGCATCCATACCCTTTTATTTTTCATGGAAATTCATAAATCCGGGTTTGTATGTGAAATCTCCAAATTTTCAATCTTGGCAATTAAGATGGAAAATGATTATAAAACACTGTGCAAGCCAGGGAAAATATAAACGGTGCCCTTGGGCTGCTTGGCTCGGTCCTGCTAATACAGAGGGTCCAGGGAAGAACATGAAGCAGGGGAATGACGTGGTTGGATTTGAACACAGGAGAGTCCATTCAGATAGTATTTTGTTTTGTTTTTGAGACGGAGTCTTGCTGTGTTGCCCAGGCTGGAGTGCAATCGCATGATCTTGGCTCATTGCAAGCTCCGCCTCTCAGGTTCAAGTGATCCTCCTGCCTCAGCCTCCTGAGTACCTGAGATTACAGGCATGCACCACAGGCCCAGATAATTTTTGTATTTTTAGTAGAGATGGGGTTTCACCATGTTGACCAGACTGGTCTCAAACTCCTGACCTCAAGTGATCCACCTGCCTCAGCTTCCCAAAGTGTTGGGATTACAGGTGTGAGCCACCATGCCCAGTCTATTTTTATTTTTTAATGACAAATAATAATGATATATATTTCTCACATATGCTGTGATATTTTGGAATATGCATAAATTGTGTAATGGCTCAGTTGAGCTAATTAATATCTGCAATACCTCACATACTTATTTTTTTGTGGGTGAGAACACTTAAAATCTACTCTCCAGTGAGTTTCAAAATGCAATACGTTATTATTAACTATAATCACCACTTGGTACAATAGATCTCTTGAATTTATTCCTCCTAACTGAAATTTTGTGTCCTTTCACCAATATCTCTCTACCACCCTCTCCCTTGGGTCCTGGCAACCACCATTCTACTCTATATTTCTGTGAGTTCAACTTTTTTAGATCTCACATATAAGTGTAATCATGTGATACTTGTCTTTCTATGCCTGGCTTATTTTACTTAGGATAATGTCCTCCAGATTCATCCATGTTGTTGCAAATGACAGAATCACCTTCTCTTTTAAGGCTGAATAGTATTCAATTGTATACACACATACCAATGGACACCTAATATTGATTCCATATCTTGGTATTGTGAATAATGCTTCAATGAATGGACAAGTAATAGACTTGGTAAGGAATTTAACTTGACTGAAGGACAAAAGTGGCAAGTTGTTAGAAAGGGCAAAGTCAAGGAGACTTCCCAGGTGTGAGACATGGGAGACTGAGTGAATGGGAGTGCTAGTGGTTGGTAGGGAATTTGGGAGGAGCAGGTGTGAGAAAGGGTGAGAATGAGTTTTGGGTGGCCCTATTGACTTTGACAGTTTCTCAAGGGTGTTTAGGTGAAAGTATTTCAATTCATCTAATTATCTTAACGAGGCTACATGGTCGAACATAATAGTCCAGTTTTTAAAAGTGCAGAGACAGAAGTCCAGAGAAGTTAAAAGAATTTTACTCAGTCCCTCTCATCTGATTAGTGGCAGAACCAAAATTGGTAGGTGTTCCCTCTACTAGTCCACAATTATTTTAGATAAGATCAGGATCCTTTGAAATACCTGTTCCTCATCTCCTTATTTAGGTTTTGGAATATTCTTATTTATAGGAAAAAACAGCATTATCAATTATGCCTTTATACTTGAAAGAAAAACCCAAGAAAGTCAATTTCAGGAATCCTCAGAAAATAATTACATCTTAGAAATGAATTGAAAGAGTGAGGATAGCATGAATCTGCATTTACATGGTGCATACCCACCCCACCCTAGGAATCACCAACCTGCGCCTGAGTTCAGGTCATTTGCCTAAACAAATCGTTAAAGTGGAAGAAATGTAAATTTGGTGTGAAAACAGTATTTGGTTTTAAGTTTTTCCTAAGTTATTGAGAGTGGCAAAGCTAGTTCCAAAAGAGTGAAACATAGGATGAAAACAATAATATTTCTTTATGAAAATAGCTGCAATAGAATACCATCTAGTTGACTTCATCATGATTATGTGCTGCTCAAAATATTCCTTTCTCCATTATGTAGCAAGTCAGTCTCTTTTGGACCAGAAGATTGATTCCGGTCTTTGTTTTTTAAATGGAGGGGTTATTTGTTTAGATAGGGGTACATGAATTAAACAGAATTCTAGCTCCTGATAATCTATGAGGATATATCTTGGGAGCTAGGATACAGTTTGTTTTAGGGCTGCTGTAACAAATTACTACAAACCGGACTGCTTAAGACAACAGGTATTCTCTCACAGTTCTGGAGGCCAGAAATTCAAAATGAAGGTGTTGGCAGCATTGCACTCTCTATGAAGGCTTTAGGGGAGAATCTTTCCTTGCCTCTTCCAGCTTCTGAGGCTATAGGCATTCCTTGGCTTGTGGCAGCATCACTCCATTCTCTGTCTGGCTGGTGACATTGCTGCTTCCCCTTCTGTGTATCTGTGACATCTTCCCTTGCCTCTCTTATGAGAACACTTGGTGATGGCATTTGGGGCTCACTCCCTTAATCCAGGCTAATTGCACCATTTTAAAATCCTTCATTTAATCCCATCTGAAAAGACTCTTTTTCTAAATAAGGTAACATAATCCAGGAGTGGGACTTGAGATCTTTGGATGACCATTATTCAACCTGTTATAGGCAGTGTAAGGTTGGATTCAAGGACTAGGCAAAGTAAGGTGGGCATCGGACATAGGGTTCAACTTCAAGGAAAGTCTTTATTGTGAGCAAAAGCAAAATGTCCAAACCAGAGTGGCAGTGTCAAGTGTCAGGCCCAAAAGATAAAGCATGGATCTGAATAAGAAGACACACCACACAGCTGGAACTCAGAAGGCAGCACTCTCCCTGATACTTAAGCAGGGCAGAGGCAGGAACCACTTTTCTGGTTGGGTGTTGAGATGTGATAGTGTGATATCCATGTGACTATCCATGCTGAAACAGTGTGTCTGTAAGGCAGGTTGATGACACCTGATTGAAATTGTGAGCCAACACGCCTGTAATCCCAGCGCTTTGGGAGGCCAAGATGGGTGGATCACTTGAGGTCAGGAGTTCGAGACCCACCTGGCCAGCATGGTGCAACCCCAACTCTACTAAAAATACATAGTGGCGCATGTCTGTAATCCCAGCTATTTGGGAGGCTGAGGCAGGAGAATCACTTGAACCCAGGAGGCAGAGGTGAGCTGAAATTGTGCTGCTGCACTCCAGCCTGGGCGACAGAGCAAGACTTCATCTCAAACAAACAAACAAACAAAAAAGAAATTGTGAGCCAAGTCAGCTGGGAACACAGATGTGTCTGAGAGAAGCTCAGGCTTGACTCCTGACTGGACTCATGTCACTCCATTTTAGTTTCTATGTATTTCCATCTCTACCCCTCTGCCCCACACTCCAGCTAGAGTAAGCCAGAATTATATATACATGACTCAGCCCTTTCTCCCTGATAACATCTCTTGGCATATCCAAAGGGTCACTTGCCCACAAAGTTATCAGTGACCCTGCTCTACTTATCAGTATTATCTCCCTCAGGCCTGGTCACACAGGCTCCTTCCTAAAATAGTTCTCCTTAATCTCCTGGCCTAGAGCAAACATGCATCTATCTGCCTGCAACAAGCAAAGTATTTCCCCATCCACACAAATTCCCAGGAAAAGCAAACCAAAATGTAAAATGAAAACACTGAGTTTATTGAATTTTAGGACCACCACCTTAGTGTTTTTAAGTCTTAGAAACGTGTTAATTATCATAATGGTTCTGGCCTTTTTGAGCCTGAGCAAATTTTTGGCATAATGAATCAGGCACAAGGAGGATGTCATGTGCAGTGTCCGTGTCTTTCTGTAGCCACAGGACTGTCACTTGATTGTTCCCTGTGTGGTTATGGTTCTCTAGAATGGTTGACATAAAGCAAACAAATGATATTGCTTCCTCATGGCAGAGGACTAAGTAATCGGCACATTTATCAACCGCTGCTTGGCCTTGTGGCTGTTCAGATATTGTATGTGCCACGACATCGTTTCCTTTGTGGCTTCCTGATGCTGAAAACCTTTCCTGGTTAAACTTCTATCATACTATATCAAGAGTGATAATGAGTCTTAAACATATTTGGCATGTATGACTTTATTAAGAAAATTTGTTAAGGAAGCAGATGTTAATGTTTTGTTACAACCTTCATATTCTTGTGGACTTACTAAGGGAAAGCTTTGCTACATCAAATAAGGAGATGCCTTGTTGCAATTCGATCCCAAAGGAGATTTAATTTCAGTAGAGTTTACAACACATTACCCTCAAGGAGACAGAGAGAAAGGTCTCCATAAAAGATTACTTGCATCTTACTATACCTAATTTTCTCAGACAGCACTTGCACCAGCAGAAGAAATGACAAACTGCTAATGGCAATAATTTGGAATAGTCTGTGTCCCCAATGACTCTTTTTTCTTATGTCTGTGTTGCACTCAGATCAGCAATACTAGAATCTTATTATAGTGGAAAGTCGTACTGAACACTTTAGAGACAGACACAAGTGTGGCAGAAAGATCATAGGCTCTGCTGTCAGATAGACACCTTTTACCTTAACTTACATTATTACTCAAGTCATTTTACCTCCTCAGATCTGTGTCTTCATATATAAAATAGAGATAATAATGAAAAATCTGTTTCACTGTGTCTTGGCACATACAAATTGCCACCTAGATATTAGGCAAGTGTCAAGTATGGTCCTCTCACACTCACTCTGTCCTTGCTTTACATTCATGCTGGTTGGACTGTCCACCCCTGACAAGTCACACAGAAAACTCTGCCAACTCAGAGAATCCATGTGCATTTTTTTTTTGTTATGCTGTATTTTTGTCCAATTGACTATTTTTCCTCCTTACACTTTTTTGTTACTTTGGTCCCTGCAAAAAAATAGAATGGTTGGCAGACATTTAAGTGATGAGTTCTTGATCAACAAATGAAGAGTAATAAGAAAAATGTTTGCCTCAATGGCTTCTGAAGAGGATGAAGCATCACTTCATTAATAAAGTAGATAGCTTCTGCCTCTTAGACTGGACTCCCAAATTCTTGCCTAGAATCTTCAGTCTCTGGGGAAGAGAGGACTAAATCCAGTCAGAAATATAGTATATATACAACCTCCTGACCTGTTCTTAGGACTAATCAAAACTCACAGGTGTCCCACTGGGCAACTAGAAAATTCCTAAGAATGAAGGAGTTATTTGGTTCTTGCTAAGTGAAGACAGCACACACAAAATTACTCTGCTGACCACCACTCGGAATGGTTCCTTTCACAGGGCTTTGTGGACTCCTGTGCTGGAGGGGAAAGAATGCTTTCTTAACTTGAAAGTTTGTAGTTTGGTTCTGGGATAACTTAATTAAAGGCCCCACTGCCAAGAAGGATAGAATTAAAGATGTAAGTCGGGACTTCGAATATCCTGACTTTAAAGTTCATAAATCACCTTTGTATTTCACTGGATTCTGTTGTATTTCCTCTTTTATTTAATAGTTGTTATTTTTCGTATTTTCTGGACTACTTAGTCTTGGGAAAGGTTGGAACACCAAATTAAGACTTCAAATGTAGCTTAAAGAGGATACAGTGACATCTGGAGAACCTCTGTTTCTGACAATATGGGGGACTATATGACCAGAGAAATCCTGCCAGTAGAAAAATGATTAGAAAACATGCATGCAGAGAAGCAAGCACTAGAACCAGCATTTGCTAATACTCTTTAGCTTAGAACCTGAACTTTATGGGCCATAAGAAATGAGGATATTACAAGAATCCTGAAGTCCACAGTAGGTGGGAGATAGAATAGAAACTTCAAAATAAAGGTCGGACATCCAAAAGTCAGCAATGTCAGTGGGTGAACTAGGTAAAAAACAAAACAAAACAAAAAAGAAAGCAAACAAATTTTAAAACCTGTCATTGAAGACTGAAGAAAAAAACAGTAGATATTCTAACCTGTTTTGACCATGGTTCTTGAAAATCTCTCATTTTTCTGGGGCTAGGAGATGAGCTATCTACAAATCTACTGTCCTATATATAGGACAGTAATTAATTCTACTTGGCCCAAAAACCACCAAACAGAAAATTAAGTTTAATGTGGTTCTATTTCAGAGGTGCCCTTAAGCACTTAGAAAAACAGAATGCAAATCATCTCTGGATTAAGAACAACTGCACAGCAAATTAAATGGTAGATTAGATAGAAGAGAGAATTCATGATTGGATACATAGATCTGAATAAATTAATTACAACTCAACCCAGAGAGACACACACACACATAGGAAATACAAGAGAGGCAGAGACATACAGTGTGATCACATCTAATATATAGCTAAAATTTGCATTAATTTTATATATGTAATTTATCAATATATAATATATCAATATATAATATATTATAATATATCAATATATAATATATAATATATTATAATATTTCAATATATAATATATAATATATTATAATATTTATATAATCTATTATATCTTATAATACATTATATATACATTTATGTGTATATATAAATGTATATATAACTGCAGTTCCAGGGGAAGCTAGAGAAAATAGGCAGAGGCAATATTTTACCATGCTTAGGAATTTTCCAAAACTTTTGAAGACATAATTTTTCAGACTCAGGAAGTCCTAAAGACTACATGGATTCAGTAAAAATTAAATACATTAAATAAAAAGGTATTTAGGTTTAGACTGATGGTGGTTAAACTGTAGAAAACAGAAGACATAGAGATCTTTAAATCACTCAGAGGAAAAAAATACAGATTACCTACAAAGCAAAGACAATTAGAATCATGGCTGACTTCTTGAAAACAATAGTGAAACTCAGAAGACAATGGAATAATATCATCAGTATACCAACAGAAGGTTAACTGTCAGCTTAGAAATGTACAACCAATACAAATCTTTTAGAAGAAAGAAAAAAAATAAAGAAAAAAATATCTTTATTTGGAAGCAAAGTAACTTTGGGGAAAATAAAACCAACTTACTAGGAGAACTTACTATGAACAGATGAGTAAGGAAATTCTAAAGAACTATTCTACAGGAAGAGAGAATATAGCCACTAAAGGAAAGCCTAAGATAAAAAAATGGGGATCAAAAATTAGCATAAGCATACAGTAAGCTAAAAATCATTGATTTTGAAAAACGGTATTGATACTAATGATTTCCAGATTAAAAAAATAGAAAACCAAAATGCTGAACCCAATTGCAGGTAACTGTGGTTCTCAAACTATGTACTGAGGCACTCATGACATCCTAGTGAATGCGCAGGGGCACTGCAGGATGTTTATATTTTCTAGGGAAACAGGGCAATGTATATTGGACACAGCACAGAGTGTCCTCAAGTTCACAGCTTCGACATTGAATCACACTACATTCCTTTGATAAACACATTTGATCAAACTTGGTTTTTGGATGGATGTTGCTATGAAAAAAATGCAAGTACCAAGAGAAAATCAATATAAAACAAGAAATATGGATGGAGATATCTGATTCAATTCCAAGATTTAAGAAGTTTTACTGTGCCTAACAGATGTACATATACTGTTAGAAAGTAATAGTGGCTAAGAATCAAATAAAGATTTTTTTTCTTTTATTATAATTTATGTCTATTATTTTTTCAAATGACCACTCAGTTATTAGGATATGAATACATATTGTTTTTACTTAATTAATAAACAAAACAATACTACTTAATACACAAAACAGTATTCCTTTTTGCCTAAGGGCATTATGAAAAATTTACAGAGACAGAAAAAATGTGGGGAACCAAGAAAGTTTGAAAACATCTGGCATATAAATTGGTAGGGGGATAACTGGATCCTGGCATATAATTGATACGGGGATAACTGGTATTGATTACATTTTTATTTTGTTAAGTTAAATATGCATGTTAAGACTTCTGGAGGAAAAAAAATTTCGTCTTGATATAAAAATTAGCCAGGGGTGGTGGCGGGCGCCTGTAATCCCAGCTACTTGGGAGGCTGAGGCAGGAGAATCGCTATAACCCAGGAGGTGGAGGTTGCAGTGAGCCAAGATGGTGCCACTGCACTCTGGCCTGGGCAACAAGAGTAAAACTCCGTCTCAAAAAAAACAAAAAAAAAGGCCGGGCGCAGAGGCTCATGCCTATAATCGCGCAGATCACGAGGTCAGGAGATCAAGACCATCCTGGCCAACATGGTAAAACCCCGTTTCTACTAAAAATACAAAAAGCTGGGTGTGGTGGTGTGCACCTGTAATCCCAGCTACTCAGGAGGCTGAGGCAGGAGAATCGCTTGAACTAGGGAGGCAGAGGTTGCAGTGAGCCAAGATCACAGCACTGCACTCCAGCCTGGGTGAGAGAGCGAGACTCCATCTTAAAAAAAAAAAAAAAAAAAAAAAGATTATCCTTTTGATAGAGTATATATCTTCAAACTAGTAAATGTGAGGAAACAATCTCAATCAATCTCAAACACAGCAAGATGGGAATTTTTTTATAGGGGGCCAAAAATAGGCACTAAGTAAGATTCTAAGATGAATTAAAACATGTCAATAATGTCAATTCATGTAAATGCAGTAAACTTTTCAGTTAAAAGGCAAAGATAGAATAAATCCTGCTATTTTCTATTTTCAAGAGATACACATAAAACTAAAAACTTAGAAAGGTTGCATATATATAGGTTAAAAATGATGTTTGAAGAACATACAAACCAAAATGAAGCCAGTGTAGCTTTAGTAATGTTAGATGCTACCGACTTTAAAACAAAATGCATTACTGTTCAAGTCACCTCATGTCAATAAAAATTTGAATTCACCTGAAACAGATAATTATTCTAAAATTGTACAAGTAACAAACAATTTTAAGACAATACATTTGATCACTTACTGCAGTTGTAAGTGATCAGATTAATGGAGAAAAATTATATGATCCTCCCAGTAGATGGATTAAAAGCCATTTGCTGTAAGTAAACATCTATAATAAAATTTCTCATCAAACTAGGAATAGATTCTATAACTTGATAAAGTATGCCATTATTCCTTGTCACAAACATACTCAGTGATGAGGCATTAAGTGCATTTCCTTTAAAATTAGGAACAAGATAAAAATGTTTTCTACTAAAACTCTATTCATCAATATATTTCTAGCTGAGAAAATAAAATTGAGTCCCCTCTCACATTATACCCACAGGAGACCATAATTAAAAAAAAGCTTTTTGTTTTGAGAGAATTATAGATTAACATGCAGTGATAAGAAATAATACAGAGAGATCCCATGTAGCCCTGTTCCCCAATGGTAACTTCTTGCAAAACTATACCACAATATCACATTGAGGGCATTGACATTGATATAGTCAAGATAGAGAAGAGTTCCATCACCACGAAAATCTCTCCTGCTGCCCTTTTATAGCCACATGCACCTCCCTTCCCTCCACTCCCATTTCTCCTCTAACTTCTGGAGACCCCCAATCTGTTCTCTGCTTCTAGAATGTTGTCATTTCAAGAATGCTATGTTCAATGAAATCATATACTATGTAATCTTTTGGATTGGTGTTTTTCACTCAGCACAATTCCCTTAAGATTGACGCAGGTTGTTGTGTGAATCAATAGTTTGTTCCTTTTCATTGCTAAGGAGTATTCCATAATATGGATGTACCATAGTTTTTCCTGTTTATTTTCTTATTTAAATATTTTTCCTGTTTATTTTCCTAAATTTTATAGTTACCATTTTCCATTTAAATCTATGATCCGTTTTGAATTAATTTTTTACAATGTGAGCTTTATGTTGAGTTTCTTTTTTCCCCCCAGCTCCAGTACACATGTTTCAGTGCCATTTGTCAAAAAGGCTGTATTACTTCCTCTATTGCATTTGTACCTTTGTCAAAAATTATTTGGACATATTTGTGTGGATCTATTTCTGAGTTCTCTGTTGTTCTATTGATTTATGTGTCTGTCTCTCTGCCAATATGATATTCTCCTAGTACCTGCTTGGTGTTTAGCAGTTATATAGTATATCTTAATATCAGATAGAGTAATTATCTCTTTATTATTTTTATGATTGTGTAAGCCATTCTGAGGCTGTTATCTTTCCATATAAATTTTAAAATGAACTTTTTAAAAAGTTTACAAAAAAGCTTTCCTGGGACTTTGGTAAGAATTGCATTAAACTTATACATTTTGGGAGAATTGGGATCTTTACTATGTTGAATCATCCAGTCCATGAACATAGTATGCTTCTCCACTTGTTTAGGTCTTGATTGATTTCTTTCATCAACATTTTATAATTTCCAGCATACACAGTCTATACATTTTTTTGTTGTTTATATCTAAGTATTTCATTTTATTTTTAGTGACTATTAATGGTGTTGTTTTTAATTTTGGTTTGCACATGTTTATTGTCGGTATACAAAAATATGATTGATCTCTGTACATTGGTCTTGTATCCTAAGACCTTGAAGAAGTCATTTATTAGTCCTAAGAGTATTTTTGTATATTTTCTTGACAATGTGGACAATTGTGTTATCTGTATGATTTCTTCCTTTTTAAATTTTTCTTTTAATTTTTTATATTTGTTCCTTTTATTTTTATTTTATTTATTTTTCCAATCTGTGTGCCTTTTATGTTTTTCTTTTCTTGATTATTGCAGTGTCTAGAACTTCTAGTAATAAGTCAAATAAGAGTGGTGGGAGCAGACATCCTTGCCTCATTTTATTTTATTTTTATTTTATTTTTAATTTTTATTATTTTATTTTTATTATTATTTTTTTCCTTGCCTCATTTTCAATCTTAGAGGAAAAGCATTCAGTATTTCACCATTAAGTATGATGTTATCTTTAGATTTTTTGTAGGTGCTCTTTAAAAAGTTGAGATTATTCCCTTCAATCCCTAACTTGTGACCTTTTATTATGAATAAATGCATCAAGGTTTAAACATTTTATAAGAAAATTTAGGATAATATCTTTAACACTTAAGAATAGGAAATAATTTTTAAAATATGTCATAAAAAGCGAAGAACAAAAGGAAAATTTCAGTAAGTTTGAAAATGCTGAAATTAAGAACTTTTGGTCATCAAAACATAATACAAAATAAATGAGAAATAAAGCCATAATTTCAATTCCAGTATTTTCATGTACCAATGAAGAATTCATATCCAGAATATGTAAAAAACTCATACATGATAGCATCCTGGCATGGTGGCTCACACCTGTAATCCCAGCACTTTGGGAGATGAGGCAGGCAGATCACTTGAGGCCAGGAGTTCAAGACTGTCAGATAACATGGAGAAACCCTGTCTCTACTAAAAATACAAATAATTAGCCGAGTGTGGTGGCACAGGCCTGTAATCCCAGCTAGTCAGGAGGCTGAGGCACGAGAATTGCCTGAACCCAGGAGGGTTCAGTGAGCCGAGATCACGCCACTGCACTCCAGCCTGGGTGATAAAGTGAGACTCTGTCTCAAAAAAAAAAAGAAAGAAAAATAAAAATATAATTAAGCCAGTAGAAAAGCTTCTTGAATAAGCATTTCATTTAAGAGGAAATGCAAATTACTATTAAGCAGGGAAAATATACTCAACCTGATTAGTAATTAAGGAAATGCAAGTTAAAGCTTTAATAAGATACCATTTCACAGTGATCAGATTGGCAAAACCTAAAAACTCTGATAATATTAAGTTTTGCTGAGATATAAAGCAACTGGTGGGAGTGATTGGTAAGTGATTAAGGAAAATTATTTGTCATTACCCAACAAGTGAAGATATATTTAACACTATGCCATAGCAAATCTAGCTCTAGGTTTATACCCTAGAAAAATTGTTGCATGAAGAGATGGGTTAATGGCAGCATTGTTTGCCATGGTAAAATAACTGGAAGCTACCTAAAAGCAGAGTCAGTTAAATTATGGAGTATTTATACAATGGCATACTTCATATTAATGGCCATGATTAGCCTATGGCCTCATGCCTCAGAATGGGTGAATCTCAGAAACAATGTTATGAGAAAAAGCAAGTCAGAGAAGCATATGCTTGATTTCATTGAATTAAATGTTATAAATGGGTGAAATCCAGAACTAAATATTTGGAGTATATACACACTGATACAAGTAGAAAAAAAGAAAGGAAAAGATTAACAAAATTCAGGAGAATTATATTTGGGGATAGAAGAGGGAGGGACTGGGTACACCTGGGACTTTAAACATTTTGGTAGTTCTGTTTCTCAGGCTGGGTGTTTGGTGCATGGGTGTTCATTTTATTAGTCTACATTAAGCTATATATACGTGTGTGTATATTATGTACATTATATGTATACACACTATATATATGCACACACATTATATATGTGTTTGTGTAAATTATGTGTGTGTGTATATTGCATGACCAATTTTCATAGTTTTTTTAAATTAGAGAAAATAGGAAAAAGGCTATGTCAGGTGCATTCACAGCAGAATGAAATTTAGTAACAGTGAATTGTTTCAAAGAAGTAAGATAACAAAAAAAGTCAGCTTTTACATGTGATCTTCATTATCTAAGTCAGCTGTCCCCAATCTTTTTGGCACCAGGGCCAGTTTTGTAGAAGACAGTTTTTCCATGGACGGGGATGGGGGATGGTTTCAGGATGATTCAAGGGTATTACATTTATCATTAGATTCTCATAAACAGCGTCCAACCGAGATCCCTCACATGTGCAGTTCACAATAGGCTTCCCGCTCCTATGAGAATCTAATGCTGCCGCTCATCTGACAGGAGGCGGAGCTCAAGCTGTAATGCTCCTTGCCCACTGCTCACCTCCTGCTGTTCAGGTCACTTCCTAACAGGCCAAGGACCGGTACTGGTTTGTGGACCCCCATACCATGGACCATGGTACCGGTTTGCGGACCCCTGATGTAAGTAAAGTTAGGAAATTTCATGTCAATTTGTTGTCAGGAATTTATGTTATTTTTGCATTTTTTGAGGGCACAGTTTTCAGAAATAGTTGAATTAACTTTTTAATATATTCACTGTAAGTTTTGCCTTCAGTTATGTAACCTTTCAAATATTATTCCAAGGTTGTTTTCCTATTATGCTAAAGGAATGACTAAATTGCTAAAATGGGAAATAAAATAAAGAATATTACTCCAGTGTTTTTTGCTTAGTAAGATATTGTGTGTTTTAAAAATGGTTTTCTGAGTATTCTTAATGAAGAAGAACTCTGTAATTGTTTTCTTCAAGTTTAGTAGATTAATTTCACATGTATAAATGTGCATGCCCATGTTTTTTGGCTTTCCTTTATCGATAATGACCATTGTCCATGCAGAGCTTCTCGGCATGGCCTCTGGAGTGTCTTAAAATATGTACAGTGTATATGGCAGATTCAAGATCAGCTGGAAGCTGCTTTAGAAAACTGAAGAAATTGCAAGGCAACACTAGAACTTGATATCTAAGTTCCTAAAAATGACTGTATTTTGGAAATTCAGTAAAACAGTTTTGTGTCTAGAGAACTCTAGGCATTCATTAAAAGCTTAAAATAAGAGCACTCTCCCCCAACTTCTATAAAATAAAGAAACCAAAAGGAAGTACCTGCAATTTACTCAGTTAATTCAATTTAATTTAAAAAAATTCAGTAAATGTTAATTGAGCATCTACCAGATAGTGCCAGATAACATTCATGGCACTGGGCATATAGCAGGGGACAAAACAGATAATATTATGTAACAATAACAGACCAGTGGTTTCTGCTTAATTGGAAAGTTTCCCTTAAAAGGCAGTAAGCTTCTTGAGGGCATGACCTTGAGTTTTCTGTGACCCAGTTTTTCCTCAGCACTTAACAATGCCTGGCACATTAGTATGTATTTAATGCTTATTATTAATTATTGTTCTTTACTGTTAGTACATTTAATATGTGTTCAATGAATGTACCCCAAAGCCACACATCTTGTACCTGATGAAGCCAGAGTTTGAACCCAGTCTATTGGTAACAGGAAAAACAGTTGCCGCTTCTTGTGAGCACACTCTGCACCAGGGCCTATGCTCAGGGCTTTATACTCATCATTGCACTTCGTCCCTTAGAAAGAGATATTATTATCCCCTTTTTACTAATAAAGATTCTTTTTTTAAATTTTCTATTTTTAAAATTTTTTGAATATATATTTTTGAAACGGAGTCTTGCTCTGTCGCCCAGGCTGGAGTGCAGTAGCACAATCTTGACTCACTGCAACCTCCGTCTCCTGGGTTCAAGCGATTCTCCTGTCTCAGCCTCCCGAGTAGCTGAGATTACAGGCACACACCACCACACCTGGCTAAATTTTTTTTTTTTTTTTTTAGTAGACGCGGGGTTTCGCCATGTCGGCCAGGCTGGTCTTGAACTCCTGAACTCAGGTGATCCACCTGCCTCGGCCTCCCAAAGTGCTGGGATTACAGATGTGGGCCACCACGCCTGGCCACTGATGAGGGTTTTAAGCCTTAGACTACTTAAATGCCTTGCCCAAGATCACCCTCTGGGTCCATCCCCTTCAAATACTTCCAATTTTCACAGCCTTTGTATCTGTGGTGCCAGAGTATCCTTGGCTACCTGCAATGGTGCAGCTCAGTGTATTAACTAATAGGACCACATGGTGTCATGTAATCTGTTTGGCTGATTTTCTTTCCCCACTAAAGTGACTAATTTTTTTTACAGAATTGACCACATCAGCTAGTTATTTTAATGGTAAATCAAATAAAGCTTTTCCATTTTTTTTTGTCTCCAACTGCCAGAACCTGGCTAAATTAGACACACCTAAATTATAATCCAAGATCAGCCATTTAGTAATTGTGAAATCTTGGACAAATACTTAGCCCCTCTAGGTTTCTAACACCTTATCAGTAGAGGTGAAGATAATAATTCCTACCTAGTCTGGTTAATGAGAGGATTAAATGAATAAAGCTTTATGTCCTAACCCAATGCCTGACCCTTAAGGAGTTTTGCTGAGCAGCACCTGCTGTTACTACATTTATCATTGTTATTTTTAACCTTAACATCTAATTTCAACATTATCTTTGTTCTCTGGTCTTTACTAACCTCCCTGACCTAAGTCATATTATCTTAATCTAACAAATCACCAACTTCTTTCAAGATAGGCAGAGTTACTTACTTGCTCCTCTTTGGATTTGCTCCTTTGTTATGGAGCTTAAACTGTGTTATAACAATTTATATGACTGTGTTATGAAAAAGATCTCTTATTCTGTACCCTCTCTTCTAATTACATACATTTTTAATGCAGGTTCATTCATCTTTTCACTGCCAGCTTCTTCATTTTGCCTAGCATATAAGTGCTATCGTGTTTGTTGAATGAATAGGTCATATCATTATCCACAGTGAATAGATAGGTCAGTTCTCTTTTGTACATTATTGCTAATACCATTGATGGTATTACTTTGATTTTGATATGTGTAAGGACACTGTAGTGTTTACAAATATCATTTGTATATGTAATTTCATGTCTTTTCATTAGAATATTCCTCTCTCACTTTCCATAAATATTTTCACTGTCTATGGATTTTTATTTTTTGCATTTTTTGTCTTGCTAGTGCTATATTACAAATTTTTTTCTTCTGCCATTTCTGCCATAGGACTTTATAAAAAGACTTTCTTACTTTCACTTAAACTTTTATTTCCCACGTTACTTTAAGGTATACATTTTACTCTTTCCCCCCATCATTAATACATTACCACTTGACTCTGTCATTAGGCTGTCAATCTGTAAAACGCTTGAGAAAGAAAGAGAGACCTTATTTTAAATAGGCCTGATACTTTGCTAAAGAGGTTGGCGCACTGACTACAATTCTATTCTTGTCAAGAATAGGCTTTTGAAATTTCAAGGAGAAGAAATGGAATTTAGAAGAGCTACTAAACCATGAAAGACCTAGGAAGGATAAAATAAGTAAAATGAAGGAGAAAACAGTAAAATCCAAAGACATTGCTAAATGGACAAAATTCACTACAAAATTCTGGAGAAATTCCCTGCCTTATATTGAAATAACTCAATATGCAACAAAGAATGCCCTGAATGGCCAGACCTAGCACCAAGGCATGAAACTCTCTTTAAGCCATGAATATCTTAAGGGAAATTATAGCAGTTAATTGTTAGTGGTCAGAAAAACAAAACATTTTTTAATTGAATTTCTAGGTTAAGGTGATAGAGGTTGGGGTGTTGGGGCCAGATGAGAAAAGAACAAGGAAACATTTAGTAACCATTCACCAAAAAATGTTATACAAATGGTGATAACAGGTAGTTCCTTCATTTCCAATGAAGTTTAGAGGGGACAAATTTAATCATGTGGCAAAGTTAAGTGTCAAACATGAAAGGGAGTTGAAGTGTCAAACGTGAAAGGGTAATGAAGCAGGAGAGATTTATGTTAGAATTCAGACAGACTTCCTGGGTTCTGAAATCCTCTAATATGTTACTAAGCAGAGCAGGATTCGCCCCACAAACAAGGCTGGAGAGTTTTCCAAGATTCCAAGTCATTAGGCAGGGTTTCCAGGGACAGCACTGCCACAGCCTCCATTGTTCTGTGGGATATTCTGACCTGATTCAAGAAGAAAGCCTATGGAATTGTATGGACTTCACACTTTATATGAAAAGGTTGGCGGCAACCAAGCAGGGGAATACATCAGTTCCTTCTGAACACGGGGCTCACACCAGCCCATTTGCCTCATAATTGTATGCATGCTACAGCAAATGAGAAACTGCAACTTCCTCTGCCGAATGTAAGAAGAATTTATATTTTTGCTTAAAACGGAATGGTTTTCAATGCAAAGGCATTGATAAGGTTAAAGTGTCATACTGAAAATATCCTATATAGACAGCAATCGGCATAGGGGTGGAGAAAGTACGCTCTTTAAACTGCTTCCGTGGAAAATTTCAATCAACTGCTAGCTTTTGCTTCACAAAACTTTGACGTATGTCCCTTGACCTTTACCAACTACCCTTTCACGTTTGACACTTAACGTTTGCTACATGATTAAAATTCAGCGTTAATTAATTTCAACACTATCAGTTAAGTTATATTTAGCTAAGAACACTCACTTTTGTCTTTCGTGAGTAGCACTGCAGTGTTATTACAAAGAGGTAGTCAGGAGGGCAACAGAGATACGAGGAGAGAAGAATGATTCAGTGTGCAGATAATTGTTTTGAGTGAAATTTAGCTCGGTATTTTTGTTCCTGTCCTCAGTAGAACTGAGATTTAGCACCTCCCGTTGGCATTTAGCCCCCACCCCCACATAGGAGGAAGCTGTGCGGGGCGGGTGCTGAGAACGAGCCACACCAGAATTAAATTATAGCACAATTCTAACACTGGCGAGAATTTTATCTGGCCAGCTCTTGAGTACAAACCTGGTGATCCCAAAAGAAAGCATCTCTGTGTGGTGTGTTATCATCCTCAATGAGGGAGGTTGACATCGTTGTTTAAAGAGCATCACCCGAAAAGTGGTAACCATTCCCAAAGAAACCAGTGGCAGCCAGAATATTTAGCCATAGCAAAACTGTAGTTCTAAACTTAAAAGGTCACCCGTGAAGTTGTCTTATTGATGATTTATTTTATGATGTGACTCACTAGAAATGAATAAAACCCAAGAAATTTGAGCTCTCTCTCCGAGTTTAACAAAGTGAGAAAACATTTTATTACTTTCTTTATTCCATGCTCTTTTGCTCTGTGAATGGATTATGGTAAGAAGGTAGATATGCAAATCTTGCTTTTACCTGAAGCTCAAAATGCTGTAGAACCATTATAGCTGCCACTCTTTGGGATGCTGGCATGAAATCGTGGTCTGTAAGATTACTGTGCCACTGAAATACTTCTGTCATTTAGATGCACGTACAAGACAGGAAGAGAGGTTCTGTGCTTGGTAGATAGTGTAGGTGAAACACAATTTATATGTAAGATGCCCATAAATGTCTTACTAAGGTTCCAGTAATAGATGTTGGATTCTTTGGGACAGTATACCCAGGTAGCCTCCAATTGTTTTTTTTTAAATAAAAAAATGTGTTGCATTTTTATTTGCGTATCACAAAACATTTTGCCTCCAATAATTCAACACTTATGTATCAGAATTTGGTTCCATGCCCTCAGCCCATCCACCACCTTTAGTTGGAGGGCACTGGGGATTTTGTCTTTTTGCTTACCCCCAGGGAAAATTCCAGCCTTCGTTTGCCAGGGATTTAAGTTGCTTCATTTCAGTACTCAAGTGATTCAGCATCAAGTCACATTTCTCTTGTCAGGCACTGGTAGAATGTCCCTGCACTAGTAACTGGCCTTAGATTTTAAATCCAAGCCAAAGCTACCTTGTGTTCTTGGTGGGACACTAGATACCTATCTCGGTCCCATTGTTGTGGGATTAGGAGGATTAGAGAGAGACTTTGGGGTGTATGTAGGAGGGTATTTTTATTACTGAGTGTATTTAGATTTAGTAGATTTAATGTTTAAAGATTGGGTTTAGAATAAAGATAGTATTTGATTTTTATGTATATTTTATAAAAGGGGGTGGGTTAGTTTGAAGTAAGTTTATAGTGGCGTGAAAGTAGGGATCTAGAAGCAGGATAAAGATAGTTAATTAAATTGTAATAGGTTTATAATTTATGATTGTATATGATTGTTTTTAACTAATTTAGATGTTTATTATTTAGGTTTTGTTTTAAAGAGTTTTGTATTGGTTTATTTTATAATTTTTATTATGGTGTTTAATAGTTGTAGTTTTAGGTTTGTTTAGTTTTTTTATGATTTTTGTTGTATTTTTAGAGAAAATAGAATATTTGAAGTTATTAGTTATAGAGAATAAGAATTTATAAAAATATACTTATTGTTGTCTTTGAAATAAATTAATTTAATATAGAAAAATTTATTTTATTTTATTATTATTTTTTAAATTTCCTGCCTCACCATTGCATGAGAACCTAATCAGCCCTCTGGGATGAAGTCTCTGGCTTTTTTACTCCAGTATCCTGGAATCCTGTTTCTGAACTCTAGTCTTATGCTTAAGGTCTTGGCCACCATTGAAAATGTTCCTGGTTCAGCTTCCCTGTGCTTGCTTCTGACCTGGGTCTCCTCTGGATTTGCTGTCAGCTGCTTATTTGCTTGTCACAGCAGCCCTGAATCCTTCCACCTCCAGCAGTCACCGAGCCTTCTGGATACTCTGATTTATTCTTCAAACTGGACTGACTCCCCATACCTTCTGCTGAACAGATTTCCAGGAGCATGTGTACCACCCCAGTGTGCTGCTCTGTTTGAGGTCCTATTTCTTGACCTTGGCCGAGTCCTGCCATAAGGTTATGCAGGAAAAGGCTGAGCTTTAATATTAGGGGAGCATCCATAAATGAAAGAGAGGAAATCATCTGCTATATTTAGGAGCAAATAAAAATTTTAAGAGTGGGAAGGTCTTATTGAAATGTTTTCTAGTCCGTGAATCCTCTAGTCTTTTTTGGCTTCATTTGGTGTATTATAGGATGAAACGTTATTTTTATGTCAAATGTTTACTTTCAAATGAAAATGTTAAACACTTCTGTGTTTTGCCATATCTTTCTTTGATGTCGACTGAATAGATGGCTGTCCATGCCTTGCAATTGAAGATGGTTTTATTTTGTAAATTATTTTTCTCTCTGTTTTTGCCTTTTCAGGTATTACACAATGGCCTCGTTATGGAGATGGAGCATCCAACTGTGGGGAAGATTTCCGTCCCAGGTCTGAAAAGTTTTGGTATTTTCTCTAGCACCTTTCTTTATTAATTGTCCCATATGCTGTTTACTACAGGTAGCTTATGAGCTCCCAAACAACTTTCCAAGACATTATCCAAATTTATAACATTGGGTAAAAGGGGAATCCTAGGACTGCACTCACAAAAATGTATGCTGAGACTATGGCATTGTGTCTTAGCTCTAAGGAGTGTCGGATTGCCACGATGACAAAAAAATGCTCGCATTTCTTAATTCCATTTTGTGTAATCACGTGCTCACAAAAGTACATCATGTAATTATCAACAGGTTGATAGTAATAGGTATGGCCAATAACAAGAAATAGAGTGTCGTTCATATGAGAATTGGAAAGAAAGCCAGGCAAGATGTAACTGGAGTCCGAGGAAGGCTACTGACTGCTCAGGCTCGGGCATTTTCTTTCAGAACCGTGGTTTAAGGTGTGGATCTTGGCTTTACAGAACAAGAAACTAAATGTTTTCAGTACACCCAGAATAGATTGAATTTTTGGAAGTTGATTCATACTAAACCAGCTCACCAGAGACTGCTGCCTAAGCCGAAATGCCAGCTTCTTTACTTGCAGAGGGAGCTCTTATTTCAGCAGCCAGTAGCCTCATGCCTACTCTCAAAGCATCCTCTTAAGTGGTGCATTTAAACTGCAGTGAGAGCTTGTGACCAATACATTTCCCTCCCACAGCCTCCATTTCTCTGATAATCACAATATTACCTTTATCAGATATGTTTTTTCTCTATTCCAGGCATCGCTGGAAAATCCACATTCCAGCAATGGAGTTCCAAATTATTTGTTCATTGTGTCCATATTTTCTAGACTAAACACAAACCAAGCACTTATTTTTTTTTCTTTTCTTCTGATGGAGGTCAGTGAAATTAGCTAGGATATAATTTTTGTTATTGTTTTTTCCTAAAACCGTTTCCTGGCCATCTTACTTGGAATTTAGGTATCTGCCAAACTCTTCAGTCACCTCAGTCAGGTGGCATAGAGTATTTACTTCTACAGGCATCTGATCTCATTTATTGAAGGACTATTCTTGTTAATTTTATCCTAAATAGAATCTAAGATTTGGGATCAGCTTTATAATAATCTCCCATAACCTACCAGATAGTGACCACTCGCGCATGAAAAGAGTAAGAAGAGGGAAGTATGATGAATAAAGAAAGTTGAAGAGAAAATTCTAATGTTCAAGAACATAAGGAATATTATGCATGGATTAAGGAAGGTAACTAAGAGAGCAGGTATAAGCAAATGAAAAACTGAGATCACATGTTCTAGGGAAATGTTATATGGTATAGAAAAGTGGTAGAAAAAAATGTTGACAAAAGCTAAGAAGTTCATCAGTTCATCCACTCATCTGTATTACTGAGTATATACTATGTGCCAGGTACTGCTTTGGGTCCTAAAAATACAAAAATAAACCAGACAACTTCACCCCTGGCCACCTGGAACTGATACTTAATAGAAAGTTGAATGATATAACAACCAACAAATGTTTCTATAACTGTAAGTCATAAGTGCAAAGAAAGAAAGAAGAATGTGCTGTCATAGAGAATGATGGGGTCAGATGGGGCCTTCTGTAGTTTAGGTGATCGAAGAAAGTCTCTCTGAGAGGCAGACTTATAACATGACACTGAGGGGCAAAACGAATAGAGGATGAGCATTTCCAGCAGAGGGAACAGCATGGGAGAAAACCCCGAGGTGATGAAGTGTGGGGTGTGTTCTAAGCCAGGATGAAAGGTGGGGAAGTGGGGCAGGAAATGAGACTGGAGAGGTAGGGAGAGCCTGGGGGCCCTGTTAAAGTTGTGTTTTCTCTCGTTTTAAGTAGGGGAATAAAATCACACAATTTACAGCTTAAAGCCGGCGGTCAGGTTAGGAAGTGATACAGGAGTTTAGGTGATAGTGTCTTAAATTAGGGTCATGGGAATAGAAATAAAAAGAAGGGGTGGTTAAAATAAAAAATGTAATCATAAGTCTTTGAGTATTAGATCTTTAGAAAACATCTGGTCTAGTAGTTTTTGATATTTATACAGTAAAACTGATTTTCCACATGAAGAATCCGTAGCTAACACAGATGGAAGCAGAGTTAGGCTGATTGATAGGTTAGCACTCCTATTGTTTAGCTTTCCTCCTCTGCCCACCATGCTGTGGTCTTCCACACATCTCTCCTTGGAAGTCTGGGCCCTGAAGAACCAGTGATCACTTAACCCCACAAGTTTACAGATGAGGTCATACAGGGGTTGGTATCCCCAACACATTAGAGAAAGGGTAAGCATTTGAAAGTCAATATGATTGTCAGCATGATAATGAGGAAAAAAGTAAGTCAGTGGCCAACCAAGAATGAACTCATTGGAGGTAACACTCTTTCAGTCAGGCGTAATTTGCTGACTTTCACTGTAAGTGAACGAAAGCTAAATCTCAGCAGGAGGGAAGTATTATTTACAGATTACTAGAAGGGAAGAATATTTCTTTTGCCCACTTTAATTTATCAATGTATCAGGTAGCCATTGTCACAAGAATGCTGTGTAAGAAATAACCTCAAGCTCTTAATGGTTTTCAAACATAAGCATTTGTTTATCCCATGCATGTGGATTAGCTGGGATGTTTCATATAGTTTGGGCTCAGCTGGGTAGCTTTGCTTCTAGTTCCAGGTCTGGCCAGGTTTAGCTCCTGCCTGTGCTTGGAGTCATTTCTAATCCGTGTGTCTCTCCTACTCTTCTGACGGTCATGGCTGCAGAACACTGGGGCAAGCAGAAACCACAGTGCTATGTAAGATGTTGGTGTACAGCTGGCAAACCCTTATGCCTGCATCTTATTAGTCCAAGCAAATTTTATTTTTTAAATTAATTTATTTTGAGACAGAGTCTCACTCTGTCGCCCAGGCTGAAGTGCAGTGACGCAATCTCAGCTCACTGCAACCTCCACCTCCCAGGTTTAAGCAATTCCCCTGCCTCAGCCTCCTGAGTAGCTGGGATTACAGGGACGTACCACCACACCCAACTAATTTCTGTATATTTAGTAGAGACGGGATTTCACCATGTTGGCCAGGCTGGTCTCAAACTCCTGACCTCGGGTGATCCACCTGCCTCGGCCTCCCAAAGTGCTGGGATTACAGATGTCAGCCACTGTGCCCGGGCAAAAGCAAGTTTTAGGCTGTATCCAAAAGGGTGGGGAAATACATGTGACCCTTTCTGAGAGAAATTTCAAAGTTATATGGTGAGGAGCATGGGCACAGGGAGAAGTAAATAATTGGAGTAAAAAATTCACTTGACTACAACAGAGTTCTCAGATCCACAGCAATTTCTTTCTCCTTTTTTTGTTTTAATCTCCCTTTGGAAAATTCTATTTTTGTTTAGTGTTTATAGGGCTTAGTCATCTTTTTGGTATGTCTATCTTGTTATCTTGTATTCTTTCTATAGAATTATCAATATGGGAATTCCCAGATTTGAGATGAAATGCATGAGTCTAGTTAATGTTTGGAATTAGAATCTGAGTGTGTTTTGAGTGCAGCACATCTGAATTCCTCATGAGAGGGGAATGACAATTCTGCTTACAGATGTCAGATAAAAAGAGGCTATTGTATCTCCTAATTCAGTATATCCCAATAAGAGGCCACATAAACAGGACAAGAGTTGTTAAATGCAAAGGGAATGTATCAGTAATATAATTTACAATTTGTCTGTGGATTCTACCTGTCCTTGATTTTATTTACCTATGATAGTTCTGCCTTTCTTTGTTGGGGATGTTCCCATTGGAGAACTCATAAATGCTATAGACATAACTCAGTTTCCTCAGAATGTCTCAATATGGTAAGTCTGCCAAAACAAGAAACACAAGCTACAGTTAAAGGTGACTTTTGCTACACTGTTTTCTGGTTAACTAGTGGAGACACATTTTGAATTTGCTAGACATAGTTCTATAGATTTACACATACATATCCACATCTTCACGTTTACAGTAACAATCCTTATTAGGATTGTTATTAGCATTATTAGCATTACCAGCTTATTACCATTCCAAATTATTCTACTTATTTATATTTCCTGCCTTATTTATGAACTTCTTGCAACCAGTACTGAATTTTCTGTATGTCACACTAATTTGCCTGAAGCACTTTCTTAGTCATTACCAGAAACTTGTCTCTTAAAAACAGCAGTAAATCATGTGATATTTATAGAGCCTTCTTTAGAGTTGTATAAATCCACATAGCATTCCTTCAGATGAGAGCTTATTGATTAATACATTAAAGATACTGGTCAACTCGTGTTTAATATACTTTGGACAAGGATAGGAAATTATTTACCTCTTAAAAATCCCTTTTGGCTACTTAAAGAAAATAATTATTTCAGCCATTTAGTACATTGTTTCAATCTTTGTAATCATTACCATTATTAAAATACAATAAGTAGTATCATCTAAACTATTTCCTTTATTATATCTGTTGCAAATACTCCCTTTCATATGAGTCTCTATCATCTTCAAACTATAATAAAGAGTTAGGAAAGAAATGTAATTTGTGTTTACAGATGATCTGGTTAAAACATGCAAACTAGTTAAGCCCATGAATTATCTCTAAGTGTGAGTTTTAGTTATGCTAATGCTATTGTTCTTTATTTAGTATATTATTCATTAAAGTACTCCCTCATCTGAACTTTAAAGCCTATTATACAGTTAAAAGTGAAGAGAGACAAAGAAAAATGAACTATCAATGGGTGTATAAGTGAGAACAGGTATTATGTGACTCTTTGCCAGACTCTAACATTCTGGTGTTCTAAGAGGCCTCAGTGAGGGAAGTGGTTGTTAGTTTGAGGTCACCATTAGCTTAATGATAGAAGTGTCAGCATGATAGGCACAATGTACTAATTTGCTCTTAATTAATATAACCTGTATTGAGTGCTAAAACCTCAAACATTCCCTCCCCTGCCCCCGACAACTAACCTAACTAAACTTACTGTGTCTGGTACACTATTTAAGCTCTGGGGAGAAAACTGGATAGGACCAGTCCCTCGTGGAGCTTATGCTTGGCCAGGGAAACAGGCATGAACAATGAACATGGAAAAGTAGGTTGAGTGTTTCCTTGGAGAATCAGGGGCTACAGCTCAAGGCTCTGGGTGCACATACCAGGGAGACCTCACTTAGTGTGTAGGCTGAGGAAAGGTTTCTCTGAGAAGTGAAATGTATGCTTCACTTTCAGTGTGTAACTAAGTACAAAAACAGTATCAATGTTGAATCTGTGAGTGGTTTTCCACCTACTGTGATGTGCTACTGTAAATATACCTCTTTAATTACTTCAGGTATCTTTGATGACCTATTTAAATTTGTGTACATCATTGTACATAGGATAAAATGTTTTCACGTTTTTATGATAAAATTTGAACAAATAGCTTTTTAATAGATGTAATGATCCAGTGATTCATCAACAATGCCAATGATTCTTCAATGAAATTATATAATGTAAAAAAATGCAATCAGATACATGAACAATGTGAGTGCCTGGCACCCTGGAGGAGCAGAGAAAGCACTCCAGTGGAGAAACAGGGAGGGGGCAGGCTCACAGTGACCCCGAAGAGGGATCCAGAGGCCAGAGGAATAAGTTCTAAAATAGAGCTAATAATCACATTAAATACAAATCAAAAAAAATTCAAAGATATCTATGCTGGGGTCCCTGAGATTCCTACTGTCTGAGGAGTGAAGGTAGGACTTGCGAGTGGAGCTTGGATAGAAACCACCGGTTTAGCAGATGTTCTCATGGATTGATTTTAGGGGTAATTTCTATCTCTGTTGAAGACTTTTGTAAAACTTACAGTGTCCTAAATTTTAAACTGTGAAATTGATAGAAATTTGTATTTGTTAATTACAGAAATTTAAAAAGCACATTAAAGTTTACATCACAGCATTTCTGCGACAGGAGATGGGCCATTATGTAAATTTCACCTTATTTGTGACTTTAGTGGGAAGATCTTGCATAAGTTATCACATTCCAAAGGTTGGCCAATTTCCACCAAGCCATTCACTATTTGCATCTTCTTGCAATCACACCGGTCTTTGGCCTTTGAGCCAGAGTGGAGCATGCTGTCCTTGCATGTACTGTGGAGGTGCCAAGTTAGCATTGGTGCTGAGTGCCAAACTTCAAAGGATGTCATTGGAATAGAGTTTGATGTGTAGCTCTGCAGTTTCTCACCATAACCTTTTTCAGATACTTCCTGTGAATGTGCATTGCAGTCATTTGATTCTAGTTGCACTTCTGGGAAGTGTTTCAGTGGTGAGTGTGTCTGTGCTGTGAAGGGGAAGCAGTCTTCTATACATGCAAAAGGATTCGAAATTGAATTGCTTCTGCCTGCTGGTCCCCTGATCTGTGTTTTTCAGAAAGCAGCTCCAGGTTCTTCAATATACTTTATCCATAGTATTTTAATACTCACATTTGGAACTTGCAGCAGTTTTTAACTAGTGGGTGTTGGATGCAGAGACAGTAGTCACCACCATGCATTAGTGTAGTTTGAATCAAATTATTAGAATATTGATGTTTGGATTTTAAGGTGAATTTGTATAAAGTTGAATGTACTCCTCTATTTTATTATCGGACACATTATATTTCTGAATGTTTTGCAAGATGTTTTGTAAGTAATGATCTAAAACACTTCTCTGGGTTTGAGACAGTATACCTTCATAAGCTCCCAGAGGGCAAAAATGTCATAATTTGAAGTCTAACCAGCACCCTGTATGCCAACTAGGAACTTAAGAACATTTTCTGGATGATGATTACAATGGAAAACTATTAGATAATCAAAAACTTGATTTATGATCCATTTATTCAGTATGCATTTTTTATTAATGGACTGGCTACCTGCAGAAGCTCTCTGATAACAATTTATTTTACTTATTTAGTTAGTTTTCAATTTGAAGCCTATACATTAAATGGAGTAACTGCCTTGTATTTTCCATGCATTACAACTCTGCCTTTTCTATGCTACACAAGACTTTGCCTTCCCCTGTTACTTTTAGCTTTTTTCTTCTCTTTAGGTAGAAAATTAGATCATGTTTCTGAAATCACATGTCCTCAAAGTGCAGTTAAATTTCTATAATGGATAACAGCAGTGGGGAAAGCTGTCACAAATCTCACTGGGGAAAAAGAAAAATTAAGAGGAACCAAAGTTTCAGCATATATCTCTCCATAAAGTTTAAGTATGTTGGTGCTCATAAGGAATTCTGTGTAAAACCAATGTGAAAATGAAAGGTGAGATAAGTTATTTCTTCCAGGTAGAAAGGCCTTTCAGATGACAACAGGAAAAGTGTGTAAAGTTTTCATGTTGTGCGTAGTGCATAATCTATCTTCTAGAAAGAGCATACTCCTTAAGGGACCAGGTTAAGCTGCAAAAAGAGGAAAGAGATGAAAGGAAGTTTCTAGAGTCTGTCAACAAAATGAGAGAAAGTTGGCAGGAAAGTGAATTTTCAAATAGACTAGCTAGGGTACTTCCCAAAGTCCTCAATTATTTTTTTACCGTTATTAAATCCTTAACCCATGGCAGGGTACTGAGTGAAATCAATCAGTGTATTCTCAGGTGACTTGCCATTGAGTGCCTGGAGTCTTCTCTGGAAGTCCCTATAACAATAAGGTGGGGTAGTAGACATTGTTACTGTTCTGTGAGAAATGAATAGCACAGTGATTTTCCTTCCTAGGAGAGCAGGGAGGAAACAAAGGAGGCGTGAATTGCATCCCCAGGAATGTCTTTCCATCAGGCACCAGAGAAGCATCAGGAGCCAAGTTACTGTCGCTGATACAACTCAGGGATCTCCATCAACTATGCTTATCTGTGGCATGAGGAAGAAATATTTTGTGAGACCTGGGCTTTCATACTCTGGGAATTCTTATTTCTGTTAGTTGGGACTTGGAAAGCTGCCAAGAGCTCAGTTGTTCTTTTGCAACATATCCTCATCAACGTAGACCCTAGTGGGCTTCCCGATAAGTGAATGTGTCTAACAGACAAGAAACTCTTATTGCAAATCAGCCCTAAGTTATCAATGAATTCCTGGGGTGCAGAGTAAGTTTTCACTACTAGGAAGTGATATTTATGCTCAAGAATTTTCCTGGGGGAATATTTAACTGGACTCATACATTCTTTGGGATTTTTTCCAGTATCTCTATGCAGAATGATCCTTGAGATTAGAGGTATGTTTTAAATAATCCGAGTGGACCATTGAATGTTAACCTGAATATAGAAATCAAAAGAAAAATAAAAAGCCACAGGAAGAGTAAAAGGCTAAATGATGGTATACCGTTTTTGCTATTGTGTCAGAAGATGTATCAGAAATTTTCATCAGTTCTTGATTGCGTTCCTGGTATATTAGCTGCAGCCAACCTTCACTGAGTGCACAAAAAAGTCTTTCTGGATCAACTTTAAGTACTGACTTTACGATAAGCATTTAGGGAATAAATTAATCAAATTTAATTAGACATGTAAACTGATTAGAGAAGTAAAAACAAATATCTTACAATAGCTAAATACAAAAGTTTTAAAATTATCTACCAGTTTGGACTTCAGTATCATGGCGTTAACTTGGAGAATCAAGAAGTGACATTATCTTTGCCTCCAAGTGGCTTCAGCTAGGAGTGAGTTGCTTGGCTTTATGGTTGGGTTTATTCATGGTTGGACAGGGAGTCATTTTAATCCTTTCTCAAAGAGGAGTGGCTTTGCTTTCCTTCAGCATTACCAAGAAGGGACTTCTTGGTGCATGAAGAGATAAATTGGGCTGAATTTCATGGAATTTTTTTTTTAATGATCAGTCTTTAAGATGTCAAGAAGTATTCTGATTAAGAAGACTTAGATAAAATATTTATCTTTACTAAGCCAGATGGAGCAAGCCACCTTTTTATTTAAAATGATTGTAGTTTAATTTTGACTAAGCATACAATGTTATGATAATATTAAAAAGATGTTGGTGGAGATAAAGAAATGGTAGTAAAGGGGTTAAAGAAAAACCTTCAGATACCTTACTATAATCAATAGGAAATGTATCATATCCCATTTTTCATATCATCCCCAAACCTTCAGGATTTGGGGGCACTGAGCTAGGTATGTGGGCCTTATTGCTTCTCTCCTCAGCTGGAGCGAATCTTATTTGTCCTGTATGTATCAGCTTTAATGAAACCACATCTTCATGTTGTCATATCTTTATCTGGGTATGGCATTAACAGTCAGCATGTCTCAGTGTTCCTCCTTTGAGTAAGATGTTCTAATACCACATAGGAAGGGGGGCCCGAGGGACCTTGAAATGCTTCCCTAATTTGCCCTTTATCTGAACATTGTGTAAGTCAGAATGGGCTGTGTGCCTCTTGGAGTGGGTTGCCAATTAGTCTAATCTGCTTACAACCCTTGTGTCTGTTTGAAATGTTCCTAAGAGCTCTAAATCCTGGGTTATTTCAAGAAGCCGTAAGCATTTCAAACAGTTAAGCAAAAACCAAATTTTAATCAAATTAAAAATGAAAAAAATTAATAGCAGGACATTTTGGGCATTTGAGGCGTGGATGTGGTCAAATAAAAGTACCAAGAAGATGCTGCAGCCACAAAAACTAAAGAAGCACTACCCTCCGTAGACTTAAAGAATATCTGCAACAGAGACTAATTCTGCTTTCTCTTTGTTGCTGGGCCTTCAAGTTCATGTGTGACCTTAAATAACTGACCTCAGCTTCTAGTGCCTTGTTTTCTTGTTCTAATGGGATTAGTCTTTTCATCCTTTTAATTTAATGGAAAAATGCAATTCACTGTGCTGCATTTAACTATATTTTGTGAATAGGTTTTAATGGCATAATTGCTGTGGAGCATTCAAATTTGAGAGGAGGGAATGTAAGTAAATAAACATCTGCTTAATACTTGTCTATATATGGTATATATATGAATACTTTATATACACCATTTGTTTCTTCTCTGGGACAATTCAGTAAACCATATTACTATGTCCATTTTACAGATAAGAAAATAGAGATTTGCTTAATGTTGCTATACCAACCAATGTTAGTGTTGCAATTCAAACCCAGCTCTGGGTGTATCTTTAATCTGTCCTCTTTTCTCTATTTACTATTATCTCCTAAAGTTGAGCCAAAAAGGGAAGTTGAACCAACTATTGAGTTTTTTTTTTTACCTTACTTACATTAGTCTCTAATTTAAAGACTGCTGGATATATTTTAAATGTTTTATTTGAAGATCAGTTGACATTTATTTAAATAATATTTACATTTTAAGAATTTAAAGTTAGATTCAGCCTATTTTGGGATTACCTGTTTTGGGATTACCTATTTTGGGATTACGTGGGTTTTTTTGTTGTTGTTGTTTTTGTTTTTTTAACAAAGTCTGTAATTGTGTTTCTATTAAAAAAAAAAGCAGCAGCAGCCATCAGAAAATGTATTGTTAGGCCATTTTAATATTCTCAAGAGTATATAAGTGTAAATGCACCAAAACATGTGGACTACATTTCCCGCTAGTTGTACTGTTTTCACACATTAACAGAAATGCTGTTTGGAAGGGGAATAAAGGAGATATGTTTGGGATATATATGCAGATTTCAATCATCAAAAGACCCAAGATATTAAGCTGCCTCCTGGAATCACCCAGAATTTTTGTCTTTCCAGTGATCTCTGTGGCCATGGTGCTGTGTGGGCAAATTTCCTCTTGCTGACCTGGGGCTGGTTTTATTTCAAAGTTACAGCCTGATTCCTCAGAGCAGCATTAATTAAACTGCAAACAATGTTGTGTTGGTATAATAGAGTTAAGATGATTTTTCTTCCCCAAGCATGTGGTTGATACTATGGCCAGAAAAGTTTAAAAGTAAATTAGTGACAAATACTGCGTGATTCCATATAAGGTACTTAGAGTAGTCAAGGTCATAGACACAGAAAGTAGAATAGTGATTGTCAGGGGCTGGAGGGAGAGGGGTATGGCCAGTTAGTGTTTACAGAATACAGAGTTTCACTTTGGGAAGATGACAAAGTTCTGGAGATGGATGGCATAATAGTTGCACAACAATGTGAATGTACTTAGTGCCACTAAAGTGTACGCTTAAAAATGGTCAAAATGGTAAATTTCATGCTATATACATTTTCAGCTACAACAAAAATATGATTCATAAAAATATTAATTAACTTCTATGATGTTTTCATGTGTACATGTAGAATGCATGTGTGGTGTGCATACAAAATAGGCTAGAATGGAGAGCATGTAGGCTTAGTCACCGAGACCTGAGCTCAAAGCCTGGTTTTGCAATTTATGTTTGGAGATCATTGACAGGCTGTCTCACGTATTTCAGTGGCAGCTTTCTTATCTGTGACAGGAAGACCAAATACTCACTGCAACTTATAATAATTAAATAATAATAAATGTCCAGTGCTCAGCACATAGAAGGATTAAGTGGAAACACAGTATAGATAGTTAATAAACTCGTAGCTTCATCTACAGTAACAAGTAGTCTTGGGGAAAAATAAAACTAGCCACATCATTAATTTTTCAACCATTAAACCTTGAAACAATCACGCATGTTTCTCTAAGAAATAACATAAAACAAATCATCCTTTCGTTTAACAAATGTTTATCCAGTGTTTACTCTGTGCCAAGTCCTGGCTGACAAGAAGCACTGTGTAATGGGGCATGTGACAGTGACCAGTCAAATAAGACACAGTGAGGACTGGGAGATCCTGAGGCTGCCACTGCCAGATGGACGTGAGGCTAAACTGGCCCCTTTGTTTGTTTTCCAAGTAGGAGCTCTTGGATAAATATTTTGTGTATAAAGTCAATGGAGACCACGCAGTGTGAAAGCCTCCTCCAAAATCATTATTTTCAGACAGTTCATGCAGGTGAAAATAATGCAGAGGTCATAGATAACACTGTAACAGCTTAATTATGGGAAATTAGAGAGGGGCCCATGATAGAGCACAGCATTTCCTAAATGTTCCTTGCCTAGAGGACCCTAGTTTTCTGAAATAGTAATAGTTGTCCCACCACAAAATGACCCTTTTGTCAAACAACTTTGGGAAACCTGCATTAGGCAAAGGTCAGTGAATTTTCTTTACTTTGACATTTCTCAGAAGCATTGATAGTCTGAAATGTGTTTGCCTAAGAGGGAGATATCGAAGACCATCTTTCCTGCAGTTATTTGACAGCAGAGCCCTTTTTCCCTCAGAGCGCTTATTAACATCCTGTGGAAAAGTGATTTTTGGGTCACCCCACTAGGAACATGTGTCCCTTGGAGCCACATGAGACAAGTTGTAATGGTCATTTACTGGAGAAATTGGCTGGATTGTGCTAACAAAGGGAGAGGAAACCAAATAAGAAAACTGACCGTCCTCCGAGGGTCAGGATTTTCTTTTGTTTTTTTAGCTCAAGGGTCCAATGTTCCCGGGGAGCGTCAAAGTGGGTTCTTTCTGCTATGACAGCGGAATACCCATGAACACTGGGCGGGAGAGGGTTGGCCAGGAGCACGCCCCGGGGAACCTGTGTGGTAAGAGACCTCCAGTGGGGGGCGGTGATTTCACTCCTAGTGGGCTCAGCCCCCACCAGAAGAGCTTCATTTGACAAGGAAAGGCATTAATAATGGAAATGGATTGAAGGTAACACTGACGTGCAGATCAGGAATAGCTCACACGGTGATGCTCTTGCACTAGAAGCAGAAACTATCCTGGGATCTAAAGAAATCACTTAAGAAGAAAACATTTCCTCTTCATTGAGCCTCAGTAAAGCTGCATGAGGAGAATTCTGCACAATTGTTCGTACTCTAGCTTAGAAAATGGAGTTGATTAAGTGGAAGGAAACTTTAAAAATGTGACAAAGATGATGAGGTGATTAAGGGGTAGGTTTTAAGTAGCAAGATGTGGGGAATTTAAGATGTATGACTAGTAGCGGTGACAGTGAGGTTTATGATAGCTGCCTATAAATACCCAATTAATTGCCTAATGTGGCAAATGAGAAGAAACAGGCTTTTACCACCAAAAGGGAAACTTGAAGTATATTAGGGAAACAGTATTTAACAGTAGGGGTGATTTGGCTGCCATGATACGGAGAAATCAGTTGTGTTATTTGGATAAAGACTTGGAAAGGTACTTTTCTTCCTGATAACATCCTGGTGTCAACAGATTATTTTTCTTTAAAAAGGATGCATACATTTTCATATTTCTTAGGAGCAGAGATTGAAAAATAGAGAAAACTATTTAATTTGCTATAATTCAGGTTGCCTGAAGCCTCCAAACATGTTTTCCCCCAAGCTGAATTATAGTAATATCTTTGACGGTAAGAAGCATAAAACAACTCTCTTTTTTTTTTTTTGAGACGGAATCTCACTCTGTTGCCCAGGCTGGAGTGCAGTGCACTGGCATGATCTCAGCTCACTGCAACCTATCCCTCCCAGGTTCAAGTTATTCTCCTGCCTCAGCCTCCTGAGTAGCTGGGATTACAGGTGCCCACCGTCATGCCCAGCTAATTTTTGTATTTTTTTTTAGTAGAGATGGGGTTTCACCATGTTGGCGAGGCTGGTCATGAACTCCTGACCTCAGGTGATCCTCCCACCTCTGCCTCCCAAAGTGCTGGGATTACAGGCATGAGCCACCCCTCCCAGCCAGCATAAAAAATTTTATGCATTGTATTATACTGTATGTGGAGCTACACCTGATAGTGTAAGCCACAATAAGGCTAGTTGTAGGGCACACCTGATAACACTCGCTAACACTTAGTGAGCCTGAATATGAATTAGGTGCTTTATACAGGAGTATTTAATCAGCACATGGACTCTCGGGGTGTGGCATTAGAATCCTCATTTCACAGGTGAGCAAACTGAGCCTCAGATAAATTAAATAGCCCGAGGAAGGTCACATAACTAGAAAGTCACAGAGTCAGAATTTGCATTCACTTCTGAGTTACTCAGAAATCCATGCCCTTTTATTGCGATGCTCTACTGCCTCCTGAAGGCATTTTTTGATTATCACTTTTATAAACTTTAGGCTTAGTTTATATGAAGCACTCCTGAGAGTGAAATGGTTCGCTCATGTTTGAGAGTGGGTGGTCACCAGGGGTGTTACTCAGGCTTGACACAGATAATCCTGTGGCATGGCTTCAGCAAGCAGCTTGCCCAAGGTTGCACAGAGAATGAGATTGGCCAGGCTAGAAGGAAGGGCGGTTGGCTCCAGCTCACCGGGCATTCATATGGTATATGGAGGAGAACTGCCAGATCTCAGAAACAGCATCCAGATTTGATTATAACTTCTCTTTGTGGTCTTTGAAGCTTTGTGTTATTTCTTCCCTTCACTCGTGGAGTTAGGATCTATTTTCACATAAACAGAAACGATTCCTCCTTTCTGAGCACTTCATTGTTGGTGGCATTGTGGAATGTCCCAGGAAGGGGGGAATGGGGCCAATTAGAAAGGAGAAATTCTTCTTCGGCTTGCGTGTTTATATGAAAATGCCAAAGCCACCAGCTGTTGCAACAGCAGGCCTAGGGTAAAGCTCTTCCCCAACTGTCCTGCAGCATATATACAGCAGAGGGAGGTCTTTTCAATAGGCTCAATTAGAAAGTGGAAAACAGAAAGCACCCCCACCAAAAAAAAGTGTGGTCCTGTGTTCTTGAGTTGCACAGCAAACTTTGGAAATAAGCACTTAAGTATACTTTTTATTTCTGCAAGAAGTTCCCAAATATGAGCATGGAAATGACAACTCAAATTCCAACCATTCCCTGTTAAATGCCTTACCTCAGCTCACCACTGAGGAGTTTGTTCCTTGAGTAGAGAGAATGTAGATTGAAAAAAATTAATTTCACATTTCTATTTATGGGACATTTGAGACAAACAGCCCATCAGTGTTACTGTTACCTCATTCACCTTTTTTAGCCATCAGGACTGACTGCTTATGTCTTTTACATTCATGGGACACATTTCAAATATGAGGAATTCAGTTCCATAGCAGGATTTAAGCAGAGATGATATATATCATCTTATTTGGCTATCTTTATAAGGCTTTCTTCTTTTCTTCAAAAAAAATATAAATGGTATATTAGTACTGATGGAAAAAACAGACCTGACAGGAAGGTTAAAAAAAAATAAGTGACTTAAACAATTATTCTGGAATCAATTCAAGAGAGTAGGGTGGAGTAGAGTCTGAAACCAAACAATATAATCCCAAAGATTATATTTGTTAAATGAAGCTTAATTGGGGCTGTTTTACTGCATTGAACTGGCTAAGGAGTTTTCCCTGTCAACCTTCCTGATAGAGGTAGTTCCAATCCTATTTCATCCCTCTGCTACCTTCTGTACAAGGTGAGCTGTCAATTTCTTGGAGAGGAGTAAGATCACAGCTGGGACTCACACACAGTTCTTCCAAGCATGCCACAGGTTGGGGCTGCAGTGTTCTTTCTGTGGTGTGGAGGCTCCTCTTTCTCTAGTATTCCAATCCTAGAGGTTCTTTGTGCTTATGGTATCTCAAGTTATAATCAGAATGGTATAGTGGGGTTTCATAATCTCCTTTGCCAGCTTATAGCAGTAGAGTCCCTACATTCTCAGAATGTGTAAGTGACAGCTTATTTCATATTTGGCATTTTAGATTCAATGAGATTTAACAATAGTTTTTATTAGTTAATTTCTCTTCATTTGTAGTGAATTACAGATAATTTTCTTTCTGATCCTTTTTTCTAAATCTTTAGTTGTGAAATTTTCCAGTAAGACAAATACAAACAACTGTCATGTAAATACATTTGGTCTTAAATCAGATTAGAACTGTGGACTCTCCAAACCAGAGGTTCTCATTCCAGTTGAAATACCAAGGTATTTTCTATGGAATTGGATTCTCTTCATTTCAAAAAAAGTAAACTAAATAAACAAAAAAAATGGCTTGAAAATGCTTCTTGGTCTCTTTACATTCAAACTCCTTCCTGGAATCTGAAGAGCCTGATACAAATGCTTTCAGGGACATGCCATTAAAGAAAAAAAAAAACCCTAAAAACTGTGTTTTTCTCCTGAAATAAAAAATAAAAAATAAAAAATAACGAACTATTATAAAGTCATCTACTTTAACGATTTGGGTATTCATGGAGCTGAAAGAAAAATGAGCTATTTAGAAAAAGAGGTTTCTAAACCAATATAAATTGCCAATTATGTTCTTCTTTATCTTTTAAGTTTCCTTTGTCCTTATGTAAAGGGTTTAGGAGGTAATAATAAAGACCAAGGGAAGGCCCATACAGGGGGAAGAAACTGGAATTCATGAGTTAAAAAGAAGTAGAGGAGATACTCATATTTGAGCAGTTTCTGAAGTAGTCTAAATCTTTCACCCAGTCAACCAGGGCGCCTTCTCTCAGATGCAGGGAAACCCTCTGACCACAAGGCCCCTTCCTGTTCTTTTCTTGAATATCAAGCATCACCCTCTAAGTTTTCAGCCATGTATTTTCTTTGGACTACTCTTTTTTACCTTTATTAAATGCTTCACATATATGAAAGGAAATGTCAACATTCAACCTTTCGTGTGAGGTGGGAAAAGGCAAAAGTTTATTTCGGTGCTCTCCTATTTAAAGACAACAGAACTCTGTTGTAATATAATTTTTTATACTTGAATTCCAACATAATATAGTTGAAACCATGAAGCCCTCAAAAGTGTAGAAAAAGTGATACATATCATCTATATACAAATCCTGTTGTCAGTCCTGGTATAACTAAATTCAACCTTAAATCTTTAGTTATTTATCTATTTAGAGACAGGGTCTCACACTGTTGTCCCAGCTGGAGTGCAGTGGCGTGATCTCTGCTCGCTGGAACCTCTGCCTCCCGGGTTCAAGCAATTCTCCCACCTCAGCCTCCTGAGTAGCTGGGATTACAGACACATGCCACCACACCCAGCTAATTTTGTATTTTTAGTAGAGATGAGGTTTCACCATGTTGACCAGGCTGGTCTCGAACTCCTGACCTCAGGTGATCCACCTGCCTCGGCCTCCCAAAGTGCTGGGAAAATCTTTATTTAATATATGGATATTCCTGTCATTTTTTCTTTGTTCCTGCAAATCTAAATTCCTGCAAATCCTGTCAATTTAGTATTTTTCCTAATAGAAATTGTAAACTTCAATATGTTACTAAGAATTAAGCTTTGAAGCAAATAATTTTTTCCTGCCATATTCTCTTAGGGTATGTATAGAGAACTGCTGGAGTATTTGAAAATTAACCAGTAGTCAGTTGTAGATTTTAGCAAATACACATATTTTTCATATAAGCAATCCAATCCTATCCTCCTGGCCTATATATGCAGTTTGAGGTGGATATGTGTTCACGTGACATATTTTGAAATTCCAAGTCAAATACTTTAAGTGTTATACAAATGTAAGTTACTGGTATTATTACTGTGTATGTGACATTTAATTTGCACTATGGGGAATTTAACAATATTGGATGAAAGCGATAGCCTGGATATAGTAGTAAAGGCATGAAAACTGGTGCCCACACTTAAGGAGGCCTTATATTGATGATGATGATTACATAACAGCAATATCTCCACATCTAACCTAAGAAATGTTTAGATATGTACTGTCTGGATTATTTACTTATTACATGCTTTTGAAAATGTTCCAGTGACTTAAGACTTTTGAATCTATCTTTTGCAAAGGAAGAGAAAAGTCTACTTAAACCACAACACTAAAAACAAGTTGGCTTACAGGAATTGACCCCCTGCATTAAAGAAAAACAAAAAACATAGGTGGCGTCTTCATAGAATTTTTCTCAAAAGGGTGTAATATTAATTCCTGTAACTTAAAAAAGCCATCTGTATAGAGTTTTGTACCCAAAATATATGCCCATAGAATGTAAATCACATGATATAAAAGAAAACTATATGGTATTCCTAAGCCCTAACATTCCCAAACCTATCTGAATGGGGCATTTTTCAAAATGCTATTGGTCCAAAGGGTCTCTCATGGGACCCAGATCTGATATGAAACCACAGAGGAGAGTGACAGGGTTAGTTGCCTAATTAGGATGGAGCAGCCCATGGATGTGAGAACTTGGAACTGGGCAGGCCAACTGGTGTGGGTCAGAGTGGTGGCAGAGGATGGCCTACCTCTGGGCAATGGAAAGAATGCTGACCCATCAGGTGGGGCACAGTAACTGGTAAATATGGTGTCAGAAGATTTAGCAAGAGATGAAAAGGTGCCCTGATAGGCAGTGGACAAAACACACAGAGATCGTAGGTTCAAGAAACATCACAGAATCCTAGCAAATAGGTAAGACAGAGGCTTCAGGTAAATCCTTCTGGATAGCAGGGCCTCAGCCACAAGGCCAGTATTCAAAAGCAGAATTCAATTCCTGACATTTAAGAAAGAAAAAGCCAAGAACGAGATGGAATCATTGATTTTCCCATATCCTGGAAGGACACAGTTACCAGAATAGTTTTAAGGGTGGAACTGAGACCAAGGGAAGAAGGCAGACTTTTCAAAACTTGAACAAAAGGTAGGAATTCATTTCAGGACACATTTGAGCACCATGACTGCGTCTGAAGACATAGTGAGGACTGGCCATGGGTCATCTGAGCTTGGACCAAGAATGCCCCATACTCCCTCAGGGTCCCAGGCTCTGTAGAAATTGGGGAGGAGAATTAAAGGGCAGAAAACCAAGCAGCATATTATCCAGATAAGGTTTTCAGCTCAGTCTTGGGCTTCTTCTCCTCCATTCAGCAGGTAAGATTCCATAGTCAGGGGCCTCAGGCTGCTTCACTACCTATTTCTTAGAACTCTGCACAGCTTTAGTGGAAGAGGCAGTGGCTGCTCAAGGAGGGTTCACAGCAGCAATCTGCAGGAAGCCTCGGCTGCTTCCTGTGTCCCTGGAAAAGTTCTTGGGAGTTTCCTAGAGTCCTCAATGGCACCATGGACTCTTGTTCTCCATAAAGGATATAAGAATGATGTTTCAACTCGCCTTGGCCACTTCGTGGGAGGCACCTTTTGACCAGGAGGCAAGGTCACCCAGGAATCTGTTCAGTGTGTTTAATGCCAACAACCCCTAAATGTTTTAAACAGCACCGAGACCCACTCTATCTTTCTATGACCATTTCTAGGTAGAATTATGTTCAACATGACCAATAGCAAACGTTGCTTCATAAAAGAATACTTGCTGTGAAGATCAGGCTGGATGCTTAAAAACTGAGCCCTATAGGCCGTTCATTTTCTTTCAAATAATGTTGTGTTTGCCATATTGCAATCCAAATGTTTTCGTATCATGGTTGATGCTTGGTGTCACATTTATAAAACACTTAATTTGTTTATGCCATTCCTTTTTCTTGTAAATACCTAACCAGACCTCCAAACACCAGTACCCTGTATTGGAAGGCAGGTGCACACAGAAGTTTGATGGGGAGGCACATGTGAGTGCCACGTTGTTCTTTAGGGAGAGTGCAGCCTGCAGGGCGAGGCAGCTTGAAATCGTGTCCTGTGCTGAGTGTGTCTATTAGGAGAAGTCTTGACTACAGTGGTGAATGTAGAGAGGGATATTCCTTGAGAGGGCAGAACTAGGGCTAATAATTAGATGTTAGAGGGAAAGGATTCAAGCTCAAGGCATAGACAAGCTTTCTTACATGGGGAGCAGTAAAAAAAAACAAGGGGGAGAGTATTGACCTTCCTGGCAAGGAATCGAACATAGCAGTAATAGTAGAGTTAAAAGAAGAGAGTGGATGAGCACTTAGCAGGAATTTTATATTTAAGTGTAGAGTAGGGAATTGACTTAAGTGGCTTTTAAGGTCAGTGACTGAGTTAGAAGCAAAATTCAAATTTCTCATTTCCTAATCCGGGATTTTTACCTGATTCCTTGAGGTGGTGGCTGAACAATGCCCTCTAAATATGTCATGTCTTAATCCCTGGAACTTGTGAATGCTATCATATATGACAAAAGGAACTTTGCAGATGCGATTAATTCAAGGATGTTAACTTAATTATCCAGGAGGGCCTCGTGTAATCACCATCATTTTATAAGAGGGACACAGGAGTAGTCAGAATCAGAGGAGAATATGATGTGATAATGGAAGCAGAGAGCAGGGTGATAAGCTTTGAAGATGGAGAAAGGGGCCACAGGCCAAGAAATGCAGGCCATCACTAGAAACTGAAAAAGGCAAGGAAATGGATTGTGCCCTAGATCTTCCAAAAGGACTGTAGTTCTGTCAGGGCTTTAGCTTTAGCCTAATGAAACGCATTTCAAACTTCTGACCTCCAGAGCTCTACAGAAACAAATGCACGTTGTTTTAAGCCACCAACTTTGTGACGATTTGTAACAATGGCCACAGGAAATGAATACACCTGCCTTTCTCTAAACTCTATCTTAAATTTTATTTGATCCCTAAACAAGGTAGCCAAGGCCCCAAATGTACACACCAATGCAGGAAGCATAGCTGTCTGACTTCTTTCCCTCAACACTTAGTTGTTGATTCTTGGATTGAGCCTGTATATTAACTCACTCATTTCTTATAACATTATTTCTCCTTTATTTAAATATGCATTTGATTTTTATGCATTTCTAATTAAATCGAATTTTCTTTGCATGACCTGCTAGCCCCTTCATGATTAAGCTTGATACTTTTCCATCTACTTCCTCCCTGAACCCCTGTCATGCTGAACTTGTCAAGTTTCTTGAAAACACCATGCTGTTTTGTCTCTGTTATTTTGCATGTATTGTTTCCTCTGTGGTGAGTGGCTTTTATATTATGTTTTGCCTAGATAACTTCTATTCTGCTGCATCAGGATTATCTTTAGCTATAACAGAAACCCCCAAATAGCACAGATTAAAGAGAGGTTAATCCTCTCTCCCATGATAGTCTGGAGGCGGGCAGTTCAGCGCTGGTATGACATCTCTGCCCTGGGATGTCTTCAGGAAATCAGGCTCCTTTTAGCTCATTGCTCCACCTTCCCTGGAAGGTGGTCCTTGTCTTTGCAGTACAAGATGGCATTTCGAGCTTGGGTCATCATATCTATGTTCCAGACAGAGGGTTAGAGGAAAGCACAAAGAGGAAAAAGGAACAAAGAGCATACCCCAACTATTTCGGGAGAAGGTTCCTGGAAGCTGTCAAATTATACCTATACTCACATATATTAACAAGTACTTAGTCACCTGCACAGGGGCTGGGAAATGTAGTTTTTATCCTGGTGATGAAGAGTGGCATCTTCCCTACTGGAAAACAGATGCCCTATTTCTATGGAAGAAGAGAAGGGATATTAATGGACAACAAACCATATCTGTCACATCATCATTTAACTCAGTTTATATAATTCCTGCTCTAGGAAGACTTTTTCCTAATCCCCAATGCACTGGTGTCCCTCCTGTATGCTCCCCACATCCTGTGAATACCTTCACTCACTGTGTCAAATGCCTTTATAACCTTGGAGACAAATTGCTCACTGGACTATGAGCAATTTGAGGCAGGAGCTCTGTGATCACTTTATGGCCTAGCACAGTAGCTATTAAAATGTATTTATAGTGAATGAATGAACTAATTAACCCTGAAAAATTTCCAGATGCCAATGTCTCTAAAATTTTGAAATATGAGCAGATAATTTAATTTCATGTATACAATATTTTATGCTTTTAAAAGTTTTCTAGAAATTCCCAGGAAGTTAAGATTGTATATCCAAAAGTATAACAAATGTAGCTGTGTGTGTATGTTTTGTTTCAAAAGTTATAATTCTACACATAGCAAAACATACTTAGATTTCCCCCCCAACACTCACCCACATCTTTCTCTATAAATACAGTTTAGAAAGGTGTAGTTTAATCTATTAAAATGCAGCAGATTGTGTGTGGATCACAATCTGTATCGATGTAACCAAATTATATCAGTAACTATAACACTATAGTTATCAAGTAGACTGATAGTCAAATTGAATTATAAAGTCTATCAAGTAACACAATATACAATTTATTTTCTAGCATTTTTTTTCTAATGTGCCCCTTTCCTGTAATGTATCTTAACAATGCCATGAGGTTGTCAGTGCTGGAAAGGTAAATACTGTGGTTCAGAGCAATCCAGGATCGTATAGCACTAAGTTCAAGTGACTGATTTTATCCTTGTAAGATTAATTCAAGATTCGATGGGGGAATAAAAGTGTAATTATTATTCATATTATTTTTCAATATGTAGGTCTTCCATTTTTCTTACGGATACTATTTTGATTGTTAACAGATATTTATCATCTACTGAAGAAGTGAAATAAATGAGACTTGAAAGGAAATATAATTTTAAAAGACATTCTGGCTCTTAAAAACATGTAATCTAATAGGAAAGAGAGATTATATTGGAAATTGTAATGTATTACAGTAGCTATTCACTGAGACTAACTGAATGAATGAGCACATAAATTGGGGAAGTTATTTCTTCAGGGTATTCGATGGAATACTTTTGTGAATTACTCCTTTATATTTTCCCACTGTCCTCTACCTCAAGAATTGTTAGAGGATAGTTAATTAGCATAGTATTTTTCATCTTGCTCCTTAAAACTAGGGTGACCATATGTTCCATTTGCCTAGAACTGTCTTGGTGTATGCCTGTTGTCCAAGCATAATTATTAATAGTGCCCCCTCAAGCTCCCTGAAGGAGTAAGCCAGCTTGCAGCCTGCTCCTCCATCCTCAGCAGGATGAACTTTCCCTTCCTCCTCCCTTCTTCTTCACTTTCCACACCAAAAGTCTGTAGGAGTAGGGGAGAGAGTAACATTCTCATTGAAAGCTCAGTTTCTGGCTTTGGTTCCCATATTCCTGTTACCACCTGCTGAATATCAGCCCATACGTAAGTCTTGCAGATTGTTTCAAGTTCCTGTGGTTACAGATAAAAGCCTTTATTCTTTGGAGGAGAACATGCTTCTGGTTAAAAAAAAATAAAAAGACAGAGTTCCATGTTTGAGCTCACAAGCAATTCTTTAAATAACTATGAGATTTTCCAGCATTCATCGTGATAGACGCTAGATCTCCAGAGCATATCCTTATGTGTCAATTCTTTTGAAATATCTATCTATCTATCTATCTATCTATCTATCTATCTATCTATCTATCTATCTATCTATCTATCTATCTGGTGTTATCTATCTGCTATCTATCTATCTATCTATCTATCTATCTATCTATCTATCTATCTATCTATCTCTATCATTTACTTTTGAGACAGGGTCTCACTCTGTTGCCCAGGCTGGAGTGCAGCAGTGCAATCATGGCTCACTGCAGCCGCAACCTCCCTGGGCTCAAGGGATCCTCCCACCTCAGCCCCCTTAGTATCTGGGACTACAGGTGTACACCACCACAACCAGCTGATTTTTTCAGTAGAGGCAGAGTTTCACCATGTAGCCCAGGCTGGTCTCGAACTCCTGGGCTCAAGCAATCTGCCCGCCACGGCCTCCCACAGTGCTGAGATTACAGGTGTAAGCCACTGCACCAGCTTGAAATATTTTGTATTCCATGAAATTCTTTATAAAATTACTTTATAAAACAACTTCCTCACTTTCTTAACTAATGTAGATTGAATAAAATGAAAACTTTTGTTTTTATAATCATTATGAATATTAATTTTTTATAGTAAGTGATTCCTTATGGACTACAGGGGCACATGGAATCATTTGACCTTTTTATTAATAATTTTTGAATTAGTATCTTTCTTTTTTTGAGATGGAGTTTTGCTCTTGTCACCCAGGCTGGAGTGCAATGGTGTGATCTCGGCTCACTGCAACTTCCACCTCCTGGGTTCAAGCGATTCTCCTGCCTCAGCCTCCCAAGTAGCTGGGATTACAGGCACCTGCCACCACGCCCACGTAATTTTTGTATGTTTAGTAGAGAAGGGGTTTCACCATGTTGGCCAGGCTGGTCTCAAACTCCTTACCTTAGGTGACCAGCCCACCTTGGCCTCCCAAAATGCTGTGATTACAGGCGTGAGCCACTGTGCCCGGCCGTATCTTTTTATATCATATTATTTTGAGTGTATTGCCTCTATTAGTCTGTCTTTCTCACATACGATTTGTTTCCTCTAATCTGCTCTAGGCTCAAAAACAACATCAGCATAGTGATGGGAATTGTGAATAAAATCAATGTACATTTGCTTCAAATGATGAGCAGCTCTCCGATGGGAAAATCTATGTGATTTGATGACATCACTTTGCCTGCAGAGATACTTTTTTTGCTTGCTTTTTGTCTGAGTTCCAAGTAGTTGAGTTTGTAGAATAGTTGACCTCTAGATAAGTAAAGTGTTTTTGTCATTCCGTTTGAAAATTAGTGTGGAAAATTAAGGTGTGCACCCCCATGGAGAAAGTTGAGGTCAAGCAATTCATTCCCGAAGCTGTGCAGTCATAAAGATTCACATGCCGAGCTCAGAACTAGTATTAACCAATCAAATTGCTCCCAGAGGGGTGCTCACTTCCTAGGTTAACTCTTAAAACACTCCACATAGCCATTTTAGGCTTCTAAATACTTGTTGAATGGACAGAGAAACAGGAAATCAGAGTGGAAATGGATGCTATAAATCTATTTTCTACAGAAATGTGTTATGAGGGCAAATACACTACATCAAATTTTAGAATCTCACAATACTTCCGAATTCAACCCAAAGCTTTCCTTTGTTACATTTTTTTCTTTCCCTAATTTAAGATTCACCAAGATTGTGTAAAGCTTATGATTATTTCCAAGTTTTGGAAATCAGCCTTCTTTCCCTTTTAGAAGAGATTGAATAGCCATCCCTCTGAAAGTCACAGGGAAGATAGGAAATTCTATTAAATAGATTTAATGTATCTCATGAAAGCCCAGAAGTTATTCTTGCCAAAAGAATGCCTTCAGAAGCAGCAGGCAAAATGAAAACTGAAATATTTGCTGTAATTTACATAAATGCTCTCTTTTATGTAATTACTGCAAATAAGTATAATGAGATAAATGTGTCTGTTGCTTTCTCTTTAGAATAGATGTTATTAATTAATCTTGAAAAGTTCCCAGTGTCCCATGAAATTGATCTATAATGTTCTCATTACTCATTGTGGAGATGGGAGATTGCTGATTGTGTTAATTTTTGCTACATTTTGATTTTTAGATGCTCAAGTAGAATCTGTAGGCCAAAAACACTGTCTTGCCGAAATGCAGTTATAATTTCCTAACAGAGTTATTTCTGTTGTTGATACTTGTCTACAGATTATAAAGCCTTGCAAAGACTTACAGATTTTGATTATATGTTGGCTTTTTCCATAAGTTTCATATTTTCAATTTACCCCAAATACTGTAACTGTGAAATATAACGACTAAGGCATTTTGGCAAATAAAAAAAAAAAAAAACCCACAAATTTGGTGTGAACATCAAGAAATAATGGGTCTTGAGTTTTCATGGCCATGTGTACTGTCCCATTAGTAACATTTAGTTGGTAATAAAAAGATAAAAAAGTTAAATAAAATTATTCACATCTTTTTAATTGTGAAACAACAGTGACCAAAAAAACCTCTAAATGAGACTGCAATTCTTGTTATTGGAAAATATATGTATTTCACAGTAGCAATCTATACTTATTTTTGGAACTGCTTACCATGCTATGGAATTTCAACTGTGGTGTTATTGGGGTTTCTACACAGAAGAGATGCCACATAACAAATGCAAAAGCTTTTATTTGAGAGTCATTCAGAGTTGCTTGAACATCTCTGAAGGTTTTGAAAGATAAATGTGCTTTACCATCTGTAAACACTAATGTGGCTTACATCAGAAGGAGGTGGCCTGAAGGGCCCATGCACACTAATGAGCTGTGCCCAAAATGAGTGTGATATCCTTTTTCCAATTACGTACCCTGACTTACAAGTAAATATATTTTCCTTCTGCTCTCAACCACTAGCTTATACATACACAAGGTCTTTGGCAGGACATAGAGTCCCAGTTTCTCTACTGGAAAGGCAAATACCTACAAGCATTCTCAGTTAACAATGCTAAGAGGTATATCTGCAAACTAATAATTAATATGCATTGAGTGCTAACTCTGTCAGATAAGATGCCTAACATACACTGTTTTAGAAACATTATTTCATCTTGGCAGGTTGATACTATTTTCTGTGTTTTACAGATTAGAAAATTAAGGTTCAGGTCAATTAAAGATGTGGAGCTTTGCTTCTCCATGGGAGAAAATTTGGCCTAGTTTTAGATGGACATACCTTATGCCTTTTAGAGCACAAACCCAAGATACTAAACTGTCTCTGGATTTAAGTGTAAGGTGAGTGGATTATTTCTGCATCTTATCTCCTTCCGTGGAAGTATATGTAAGTCAATATAGGTGCAATCTTTGAAATTCCTATTAAGCAGCAGCAACATAAAATCACGTCAGCCTAGGGTGTGAGAAGGAGGAGCTCCATATAGGTTTTGAACACAGATAAGGCTTTCAGAATGGTTCTGCCTCTGGAATTGTTACTTTAGTTCTTTTCCTTTTTCCAAAGTTTGTGTTCTAAAGAATCTATTCTGTTAAGACATATTATCTTTCAATGTCAGATGACCTCCTGGCCACTCACCTGAGCCCTTCCCCATTGTGCCTGCCACTTTTATACACCTTGGCCAAGTTCCTGCTGAGCCATATTGCAGTTTGCAGTGAGGTGCCCAGCGGTTGTCCCCATCCTGCCGCTGTGAAAGTCAGCCAGGGAATCCACGTGTCTGAGAACTAAAACAAGTCAACTCCAAATCAGCTCTTCTATTTCTAAACCCAGAATCTGCTGTTGATTCACACTGGGGCCTTTGAATTAGTTTTCTCTTTCCCACGCTGCCTCAGTTTCTCAACTATCAAAATAGGAAAAAGAACACAAAAGCACGTGTGTTCAGAAGGGAGACTCCAGCCTTATTTAGACTGAAAGACTTTTTGAGTTTTGTGGGGTTTTGTTGGTGTCTTTTTTTGTTTGTATTTTAGGACATAAACCCAAACTGATTACATCACTATTTGTATTCATTTTAATGGTTGTTTCTCTTTGATTGACATCAAATGGTCCTTTTGCATCATGAGAAAAACTCTACTTCTTGGATTTGAGTTTTCATATTCTTCTGGAAGTTCCATAGTTATTAATTAGTTGCTCTTACTTTTTCTGAACCTAGAGGCTATAAGTTTCATCAATGTTACTTTCTACGTATTATTTCAGTTTTAAATGTCAACACCTCTATCTCAAAGAGATATTTGAAGCTGAATCTCTTTGTGCTCTAGGCTCACAAATGCAGTCCTCTAAATCACTCTCTTGCACATTAAAGGTGTGAGCTAAAGCTGGCTGGTACCTAGCATTCTGGCTCTTTTCCCTCCCATGCCAGTGACAGACATTGCTCATCAATCCCAGGCTCTTTCCTACCAAGCTTAGAGTGCACTTGGCTTTGGAGAACCCTTCCTGGGACAGGGCCCTACCAGTCATTTGGAGTCAGCAAGTAGGATGAAATCCATTTGCCATCTATAGAACAATGCCCCATGTAGTAAATATCAAGCCAAAGGTTGGTTTTTCTCCTCAGGAAGCTGTTTGAAACATTAATGCAGTAGAGCGGTGAAGCATGAGAAGATGCTGACAATCTTAGAAGCTCTATTATGGTGTAACGGGGATCTCCTCTATGAAGTTTTGAACTCAAAATCCTACTACCAGGGGTAGAGATGAGAGAGAATTTTCTTCTCTTCTCTAGAGAGCCTCTTATCTATCTTCATAGATAGTGGTTGTTCAGATTCATGTTAACCAAACACTAATGAAATGCATATTCTTCTTCCTAGACCCAGATATTAGTTTCTAGGTTTTGATCCTACTTGCTTTTTTTTCTACTTAACTTGAATGGAAAGCCACATGATGGAGGTATGCATCAGACTGGGCACTCTTACCTTTTCCATGGGCATCGGGATCAACTAGTGGAGAGGCCATGAGTTTCTATTGTAGTAGGGTAAAAAGACATCAGAGCCACATTCTGATGTGAATGGCCACATTCCTATTTATGTTTCCATGGTGGGTTTTTTTTTTTAAAATCAGTTCACTTTTTTGGGTCATCTTTTAATCTGAATGTTGTTAGTATTAAATTTCAGTGATACTTCATAATGATTTTGGAAGAAGAATGTCCAAATTGCTTGAAGTACTCACATGAACCAGGAGCTACACTAGGAGCCAGCCTCTTCTGGGAGTCCTGGCATTGCTGTGGGTCTGGGGAAAGCTGGGTCTGCTTGGGACTGGGCAGCGCCATGGTTGGACTACCCCAGAAGATCTTTAATCTTTCCTTTGGGGGCCTTTTTTTTCTTCTCAAGGCATTCTTGGTTACCAGAAACAGACATGTACTTAAGTTGCCTCCTGTGAAGGAGGATTGATTGAAAGTTTGTGCCTGGGAGAAGCCAAACGACCAGCTGCAGCAAGGGCAGGGGCTGCACTGTACCACCCTCACATCCTTGTTTGAATCACAGTTCCTCTGCCTGACTCTTCCCTTTCTTTCCCAGCTGGCTTCCTCTGTGTATTCATAGTCACTCCCCTCCTCAGCATATGCTTAGCCTAGCCCACAGCGGCCACCCCAGCAACGCCTCCCACCACCTTTCCACTCTAGTGGCCCCTGCTGTCTAGCTCAGCGACTTAGTTTGCCAGTTCTCAATTCCACAGAGAGGACTGGGACACAGCATCTCTGATCATAGTGTCACATGGACTGAAAGCCAGTGGTTAACCACTTTTGAGTCAAGACCCTATTGTTTTACTCAGCTGTGGCCAGAGGTTGTAGAATTGTACTTTATAAATCATAGCTGCCTTCTACAGACTCTAGTATACCTGTGCTTTTAGCACCCTTGGGGTGTGAGAATATAATGATGATGGCTAGATTAGAATCGTGACAATCTACTTGATTTACCTGGGGAATATCATAACAGTGCGGTAGCCATTTCCAAAGCTAGCTTCAGAGAGCTCACAATAGGATTAAAGTTATGTTTAGAAATTAAATATGATATTTAGCTCATTTAAAATTTACATTTGTCTACCCATTTATTTTTTTCCTGGCAGAAGTAAAATTATTTCAGAAGCACTCATTTTTTCTGTAATTGTTGTCATTGGGTTATTTCATAATTTAATTATCTAAGAATGCCCCACGTCACCCAGTGGTGAGGTGAGGCTACAAAGAAAGGAACCCTGGCATCCTGCCCTGCACTCATAAGTGATCAGAAAATAATCAAAGTGGATCACAGGCCTGGAGGCCAAGGAAGCTGGTTTGATATGAGTGATCTGCTTGGCGTAAAACTTACACCTTTCTTACCCTGACCGTCCCACTTAATGTTACTTGGGATTAGACCTGAGACCCTTGGAGTATAATTTTTGTGTAGAAACATATTTCTGTGGTAGGTGAGATGAAGCTGAGAGTCTTTTGGGTAAGGAGATTTTCCACCCCATTATTTTCTGTATGGCTTTTACCAAGTACAAATCAAACCAATATTAGAGTCCATTTCTCCAGCCCTTTGGCTCCCTTTCAGCCACCTCAGGAATGTTAGCATGGACATTGACCACAACACCCCAGCCTTTTGTAGAGGATGCAGGTAGTGTTCTGAGCAGAGACCCTGGGGAAACAGATCAGGCAGAATGGCTCAGGAGTCTGGGGTCTGATGTTCTACACTGGGTGGTGCTGGTTCTGTCTCCGTTGATGTCTTTGCCCCAGAAAAATTCACCCAACTTCTTTTCAGGTCTCAGTTTCCTCATCTGCAAAATGGGAATCAACTCCCCTCAATGACCTCTAAGGACCATTAAGGAGCTGCTTATTAATGATGCTAAGAATGCTTGGGACTTATAAATATTTCCTAAGCAGAGCTGATATCTTTCCTCTTGCTATAAGATTGGAGGAGGTATGCAGCATCTCTCTGTTCATCTGTAATTTAGTCAGCTTGTGTACATACTGCATTGCATTAAACGCTGAACTCTGATCCTAGTGTTTAAACATATTAAATACAAAATATGAGTAGTATAAATTGTATGAAACACTTTTGTCTCCTACTTGGAGGCTTAACAAGATTTTGATGCGGGGTCAGCACAAACATTATACAGACACTGCTAAGAGTAAGTGGACGTCTTGTAGACAGTGGTTGGAAAATAGTCTTACAGCAAAAGTAGTCGAAGCCCATCACTGGGGGATTTATAAGTAGGCCAAGGGAAATTGAGGGTGGGCAAGGATTTGAGGTATTTGTTTATTTTATTTGACCATTAACTTTTGTGATACTATTTCTCTAAAGAGCAGAAGAGAGCTTCACAGATAACAGACTTCAAGTTTTAAACTCTTCATTCCCACAATAGCTTTGCTGGGGTTTGCTGCCATAATTAATCAAAAGGAATGTCACCTATGTCTCCCTTTAGAAAAATAAAGCTTCAGGACAAGGCAGTTTTCTATTAGTGGCTTGGGGATAGACGACACCACCACATGTCTTTTATTTCTGAGATCTGGCTTCTGGGTGTTCATTAATAAACACACAAAGGGTTTTACCTGATGGCTCTGTAAGGTACAGTGCTGTCGGCAAACTGTGTGGAAGCCATTGACGATCATCATACTCTCCTGTTGTTTAATTGAAACTCTAATGGTTTTATTTACCTAAGCATTCTTTAAATTATGGAGTTTTCTTTCTTCCTCTTTCTAGAAGTGGTCATCTGTTGCCCTCCTTTGCTTTTGTCTTCGGCTGGTGATTTGTAGCCTCTGCATCCCTACAAGTGTAGTTCTCTAAAGCCACTCTGGATGGGAATCAGGTGCTGGGTGAAGGTTTGTGTCCTAAAAGAAATGTGGAGCTCTTTAACTATTTCCTTTTTATAATCGTGCTGTTTTCTGTTTTTGCCCTGACTTGTGTTTTTAAATTTTGCTATAATACCCTGAGGTCTTTAATATTTTCCTCTGGGGCAAAGTCCAAGAGGAAAATAAACTCTCTAAAGAGTGATAGAAATTGTTGACAAGGGAAGTTTGCAAATGACCATGTTTTATTTCAGTTTTCAAAAACTGTAAGCAGACATACAGAAATCCCAGCAGTTACCCATATCTGCTGATCCCTCTGTCCTCTGAGAAGAAGGAAGAGATTTATGGAATCCACAGGGGCTAGGGCCACATAACCCAGTTTGAGCTTAGAAGGCACTAGCTCCTTAATGCCAAGTAAATTTTGGAAATGATTCTCCTTTGCTGACAGTACCCTCATTACTGATTGTGTAGAGTAATTTATCAGGCATTTCTTAAAATAAACCGTTCATTTATACTAATAGGACTTGGCAGGAAGAAAAAATTGGCAGGACTTGGAGTTCCTAGTGTGGGTTTTTTTTTTCTTTTTCTTTCTTCTTCTTCTTCTTTTTTTTTTTTTTTAATTTTGTTGCCTTTAACAAATTTAAAAACACCAGCATTGAAAACTTTTAAATATTTTGAGGAAACAGTTTTCAGAGGCCAGCTTGAAGTTCATTAAGGCATAAAGAATGGCATTATAAATCTGCAAAATGGAAGACAGGAAATATTTCCAATGACAAAGTTTACCAAAAGAAAAATTAAGTACAATGCATCTGATTTTATCTTTCTTCATTCTTCAGGTATTGGGTTCCTCATGTGGTTAACTTTACCTATTTTTGATGTCACATGGGCTTTTGAAGAATGCTCATTTTCCTTTTTCTTCTCCATGTACAGTTACAATCTCCTTCTCCTTGGAGTCTGTATCAGCTCGCTGCTTCTCCTTAGTTATGCACGTAATGTATCAGTGTTGTTTATGTATACCCAAGATAGTTATTCTCAAGGCTTTCTTATTATCTCTGTATTCTTAGCCTTGGGCCTCTGACAATAAATTTCCATCTTACATTCCCTTGGAATTAAAAGGACATCACCAGGATTGATAAGCTTTTCTCCTGAATAAAATGATAGCGATGGAAATCATAATAAAAGATAAGTAACAATCGAATCTGCAGTCTCAGGAAAACTGCATTAGCCCTCTGCCAGCACTGGGAATGCGGCTGGCCTGAGAGCCAAACTCACAAAATGCTGCAGTGCAGGGAAGATACACACACACATACACACACACACACTTGTAACCACACACCCCTGTATATTAGATATATTTTTATAATAATGAAGCTATATAAGTTACAGCATGTGTTGAGATTCAGACTTGCTAGTAGGTTGTGTAGTTCAGACCAAAACAGAAAGAATAAATGTTTTCTGAGAATGAATAGAGTTTTTAAAAAGTTCAGGGGTCTACTGATGGTTGAGTCACACTCAAAAGGGGTAACATGGGCTAAGTGAAACTTACAGGAAAAAATTGGCAAGTGTTTTCTTATCACTGAATTAGCAGACTCTACCAGCTTCTCAGGCAACTTCTTTAACTGACTTTTTAACATCAAATGGTTATCCCTGTTTTCATCTTCTTTCCTATCTGGACCTTAGAGCTTGTTATTCGTCTAAAATTCAACTGTTAGATTGTTTTGTAATATTCAAGCTTTTGCATAATTGATAGTATGAGACGTAAGCCTCCCCCTACCAAAAAAAAAGTCTAGAAGGAAATATATCAAAATGTTAAAGACAATGTTATTATATTAATAATAATTCTTCCTGGGTGATAAGATTTTGGGTAATTTTTATCTTCTTTATCTTTCTTCAGTATTTTTAAATAATTTACTCTAATATTTAGAAAAATCTTTACAGAACAATGGGAAAAAGGCATAAACCTTATTTTTTTAGAAGTACAGTGTTAATTAATAGAATATTTTTTTCTAGAAAGTTAAAATTGTGTCCATTATTTCTTTCTCCATGTGCATTGAGAATTAATGCTCTACACAGTCATATTATATTCTGTTTATCCTTATTATTACATATCTATAATTTTTAAATATCCCTGACCAATTCATCAGTAACTTTTAATTTTCTAGTTTTCTTACACTTTTCTTGCCAATATAAGTAGTTTTCCTTTGTTTTCTTTCTTTTCATTTTTCAGGCTGTCTATTAATACAAGCATATGCCAGTTTATTTCTATTATTATCTGTGGTCTATGATATAAGGAAGTTAGGTAGTAAACACTTGGGCTTTGTAAGTTTCTTCTGCTCCTAACCAAAGATTTCTAGCAAAATCATTAGCAGAAGTGTTCTTCTAGCCACCACATTTAGGTCATTGTCTTTAATTTCAGACCAAAAGATTGTCTAGAAAAGTTTGAGGGCAGTGTGTATTTGGATTGGCACATGCATCCTTTGAGCCTAAATATAAGAAGAGAATCCAGAGAAATATCATCATTCCTGTCAAGGAAAAAAGTGGTGTGAGGGGGCCTCATTCCTTACCCCTTTTCAGATTGAATTCATCTCATGAAATTGCCATGTTCTTGTTTAGCAAAAACAACAGGAGCATAGAGGAACACGGTTATTTCAATAATAAAGATTCTTTTTATCACAGTATCTTGGGATGTCCAATAGATTCTAGTCTTTTCACTATGGTCCTTTAACCCTTCTAACCACTGGTTGCCTTTTGCTGAGTTACTATGATTTTCTGCAAAGGGGACTCAGTTAACAGGAATCAGTGAGAGAAAAACTTCCATGTGACTCTGCCTCTGTGGGTGCTGTGGTTATGATCTGGTGGGAAGATATTGGAGTCCAGTTGATTCTGTGCTGAGGAAGGCTGACTTTGAGCATAAGCTTCTTCCTGGCGTCAGTCACTAGTGAGACACCCAGCCAGAAATGCAATGAAATCTGTGTCTTTTGTGACAAACTCTGGGTAGTCACAACATCCAAAAGCTTGCCCTGTGGAGACCAACTGATGCCAGCCAGAGGACATCGGACTACTTTTTCCTCTTGCTAGGAATTATTTTAGTCCTGGAGCTAAGAGGGTGGCCACCTCTTTTTCAGGGAATCCCATACAGAATGAGATAGAACTTTCAGGCCCCACAGGCAAATTAGCTTTGACAGGTTCAGAAAGCTTTTCTTAATTAGTTTGCCTATGTGTGTAGCATTCTTATTTCCCCTTTCTTCTCGTTTAATATTTAGTAAAAGAAACTCTTCTGAAAATTTCAACCAATTTCAGTGAAAACTAGTAAGTAAAACTAATTTTGTTCCTGTTTATTTTAGAGCACTAACAGGAGTGGTGGTAAGAGGCCCATAGGAGAAGGCATAAGAGTCAGAGGGGAGAAGGAGAAAAGGTAGGCAAAGCCCAGGTGGAGAGCCTGGGGGTTGGTTCAGACACCCCTTTCCAGCCACTGATTTGCTGTCCAATGCTAAATTCTGAAGATCCCTATGTTTTATTAAAGGAAATAGTCCCATTGATGAATTACTGAGAAAATATACCAATGTAGATGTGCTTACAACTTCATGCAGGTTTATTTAGGCTGGGATCCTAGATTTGCTCTCACCTCTAAACTTTAGACATTTCTCAGTTATTTGACCTGAATTACTATGGTTTACTCTTCCAGTAGGTTGCAGGCCTTGATGAAATTGGTTTATACCCTTTAAACTCACTCATAAAACTAATTTCCACCAAAAAGCCAGTTGAATTCTGACCTCCTAAAGGGCAATGGTGTCTCTATCGTTTTAGATTCTTCAGTGCTAAGCATGAGTGTATGACTCAATCAATGACTTGTTGAATTAGTGTCTATTAAATTTTTTTGTGGGAAAAGCCTTTTACAGCTTCTGGATCTTTCTATCCCTGAGTATGATACCTTCTTCTTAGTCTAATAAGAACCTAATGTGGCACATTGATACTCACAAGATGGTTTGAGCATGGCTTCCGGGCAAAGAGAAGCAGGTAGTTTGGAGCCATTTTGTGTGTGTTGGGGGTGAGGGGGGTAGTGAGTTTCATAGCTTTATCAAAACTTAGTTCTGCTCCACTCATCAGCATGCTTTTACCATCATCTGAAACTTAAGCTCCTATGATGGTGTCTCCCTTGGACAGGGCTAAGAGCATTCTTTTCATTCTCATTTTCAGTGTTTCAAGTGGGCCACTCAGAACTGCTTAGGTCATCCTCTTCTCATAGCGACTTATAACACTTTTATGTCATTAAAATTCTACATTACTGGGGATTACATTCTGAGGACAAGATTCACTTGCTTGTGGGAGGAACTCTTGTAGACTAATCCCTTATTAATACACGTGAATTCTTGACCTCTTGGGCCAGAGAATGTCCCCTTTGATCCCTTTCCAGTTCATCTTTTCTGTAGCAGGGACTGGGGAAGAAATAACTTTAAAACAATTATGAGTACAATGCTAAAATTACCCTAACATGCCTTGAGAATGTTAAACAATGTTATTTGACATGATTATAGTAGATGCAGGTACTACCTGGACTGTGGAGAACTGGAAAGAGAAAATACTGAAAAAAGAGTTAGAATCTGGCTTTTGTCCTTATATGTTTTGTTACCTGTAGCAAGTCACTTAATCATGCTGAGCCTCCATGTCTTCACTTTGAAATAAGTAACTTTACCTACTGTCTAAAATTAATAATATTAACATATACATCTATAGGAGCCCATAAATGCAAGGTAATATTGCATGTGATTGATGGACAGCAAAAATATTTTTGAAGAAACCCCTTAACAGGGGACATTTACCTTCTAAGCAGCCTCAATAATTAGTTTTACCTGGTCAAAACTGTCACAGCCTCTGCCACCATCATTTCCTCCTACACCCCTCCAACATTTATACATTTCATATTTTTTACATAAATTTTATCAATGGAAAACAGCCTCTCAAAGTGAACTAAAATATACACAAAATTGATATCAACCATTTCTTCTATTAGGGAGAATAAGCTGCTGGATTGTCCACTCCTGGAGAAGATGGCTGTTCTCAGATTAACTTGATCTGCCTACCTGTATTTTTACTAATTCTTTAGGGATAAGAACCAGGACTAAATTAGCTCAGTGAAATGAATTTTGACAATGTGGCAGTCTTCAATCTTCAGTAACCCAATCCTTACAGTATCTTCAAAGATAAGTATGTCTCATAAGTCCTATTAAAGAAAGCTTAGTCCCAGTTGGAGAATATACATTTGATACTGAGATTTCTTTGGACCAAATTAGTAACCAGGAACTTAAGGTAAATCCAGGAAAAGCCTCCAAGGCTTGGTCACAATCACTGGGAAATATGAATACATCTATAAGCACTTTTTTTCTTTTTCTGGGGGCAGCAAGACACAGTGGCTCACAGCTGGCATTCTTGCCCCTCACTTTTTCTTTTATTTGCAGCACACGGTTCCATTTTCAATGTAGCATATAAAGAAAAAAAGTTAAGGTATTAAAAATGCATGTAACGTCTTCTAAATTGGTGGGTTTCAGAGTGAAGAATTGTAATTGTATTACAGTTAGGCAAAATCATTAATTAGGCTTCTGTTTGTAATTTGGTTTAAAGAAAAATAATTTTAGGGCCAGGTATGGTAGCTCATGCCAGTAATCCCAGCACTTTGGAAGGCCAAAGTGGGAGGATCACTTGAGCCCAGCAGTTCAAGACCGGCCTGGGCAACATAGTGAGACCTTGTCACCAAAAAACAAAAAATTAAAAAAATTTAATTAGCTAATGGTGGTAATGCATGTCTGCAGTCCTAGCTACTCAGGAAATTGAGGCAAGAGGATTGCTTGAACCCAGGGATCTGAGGCTGCAGTGAGCTATGATTGCCCTACTGCACTTTAGCCTGGGCAACCGAAGGAGACCCTATCTCCAAATAAGAAGAAAAAAGAAAGAAAAAATCTTAGCTTGCATAATGCCTTGAATTTTCCTATGGAAGGTCAGTAAGTGAAATATTGATGAAGGCTTGTGAAATTTGAGCATGTGATTTCAGACATGTGTGTTGACAATAATACACTGATACCACAGTTCAAGAAGAAAATGATTCAGGAGGTAATAGAAGAATAAAGATGGCCACTATTAACTAATTTGCTAATGATTATTTTCTATAAGATATGTGTTATAGGATGTTCTTAGTGTCATATATTCAATGTAACACTTTTGATTAGCAGGAATTACTTATTATCTCAGCTGTGAGGTTGGCCTTACCATAGTTACTTGGCTTAAACTGGCAATCACGTCTGATTTCAATTATGTTAATGTAAGGTAAAGATATTCATAGACTAGAAATTAAGAGTATACTAGCAGAAACAATTCCAAATATTCTTGCTAATTATATTGTTGCATATTATTCAAATAAGTAAAGAGCCATATTAAGCAATTATCTGTGGAAATAACCAAAAGAAAAATATAATTAATTTCTATAATAAATGAAAAATAAGCTGAGGTAAGTATACAGGAGTGGTATTCAAAATACCTTAACAATAATTAATCATACCCCCTCACTAAAAATAATAGAATGCTGGCCAAGGCATTGGAATGGTGTCACTGAGGCTGCATCCTGAATTGGATGTTAGCCTTAATGTTTTGGATCATTAAGAATTTCAGTGGGATCCCAGGTTGGGCACAGGTGATGCAGGACAGCAGTTATTTACTAATTAATATGAAATAGATCAGATTCTAGTAACCAGTATGAATGTACCAGTGCACACAAGCTTAATGTCAGCCCTGGTGAAAACCTAATAATTCATTAGTAACTGTTTGATTCATTTTTTATTAAATTTCACAAATGCAGTCTGTCTTGACTCTCAGTCCTCCGCTGTCAGAATTGAATTGTAAGTCCTGGGCAGATATGAAAGAAGAGAATACTCATTACAATATTGTATGCAAATCCTAAGGAGGTATCTGAGAGTTTCATTTCTAATAAGGAAGACCAGTGTGTAGCACACTAACCCTTCCAGCAAGAACAGTAAGAAAAACTGGATAAGTTTTCAAAAATCTGTTCAAAATCACCAGGGAACTACCAAGAGAGTTAGGGCTTCAGGGCCAATATCCCAAAGAGAAAGGAAACACACTGGAGTAAGCCCTGTGTACTCTTTCCCTTTCCCCACTTAGGGCATTACCATTTCTTGGTGCATGGCATAATGACCTACTAGAAATGGTGACTTAAAGCTCGCACCAGTTTTGCTGGGTCTGGGTTTAGGGACACTAAAGCAGTCAGCACATACGGGGCCAAGATCTCAGAGAAAAGTAAGATCTCAGAGAAAAGTAGATATTGGAGATAAATGTAAGACTGAAAGACAGAGAGAAGAAGGCAAACCAGCTAGCAATCTTGGGATCTAAGGATCAACATGACAATAAGATTCTGGGATTTCTTTTTGCTTCACATATTTCAAGCTAGGTATTGGAGAAACTGGTAACCAAGAAATTTTGACCAAAAAAAAAAAAAAAAAAAAAAAAGCCTCAAGAAATGCCTGCTCTCTCTAGCCAAAGAACCAGGAAAGGGGCAGGCTAGCATGATAGAAAATGTTTAGACAGTAACCTCCCTACTTCAGCGAAACACCACAGGAAAAAACGGCAGCCCCACTTCCACCTCTGTCAGCAAAGGCAAAGTGAGAAGCCTAGACTTACATTTCTACCTGGCAGTAATGATGCCCATCCCCGCATCAAAAGTGGAGACCCATGGGGAGAAGGCACTTCCTCCCCTGCCCGGTGGTAACAGGCATGCCTCCCCTTCTTTGCTGGCGAGGTGTTAGAGACCAGGGGGGAAAGCCTGGACTGTTATCTTCCAGCAGTAATAAGCCACTCACTCTACCACCTGCTGTATCCATGAAAGCCACATGGGTAGGAGCAAGAAGGTCCCTGATACCACCAGAGACCCAGGGGGACCCTGAAGTTCCACCCCTGCCCAGTAGTATTGAGGAGTCATTCTCCCTGCAGCAGGGTATCGTGGAGACCAAATGGGGGCCTGGGCTTCCACCTGCAGCTTGCCATAATGAGGCAGGACCCCTTCCCCGGCCAGCATGCAGTCAAAGGAGGCTTCCTAAGACAGAAGATTGAAATGAGATCCAGAGTCTCATAACACTCAAAATGTCCAGGAATACAATTGTAAATCAGTCTTCATATCAAGAAAATCTCAGCTTGAATGGGAGAAGAAAAATCAATGGATGCCAACGATGAGACTGCACAGACGTTGGAATTACCTGGCAAAAGTTTTAAGGCAGCCATCATATAAAAGCTTCAAAAGCAGTTACAAACACACATAAAACAAAGGTGAAAGTAGGAAGTTTTAACAAGAAAATAGAACATCTCTGCAAAGAAACAGAAGATATAAAGAAGGACCAAATGGAAATGATAGAACATGTTGAGCCTATAAAGTTACTGTTCTCTTCAGATGGATCTCTGTGTGGGTTGGGGTCTGCATTCAAAGTCCAGACATTTCTCAAGTCTGTCTCAGCCTTTGCTTTCCACATGACCCTGTCATGGCTCCTACTCATGGTAGTTCAGGCAGGCCTGCTACAGCCTCCCCTGGGCAATGAGGGAACATGAATCTACTGCATCCTCCTGGCCAGAGATTTCAGTCCAGGGCTAGGCACATAACCAAGTACAGAACCTGAGAAAATTCTTGGATTCTATCTGTAATTATTGGGAAAACTATCTCTTTTTCAGTTTGTCACTTAATTGTTTGAATAATTATTAGAATTATTAGAGCACAGGCTCCTGGCTGCCATATTTGTCACTACTCAGTTGGAGCCTGCTTCAAGTGAGCCAGGAGACAGGGATTAAGACATGATCAGTATTAGGATCCTGGTGACAGGGTTTCATCACTGGGATCCATCTAGGCTTTCTTGAGTTAAGCTTTTCTTTTTAAAATATTATTTTATTTTATTGTAAGAAAACTTACCGTGAGATTTACTCTCTCAAATTTTTGAGTGTACAATACAGTGTTGTTAACTATAGAACAATATTGTACAGCACATCTCTAGAAAGTTTTCATCTTGCATAATTGAAACTTTATGCCCATTGATTAGCAATTTCCCATTCCCCTCCCTCTTAGGTCCTGGTAACCACCATTCTACTCTCTGATTTTGTGAATTTGACTATTTTAGATACCTCAAGTAAGTGAAATCAGGCAGTCTTTATCCTGTGACTGGTTTATTTCACTTAGTATAATGTCTTAAAGGTTCATCCATATGGCATGGATTTTCCCATCCATCAAAATAGCAGGTGGTAGGATGATCTTCTTTTTTAAGGTCAATAATATTCCATTGTATATATATACATTTTATTAATCCATTCATCTATTGATGGACATTTAGTTTGTTTCTTAGTTACTATGCATAGTGCTGCAGTGAACATTGGGGTGCTAATGTCTTTTGAGATCTTGATTTCAGTTCTTTTGGATAAATACCCAGGAGTGGGATAGCTGGATTTTGAATTGGGCTCTTGAGAGAGAAAAAGCCTTATGAAAGAGTCCCAAGAAATAGAGTCCTAAAGAGTAAAAGCCTACTTTATATTATTCTTTGGATTAAAATGTAGACTTTTATTGTGTACCTTTTGTTTATAAAGCACTGCATTAGGTTTTGTACTCATCAGTTCATCTACTCCTCCTAAAACCCAGTGTGGTGAGTGTGATTTCCACAGTTAACAAATGTGTGGAGGGGGAGTCTCAGAAGGGTTAGAAAATGTGTCCAAGTCACCTTGACTAGTAATGCCCCAGGAAAAATTCAAGGCCAGAAGTGGCTGCTCCCAAAAGCTGCCTTCAAAATAAGATTTATCTGTAAATATTTGAGGAAGATAAGAATGTGTTACAAATAATAACTTCTATATCAATGAATTTTCACTGCTATAGTAAAACTTCGACATGGTTTGGCTGTGTCACCACCCAAATCTCATTTTGAATTAATCGTAGTTCCCATAATCCCCATGTGTCATGGGAGGGACCCAGTGGGAGGTAATTGAATCATGGGGGCAGTTACCCCCAGCTACTGTTCTCATGCTAGTGAGTGAGTTCTCACCAGATCTGAATGTTTTATAAGGGGCTTTCCCCCATTTTGCTTGGCACTTCTCCTTGCTGCTGCCATGTGAAGAAGGACATGTTTGCCTCCCCTTCCACCATGATTATAAGTTTCCTGAGGCCTCCCAAGCCCTGTGGAACTGTGACTCAATTAAACTTTTTTCCTTATTAAATTATCCAGTCTCGAATATTTCTTCATAGCAGTGTGAGAATGGACTAATATAGCTTTGAGTGTATTCTAAGTACTTAGTGAGCCATGATACAGAGGAGAGATTTCTTAAAATGTCTTTTCTCTGAAGGCCTAACTCAGATCAAAGAAATAATTCCAACAGATAATAGAATAAATAACAGTATGGACTACAGAAATTATTTGCAGACAAATAACATTAATTTAAATGCAATCTTGAAATAATTCAAAAATATTAAGTCATCACGTTTACTTATATGCACATAATTTAAATTCTGATAACCTTGAGAAAATAAACATTTGAGATATTATCAATGATTTTTTAGAAACTCTAACTTATCAAGTGATGAATAAATATTTGAGTGTTATCTGTTTTAGTAATGTACTCTGTCTGTAGACACTGACTGGTGTGCATTTTCATCTGTAAGCAATGAACTAAATTACTTTTTTGATGCAGTCCTTTTATTTTCTAGTCAAAGAATATTGCAAATGATTGAAAGGATTTATAAAATGAGGTGGCTGAGATTTGTTCTTATTTGCTTGCAGCTGAAAGCATAATACACTTAATACTTCCAGGATATGGAGGAGCTAACAGATGTCAAAAGAGCAGAGAGAGCTATTTTGCAAAGATTGTTCAAAAAGCAAACAAAAATCCTTTCTTTTACAAAATTCATAAACTTTCTCTATCAGACATTAATTATCTTTGACAGAAAAAGCATTTGCTGTTTATATAGAATGTATCTTTTCCCTTTTCAATTAAAAAAATTAAAGTTGTTATGATAAAGGTAAGACCACTGGATTAAAATTAGTGTAACACAAATTTGTCTTCATCAGATTTCAAAAGAACCATTACTGTAAGCTCTATCTTTGTAGCACTTTACTGTCAATGCAATAGAGACAAATAATTTTGCTTAAAGATAGCAACAAAATAATTTAAAATCAAAGAATGTTTTCAGTTGCCATTTTGCCTAAACAGTTTTCTAACTGATTTGCATTTCCAGGAACTGCTAACGCTAGATATTTTATTCAGCAAATTCAGAGGCTGTGGATGTATTCTAGTGATCAGAGGTCTGTAGGCCTACCTAGGTAGGTCAACTTGGTATGCTTGAAAGAATAACCATAATGTTGCACATTAGAATTTTAGGAGAAAGATGATAGTTTGAGGAACAAATTGCTTAATGCTGTTTCCATAGGTCCCATGTAAACAAATAGTCGAATGCTGGCAAGTTTTTACAATCAAGGCCAATGTTTAATAAAGACAGGAAGGAGTAAAAAATGGAAATATTATTTCTGGATTTACATTTTGTCTTATTTCAGTCCAAATTCCTAATGCTGAAATAATCCAAAAATGTACTGAAGCTGTCACCTGGGCTGCCACCATGCTCTTATAAACATGTTACTTAAGTGAATTGGTTTGTTTGTGACACAAGCTCCCTTTGGAATTAATCAGGAATACTACAAATACAGTAACTATTTGGCCTTACACATCTTATTTCCCTCTTTTGTTGGTCTAGCCCCTCTTTCTTCTGGGGTAACTCCTCCCACACACATGGAGATCATGAGCAAAGATTTTAATCCTGTCCTCTGGCCACACATGATTTGTCAAGGGTTGGCCTAAGATGAGTAAATATGAAGCATTGCCACAGAAAATTTGCAGTTATAATGGAAGAAACAATTTTTTATGCTCTGATGGGCAAAGCTGCATTGATTTAATAAAAACAAAGTCACATTAAATCTATATATCTGTCTTAAGACATTTCTGGACTTTAGAAATATGAACATGCGCCTGTGTCGTAGAACAGGAAGGAAGAGTGTATATTTTTAAAGTATTACTCTAAAGCAGGGTACAGCAGTTAATTAAGGAGTTTTATGGGAGCAGTGTCATCTGTGCACATCCCAATCTTGTTCACATACTCAGAGTTCCATTATCAAGAGGATACTAAGGTAGATTACATTGCTCACAGGGTTATTGTCAAAAGCCCTACATTTTCTGGTCTTGTGTTAAAAACCATTCCTTTGATGAGAAGGATATTTCAAGGGATCTCCAATTTGTCTTACTCCCTTGTTCTGATTCCGTATTGACCAGCAACCTATTAATTGCCATGAAGAAAATATGCTGATGAAATATGCTGGACTTGTAGCTATCTGGTCCATGTGACAATGGTTTCTGATGCAAACAAAGTCTCTTCTTGAAATAATGCTTCCATGTAGTTGACTGTAGGTGGAGAATGGGCCAATCATGGGAACACGAATAGCAGTGCTTCATGTGACAGCAGTATACATTAAGGAGTGGTAATTTGGTACCCATATTAGTTTTAAAGACAGTTTGATTTTGAGTATGTCAGCTTTCATGGGACTGAGAACTAATAAGAATCAGGTACTGGGCCTTTGGAGCACAAGGTTAGATCTAGTTGGAGTTCCCTTAGACAAGTTGTTCCCAAATTTTTCCATGTATCAGAATTGCTTAGGAAGGCTTTTAAAAGTACAAATTCCTGTGCTGGAGATTCTATTCAGTAGATCAGGCACAGTCCAGCTATTTGTATTATTTAAGAACACTCCTTAGATAGTTATAATGCATATCCATATTTAGGACGCATTGTCTTAGACTATCTCCATACAACATTCATATATGCCTTGTTTTAGCTGATTTTTAAAGCCATAATTAGATTTCATGAGTTACTGGATTTGCCTGCATTATACTTATAAATTTGATTCTAGATGGAATTTCTGGTTGATTTTCTAAGGCACACATCTCTGGGTTTGCAGAAGAGGTGGAATGGAGGGGTGGCAACAAAAATTGGAATTTGCGTCTTTGATGTGGTAAATAGTCAGCCAAGCTCACTACTCCTGTCCCTAGAGACTGCACTTCAGAAATGATGAGTGATTACTCTTAATTTTAATGACATTCTTTCTCTAGTTAGTCATTTCATTGGTCAGCTTCTGATACTTTTTACTTTGTTTTCATAGTTATAGGATATTATACAAGACTATTTGCATTGACTAGTAACATCTATGCTTGTGGCTGCATTCTTGCTGTTGAGAAGTCAGCGTTCTAACTGTTGTTACTTCATAGGTAATCTTTTCTCTTTCTCCTTCGACTTTTAAATTTAAATTTTTGTCTTGGACTTTATTTTTTGCTGTTATTGTTTACTTGTTAGTTTTGTTTTTGCAGTTTTACTAAAAATGTAAGATGTATCTAGGTATGGATTTATTTATATTTTTATTATCTTGTTTATAATTTGTTTGACTTTTTGAATCTGAGAAGTCATGTCTGTCAACAGTTCTGGAAGATTCTTCAAATGTTGATAGTCTCTTTTCTCCTTCTAGAACTCCAGTTAGCTGTATGTTAACCCTGATTACTTTATCTTTCATGTCTTTTAACTTTCATATTTTTAAAGTCTGATTATTATCTTCAGTTCTGTTTGGCAGTTCACTTAATGTCTCTTCAGCTGTATCTAATCTGCTGTTTGCAGTTTGCTAAATGTCTCTTCATCTGTATCTATACTGTTTAACCTTTCCATTGAGTTTTTAAATTAATGATTTACTTATTTCTAAAAGTTATGTTTTCACATGTTATTCTTATAGAGTGATTTTTTTTCTTATAACTTTGATTCTTCCTTTTTAAAACGTTTATATGTTGGATTTGATAATCTAATAGCTGAACTATTTAAGGATCTGATTCTTTCATTTATTTGTTTTGCTTTCTCTAGTTCATGGTAATTTATTTCCAGGTATGTTTAATATGTTTTGTTCCTTGGAACTTTACCTGTCAGAATTCTTTGAGGTCCAGCTCAAGAGCATATTCCTTCGTGTTTGTTTCTGATAGACACCTATGATACTTCAAACTAACAACTTTTTTAGCTACATTTCACCTTATAATGTTTGTTACTCTCAAAGTGGTGTGAATTCAGGCTATAAATCTGTATGAGGTCTGACTTATGGTTAAATTCTCAAGGAAATTATTTTATCACCCTCCATGCTGTGTCAGGGTTCTTGCCATTGTTCCATGAGATGTATTTTATTTATAGTTCACCATTTCACTGAGGTTATAACATTTTGGGAAGCCCAGCTTTATGGAGGGATCACAAATATGACTCCTCATCTTGTACAACCCTTAAGCTAGGTTTTCTGTTCTTCCTGTGGTCATTTATACCACAGCTATAAGTCAGAAAGTATTGACAGATGCTCCTGGGGAAGCTGCTAGCTTCGGAACTCATTTAATATTTTACCATTTGCTGTGTGTACTGGATCCTCCCCACTCTCCTCCTGCCTTCCGGAAAGATTTTTTATTTATTTTTTATCAATGTAGCCATACATTTAAAATATTTTAAATCTGTATCCTAACATTTTTTTAATGTCCTGCGTCGAGAAGATATTTTCAGGATAGTTAGTCCACCATATTTCCATAAATAGAAGTTTTGTGTTCTTTTTAAAACTTAAGAAAAACAACTTCATTCTTCAATTTTTATTTCATGCCACAGACATTTTGAGCAATCAGATAATACAAGAATTTATGGGAATTTTAATAAACATCTTTTTCAATATGCTAATATATTTCTGGTGAGTAAATATACACCTGGAATAGCGCTTCCCAAAGTAAATGTTCCATAGAACACTAATTGTAGTTACATGATAAAATAAGCTTGGGAAACACTGGGTTAAGCAAACTTACAGATTTCCTTCTTGAATAAATTGCATGATGTATAATACACCAGTGGGCTCAAGCATCTTTGAGAGTAGGATAACTTATACCCCTGTCTTCCCAGAGGTGCACTGAAAGAAAGCTGGCTTAGACATAAAATGACTTCCCCAAAGCCATAGAGGTAGTTAGCAGAGAGCCAAGACAAGAACCCAGTTCTCCTCACACTCCCTTTCTCTTTATTACCACAATGAAACATTTTGTAAATAGCTACTTGCAAAACTATTTCCAGTAGGACCCCATCCTCAAATTGAAATGTGTTTAAAGCCCATCTTCTTTCACCAAATAAATGAAAGTTGGCTTCTCTCCTAAAAACAGCTAAATAGGAATGTTCCAGAAGTTCTTCAAAATAAAATCTTCACGAAAAAGAACTTCTAGAAGTTCTTCAAGAAAAATAAAATCTTAAGTAGAAAAGCAGGGGTTCCATATCTTGAACTGAAGTCAAAAATTGATGCTTTTGTGGGGCTTCAATCCGCATCGACACAGAGATATAATAATCCTGTCTGATTGTTAAGAGGGCTTGTATTCTCTTGAAAATCATAGTTTCTAGTTGGCAAGGAGCAAACTCCCAAGAACAAGTTGTGACAGAAAACTAAAAAAAAACTACTTTTGGATTTCAACCAGCAGAATGTGCATAGTTTCTGACTGTTAGTGTATTCTTCCCCCTATTACGGAAAATGGACTATGGGAACTTGGGAAGGTGAAGTGCAATGTTATTTACATTTTTGTGCCAAAACATTATGAAGTGAAATGGTCAAACATGCTGAGAGAATGCAGCATATGAAAATTAATAGGAACATTTTGAATATGTGATCTTTTACTTGAAATAATATAAATGAAAAGGGTTCTGTGGAGGTACTTTCTTGACCTCTTTTAAATGTTTCTTTTTCTTTCTTTCTTTTTAAACACTCTCAATTGTTTATAATAACCCATTTGGATCCTAGACCTCAAAGTTCTTTCCTTTCAGAATTTCCTTTTCTCTGTTTGTCTGTGTACAACAAATACCTTTCAGGAAAAAAAAACCACACAGTGTGTTGAGCCCACTAAATAGTCAGTAAAAGATGTCTAATAGCATCTAGAAGTAGGAAACGAGATGAGTATTGGGTTGGGGATCTGAGTGTTGGTGTCCCATTTAGTCATCAATCCATGAAAACAAGTGATTATATGCAAAGGTATTCAAAAGGGATGAGAACACTGATATGGTAAGGAGAGAACTTCTGACTGAAAGCTAGAGAGTGACCTGGACATTTCTGAGAAGATGCTTGGGAGGATGGCAACTTGGTAGACTTCATACTAACAAGAAGCATATTAGAGAATTAACGATGATGAGGAAAAGGAGAAGGAAGAGAAGAAGGAGGAATATTGAGCTTTTATTCTCTGTTAGGTACCAGGTTAAGCACTGGCCATATATGATTGTATTATCACATCGGGACCCCGAAAGCTAGGAGGCAGCTTCCATCATCATTCCTGTTTTATAAGTGAGGCTTAGAGAACTAAAGTAACTTGTTTGAGATTTTATATCATACATAGCAGACCAGAGATTTGAACCCAACTTTTTCTGATATCACACCCTGGTCTTCATCACTAAGCTATATTGCCTTCTATATCAGGTGTGGCTACAGGTTGCATCTTTTTATGTCTTAGATATTGTGGAGAAAATATTTGACTTTATGCTGTTAATCTAGACCAGTGAAAGTTTGGAGCCAACTGATAGCTCCAGAAATTTGGCCCTGAGGCAGTGCCCAAAAGAGTGGATGACAGTTAGTGAAGGTCAGCCCGAGATGAGACAAGGCAGGTCCCTGAGGAGAAGCCAGGCACAATCTGAAAGCTGAATGTCCAAAGAGCAAGGCAGGGTAAGGCCAGGGTTGACTGGGATATGAACAAAGTATAAAGTGGGTCAGGGCAATTCTGACAAAGGATTTTCTAGTGCTCATGACCAAGTTTCCTCAGTCTACAGCATGCATTGCATACTGAGGGGCTCAGTAAGTCTTGGGATAAATTTTTATTTGTTCAATAGGATAGAGAAAAGATGAGATGATGCAGAGTTTCTTTCCAGGAATATTAAACTGACCTTCAATATCAGTATTTAACTTAAAGTACCCAGCATTTCATAGTTATAGCAATAGCTCCAAGTTGAAATACCTGCCTTATTTTCTCACAAAAACTGCATATTGGGATGTCCTTATAAAACTGTTTTTTTTAATTTGGAAAATATGATCACTCTATAAGTCATTTCAATTTCTTAACTCAAGACCTCCGAAACTACACTGTTTTTCTATATTCTGAAGTCCGTTCCTTCTCTTGTATTCACTGTCTGGATTATCGGTCACATCAGTCCCCGTAGTTGGAAATGACAGTCATCCTAGGCTGCTTCTGCTCTTATTCCCCACATCCATCTGGTCAACAGAACTCTCAGTTCCATGTCATATATCTCTTAGATTTATCCCTTCCTCTCCATTCCTACATTTTCTATCCCATGTACCTTACAGGCCAATGGGCTTTCTCATGTCCAACCTTTGGACCAGCCACTGATTCTCAGCCCACTTTATTGTTATCAAACTTACAGGGTCACCTGATGAAAAGCATGAACCCCCCCCAAATAAATGGTGGGCTGCTTTGCTTAGAAGAGCTGATGCAAGTTGTAGGTACTTTTAGGATTTAGTGCTTCACAGTATTAGGTACATACTCTGTATGCCCTTTGCTTATAGGTCAGAATTCAAATTCTATAGACTGGAATACAAGGACTTCTTTCCCAGGACCCCATTCACCTTCCCTGCTTGTCTTGCCCTATGGCCAACTCATGCTGTATTGATTAGCCACTCAGATATATTGGCAGCTTTATACAGTTGCATGACCTATGTTATTTCCTGTGCTTCAAACGTGCATCCCCTTATATAATGCCCACCAGGAGATCTCCAATCCCTCCTTTAGAATTCAAGATTCAGCAACTCTGATTGAATCCTCAGCCACACACAGATTCTCCAACCTTCCTTACTCTTCTGCATATGTATATTTCCTAGCATTTATCAAACTGTATTATAGTAATAATTTGATATTATGTCTTTTCCCTTCCCAGTGATCTTCTTGACTGTAGGCTCATATTTATCTTTTATCCTCAGCCCCTTGCAAAAACTTGGTTCAATAAATGTACTTGTTGAATAAATGATTGTGCTAAGATTGATTAATTATGACAAAAGAATAACTCTGGCTCTTTTGATACAAATTCTGTTGGTTCTATGGTGCACTCCTTTTTGTGAGATCCTTTGAGAACTGTATAGAATACTTTTTAAAAGGGAAAATATGTGTTTTGAATTGCTGAGGTAGAACATCAATATATTGAGAAATTTTTATAAGAATTTTTTTGTTGACAGCAGTGAAAGAAAAAGTCAGAAGCTTTAGTCAAAATAAGTGAATTTTAACTCATGTTAGCCAATAATACATCCTGGTGCTAGTGAGTAATATTTCAAAACACATTGGTGTCTTGGGTTTAAATAAATCTTGTTTTCTTTATTGCCATAAGGTTCAAATACCACCACTTATTTTGTCTGTTTCCTTTATGCTTTGCGCATGCTACTTAACTTTCTGAGCATTATAATCCCTACTGTAAGTGCAGGAAGTGATATATTTACCTCTCAGAACTATCATAAGGATCCAAGGAAGCAAAATACCTAAGTTACTAAAATAATAGCTGACTTAGCACTTAACAGTACATTTTTTTCTTTCTTTTTTATATTTTTAAAAATCATTTTTGTTAGATGGACTGTACCCCAAAGTGTTAGGTTCACAAATGCATTATAACTTGTCATTTCTCATTACAAGCTAAACTACCCCAGTGCCATTGCAAATCCCTGCGGATTTTTGCTTTAGGAAGATTGCTGTAGACTTAACGGGTGAATCACTTTGCTCCGCTGGATGGTAGCCCACAGCCCCCTTGAGCAAAGGAACTCTTATGAGACAGGATGGACTCTGGGCCCAAACACATTTCCAGTCAGATCAAGAATGCCCCAAAAGGGCACCAGAGCTACCTCTTCCATGAAGAGATCCTGGAGCTGATGCCTCCTTTTTGTGCACCAAGAGGCTCTTCAGTTCCCTAGAATTGGTGCTCTTATTTACCCAAACACTCAAACCAGACCTTTCTTTCCTTTTCTTTTTCTTTTTTAACTAACATCAAGGTTATTGGAAAATTTTGATAGCTTTTATGTAGCATATTTTGCTTGGGAATAGCATACTCCTTTTGAAAGCTTCTAAAGAAAGCATATAAAAATATCCTGTGCATTTTGTGTGAAAGATTGACAAAAGTATGTTTTCCTAAAGAAAGTTACCCAAACAACCAGAAGAAAAGTGAGGCAGAGTAAAAGGATAGACAAGGGTTGGTTGATGGTTGACATGTGAAACGCTTTACCATTCATAAAATATTTAGGTTATTTGAGCTAAGGAGGAAATTGCTAAGGATTAGGTTTATAGCACTTGACCATGTCTCAGAAGTGCTACTCTGTAAAACTTGTCAAAGAGGAAAAAAGAAAAAGAAAAGAAAGCAATCCCATTAGGCAACCTGGACTTTGCATCCTGTCGTTTATTAAATTTGTCAGTTGAGGCAGTTAGGATTATGGCAGTAGATTTATTAATTTTTCAGAAAACCTGGCATGGAAAAGCCTTATCCTTGGCACTAGCCTGGAAAATGCAGAGAAGAAAGTTTGTGAAACAAGCAGAATGCTGAATACCTACAGTGAAAAAGTCATTAGTATAGCAAACCTGTCCCAGATGAAGCCAGGTAACAAATTTTGGAAGGGCTAGATTCCTGAAAAACTGCGAGATTTTATTCAGAATCTTTTTGTAGAAAGGAAAATCCTTTCTTAGCACAAGTGCTACAGTGGCTCCACTCACTGTGGGCCTGGAAAATGACACTGTGCTCCAAGCAGACGTTTGTTTTCATTTCTGACATTCAAAAGTCATTGTCATCAATGTGTAAAGATTTATTCTTGCCTACCCAGCCAAAAAGCAGGACTTACTCTTTTCCCTTTACATAACGTTGGGGGCTGCAGCACTCTGAGGTCATCTTGCTGATGCTCCATGCCTTGGATGATGGGTGTGGCCTTGTTTGAGAGTGGCTGTGGTCTGAGGCAGGAGTGGGGGCAGGGTTGGGGTGTCGTATTCATGACTTTTTTTTTTTTTTTTTTTGAGACAAAGTTTCAGTCTTGTCACCCAGGCTGGAGTGCAATGGCGCAATCTCAGCTCACTGCAACCTCCGCCTCCTGGGTTCAAGTGATTCTCCTGCCTCAGCCTCTCGAGTAGCTGGGATTACAGGCACCCGCCATCACGCCTGGCTAATTTTTTTTGTATTTTTAGTAGAGACGGGGTTTTACCGTGTTGGCCAGGCTGGTCTCAAACTCCTGACCTCAGGTGATCCACCTGCCTCAGCCTTCCAAAGTACTGGGATTACAGGCGTGAGCCACCGCGCCTGGCCCTCATGGCCTTTTAAGGTCTTTGTTATTCATTCTGGATACCACAGAAAGAAGATTCCTGTTATTTTCTGCTACCACTTACTGTAGACTCAAGTTGCTTTATTTCTTTGTTTTCTACCCAGGAAGGTGTACAGGGCATACAGAGGGTTCTATATTGTGTACAGAAGTTGAAGCTATAGTGTTCTTGATTTAATAATAATAATCATAAAGTGTCTACTATACTTCAGGCATTATTTTAAACACTTCACACATATTAATTAACTTAATCACACAATTTGTATCCTAGCCCTATGAGGTAGTAGCTATTATTGCCACCATTTCAGAGATATGGAAACTTGAGACAGACACAGTTAAGTGCCTTGGCTGAGGTCACAGAGCCAGGAAGTGCCACTGCCAGGGTTTGTGTTCCCAGGCACATCCTGACACTGATCTCAAGCAGTCATGCAATGGTGGCAGACAATGTGTTTAATGTGAACCAGATCAACTTGTTCACACAGCAATAGTTCCATTGTGAGTACTAATAGGTAGAAAGAAGAAGATTCCTGCCAGCAAGTGGCTTGATAGTGAAAGTGTGTGAACACTCTCCAGAATAGAGTGAAAGGGATGAAGACCTTCGTTACTTCTACTTCAGCATACACATGAGCCATCCGGGGTATTTAACTTTTCCCCCACCTGCAGAAATGTCTGATTCAGCAAGTCTTAGTGGGATTTGGAAGCTACATTTATGTAAGCAATCCCAAACAATTCAGAACATCTTGTGGGGGGGAGGTCTGAGATGTATCTTGTTAGAGATTTGTGCCTTATTCTCATAGGCTTGGGTTATTTCAAAAAGGATAGAGAGAAAATGTTACCCTAACATCTTGCCAACCAGGATGTTGTGGATGTATCTTGGTAAGAAACTTTACAGTATTCAAAGTACTTCATCTTGAGGGGTAGATTTCACGTGGACAATGAAGAAGGGGTTGGGAGAAGCTGGCAATAGTGAGCCAGTCTAGAATCTTAACCATAAAAATGAAGACTGAGTTTTTTCACAGGAGGATGCCCCTTCTTCTGGGAGGTACAGCAGATGGCAGTGTGTATTTTCTAGAAATAAGTTCAGAATTGAAATCTTGTGGGACATTTCAAATTGGGCTGAACTTTGAACTCATGTTTATATACCTTGGACATAGGAATGGGGGGAAAATAACAACCCTAAAGATGTTTATGTAATATATGGTTTATCACATGTGCTCAGGCCCTCTGGGTCAGGATGTATACATCTAAAAATGCCCTCATAAGTGCATTGGATGAGGATCTGACCCCATAGACCAGCTTATATAGCTCTTGTGAACAAGAAAAAAAATCTGCATCTAGTCTTACATTCTCTTCTAGCAAATGTTAAGCATGGCCACCGAGAAACCCAGTCATTAAAAATGAAAATAAAACAAAAACTATTTCCTATGATGTGAATTTAAAGAACAGACTCTTTTTTTTCCTGAATGGAAACAGTGACTTGAAATGGAGTACAATTAAGCTAAATAAGAGGAAACAGTGAAATTTTGTAGACTATGGAATAGTCTCACTGGGAACATTATGGAAGCCTCATCACTTAGTCATTACAAACTAGACCAGACAAATGAATTGAAGATATGCTGCAAGAAACAATGTCATAGGGAAGGGATAAATGAATTTTTTTTCTCTATCCCCCTGTGGAAATTTCCCCAGTGGTGTCAGCACTCAGACACACACACACACGCACACACCACACACACACACACAGTCACCTTCAAGTTGTCTTCTTGCTGACTTTACAATGTGATCATCACCAAAATGGCATTTAAAACCCCCCAAAGCCTCTTTCTATTTCTGGGTCTACATTTACTGTGTATTCTGATCCCCTGTCTTGTTCATTATGGATAAGATTTTCTGTTAAGATTATAAAAGCCTTACGGTTTCCACTTCGTCATCTTTAAAGCCATGTAAACACCTTCCCCAGCAAAGCCTAGTGATTGCAAGTAGTGAGCGGTAGAACTGAAACCCAATGGAGATGGAAGAGGACAACCCAATTCTGTTCAAATGGTGGTTTACAGAAGCTGTTCACTTCAGCAGGCTCATTTAACTTACCCAACCTAAAAACCACTGAGCCTTCCTTCCATCCCTTGAGTCACATGTGCTTTCTATAGATAGCTGGTAGAAATCACAATATTGAAAAGTCAATTACTTGCATATTTGGAGCTAAAAGTGGGGATTTGAAGTATGACCATCCCCAGTGTTTCTTATTCTATAGAGTGTAGCCTGCACCAGAAAATATATAAATGACCAGATTTTATTCACCGTTTGTTCCATTTTCTATCACTAGCTACAATAAGAAATTCAAATGAAATTTAAAGATTACTGTGGCTATCCATTTAAACACACTATTTTTGATTCCCAGATTATAGGAAATTAGCAATCGGTTGCATGTTTCTTAAAAAAAGCTGTTTACCTATTACAAGTAGTTGATGATAATGGAAAATAATAACACCAATTTTTATCAACTATAATTTTATTTGGAAGACAAGGCTTTTCTATTATACTTCATTCCTTTTCTTGTTGCTCATGGGCAAGATAAAACTAAATTTTCCCTCTTGTCTTATGCAATGTAATAAAAAATAAAATACTAGTAATAGTAATAATGAAAAGTAGCAACCTTTTATAGATCTGTGATATATCCTCACAGATATGTCAGGCCTTGCACCAAGTCCTTCATGGATATTGTTCCATTTTATGCTCACAACAGCTCTCTAAGTAAAATATTCTTATCTTACCGATGGGCAGCTTGATCTTAAGAGAGGTTCAACTGTGCCTAAAATCATGTGAGCATGTGGCAGAGCCAGATTCAAGCCCATTTTTTTCTGACTCCAAAGCCTGTGCCTTTAATTACCTGCCATGTGCCTCAAATTCCTTAAGTCTTAAGGGAATTATTGTATTTCCTATGCCCTCTCTTCCCTCATATTGCATCTTCTTATTCCATCCTCATGAAGGAAACAAGAGTTCACCACCCAAAATAATATTTTTGAACAATTAAAAATAATAGACACAACTACTATTAATTTTACCAGTGATTAAAATGATCACAAAAGTAATATGATCATGCAACTAGACACAAATTCTTTGAGTAACCTAAAGAAATCAAAATTTAAATTTAAATTTCTTTAGGGTTCTTAAAATCAGATAATTGAAAACCATTTCCAGCACATTTGTGCTGTTGCATTTGTCTTTTCAAATGCTAGTTTTATTGAAGACTGTAAAATATATTGTTACAATCTACAGTGGGAAGGACAGTGTGTTGATTACATTACTTTTGGAAGAGGAGGAAACGATTTATATTACTTTTCTACCTGGTCATCTAGAAAGATCAACTTCAAAACCCAAGAAAATTCACTTTCCACATGAAAAGCAGTCTATGGTAGTATGTTGACTAAATGGAGCATGGGGTTTTGAGATGATAGTATTTTATTATTCTTTGTCGCAAAGGGGCTAATCATAATCATCTAGGAATTGATTATCGCCTTACAAAGAAAAGTGTGTGTAAACTTCTTCTTGCCTTCCAAAAGCTTACAAGTTTTGGCAACTTTGTACATCTTGTGCATAAATATAACATTGGGCATAAAACTAAGAGAAGAAATGCTTACAAAAGATTTAAATCAATGCTTACTTGAGCAATACAGCATTGATCTAGTTCTTTTATTTTTCCCTCTTCAGGTATAATAGAATGCAAGTTTCATGAGGGCAGATACTTGGGACTTGTTAATTAACTGCAGTCTCTCTAACATTTAGAAAAGTACCTGACACATAATAGATGCTTAATAAATATCTCTTAGATAATATGAGCTTTAAGAGGAGGAATCATGGGGATGCCACACCTCATCCTGCATCTGTTTATATCTACGAGTTGAAGTAGTGAGGTCATCTACCTTTGTCTTTGTAAGAATATCACTGTCCGGGCCATTACCCTTCTCAGAAAAAAAAAAAAATACTTTCAATGCAATCAGCATTTGTGGATGATTTAAAGATGGAATATCTTAAGTGAAAGCATCTGTTGGAAAACATGATAAGGTACTCAGAGACAAAGTCCTTGTCATTTATATGTTCTGAATGATGCCTAGCTTCCCATAGGTAAACACTGAGACCTAAATTGCCATAATAAAAGATCAGTGCCATTGCCATTAAAATGCACTGTGTTTCTACTATCTTGAGTGCAGAAAAAGAAAAAATGTTGGCATCATAGGGCTGATTCTGCACCCATGTGGAATGATTTAATTCTGTTAATAATGCTAGAAATGTTAAGAAAACATTTGGGGGAGGGAAAGGCAGAATATGGGAACGTGCAAAACCAGCCTTGTTTCATCTGAACTCCAGGATCCTGCGTTTTCCCTTGTTTACTGTACTTATTCTGGATCTGTTTTCACTTTTATTTGTGGTCAGCTTCGATATGTCTACACGAAAGCACACTTCAGAAGTAAAATGACTCTGTCTTTTTACAGTATGACTTCAGACAGTTGGACAGTTTAGGATGCACTGGTTCCTGGATCAATTTTCCCATGCCTGCTTAAGGCATGCTAGTTAATATACTGCAAAGAGAAAAGGCATTGTCTCTAAAGGCACATGAATCCAACCATTGAGCTGGGTTCTGGGTGTACGCCATGCCCTTTGAGCCTCATGCATAGCACCCCAGCCAAATTCTGCCCACCCTCAGAAGTTGAGCCTTATGCATACCACCCCAGCCAAATTCTGCCCCCCGGAAGTTCTCATGCAATTTTCATTGACTATAGTAGGACTCATCTGGGTGTGTCCAAGGGCAGAATCTGGCTGGCTACATGTAACATAATGTTTGGGTTGGGGCATGAGGCCAAAAAAGCATTGTTTACTATTTATATGGGTCTTCACCAATTTCTGGACTCTAAAAGAGATGAACTCACTGCTTCTGAATAATTCATTCATCAAAGCAGACATGAAAAATTTTGTTCCTTGAGTTTAGTTAGAAAGCAAAGCATTTGCTGTTTCACTGTCTGGAAGCCAAAATATGTTTGGGGCTCTCCACTTCAACCCAAGCTGACATTCCCAAGCTGACAGCATCTTAAAGCAAGATGACTTGCTTTCTTGCAAAGAGGCAGGCAATTGTGGCCATGAGGGTATGACAAAGACATTGAGATTGCCTTGAACCTCCCTCAAGGTTTCCTACAAATTTCACGTTCCTGTAAAACATTTGGGGCTAAACTATGGTAGTAGCATAGAATAGGGTGTTGCTCTGACTTGGACTAAAATCATTTGTTTGTGTGTATGTGGAATGCCATCTATGGCACGTTAGAGACAAATGCCAGGAATATGAAACAGTGAGGAGGAAAGGCTCCTTGAAATAGTGCGTGCATCTTAGAAAGCCACCTGGGGAATCTGCTGAGAAGGGATGGCTAGATATACTTTCAAATCCTCAAATATCAAGCATCCAAGTGAAACCCATTAAGTTTGATGAGTTACTCTGTTTGTAAAAGAAAACTAAAAGCTTATAGAAATTTCAAATTTTCAAGTACCTAGGGCTAGATATTCTGTAATAAGTTCCTGCTTTTAAAAAGGGGCGATGTCTAAACTCTGTAACGTTGGTGGAGTTTTGTTCTCAAAGGTTCCCAGGTGGTCCTGAGTAGCCCATTTCAGGGTTTTATCAAACCCTGACATGGGCAAGACTTACAGATGTTCAACCCTAAATCCACCCTGCTTTAAATCTCTTTTATCTTGTTCATATTTATATGAATGTTTAGAGTGAAATCCTCATTAGGAATTTTTTGAACATTGAGATTCAAGTCAGCCTTAGTGTTCCCTTCTCAACCATTATCATTGTAATCTTCCCTGTCAACCTGATTTTCCTCTCTTTGCTTATCTTTTTTACTTTTTTCCCTACATTTTATAACATTAGAGGAATTATGGTGGTTCTGAATGATCTTGTTGTCTTATACCCATCCTTGGTTTTCCTCTCTTCCCCCTTTTATTTGTTTTGTTAGGAAAAACATCATCATGAATATTGATTCTGAAATCAGGTTCTAATTTCCACATATTTGTATTCAGAGTGACTCTACCATTCAACCAAATTTCTTTAACTGGTCCTTCACAATATATTCAATGTAATAGAATATATTAAAATCAATAATATTGGTACAAATGCTGGGATCGGAACCTTGGAATGAACAAATGGGGTCAGCTGAGGTAGAGGCTGGGGGTTTCAACTAGGCTCTACCCAGCTGCCCTGAGGATGAGGGAATCTGTATCTCAGAGGATGCAGCATGGTCTCCATGCAGCTCCATGTGCACAGCACTTGGCAGTCTCTGGCTTCACCTCTTTATATATAAGTTTCCAGACCTATAAAATTAAAATAAGGAGGATATTCACTACCCACCTTCTAAAGTTGTACGATTGAGTGAGTTCATGCATGTAAAGCACTTAACACAATGTTCATTACTCAAAAGATGCTAATTGGTAATAGCAGTAGTGTTAGTAGTGGTAGTAGTAGCAGTAGCAGTTGCAGTAGCTTTATTTCTTTACAGTCCCAGAAGTTAGAGAGAATCATTAAGAAGTTATAGTCCAATGTTATTTACATTTTTCAGAGAACATTTATATTATTTTTTTATTTTTATTTTGAGTTCTGGGGTGCATGTGCAGGATGTACAGGTTTGTCACATAGGTAAACAGGTGCCATGGTGGTTTGTTGCACCTGTCAAACCATCATGCTTAATGTTCTAGAACAAGAAATTTTGACGTGAGGTCTCACAGGATAAAACTGCAATAAACTAAGACAAGTGAGAAGGGGGATGGGTAGAGAAGAGGTTTCCACAGCCCGTAGAGTCTGGAGGCAATTACTCAGTTTCTCCGCAGAAACAGGTGAAAGTGTCCAAGGCCTAGGCTGTACAAATAAAGCAGTCAAAAAGCTGAGATTTAGGAAAGGATGATGGCCCTTGACAAAGCATCTACAGGAAGAAGCTGGACAAACAGAGGCTCAGAACCATGATGAGGCTAACTTGGGGACAGTCTGAGTTATGATGGAAGGGCTATCTGACTACACTGGACATGTCCCATGGTGTATTAGTTAGGGTTCTCTAGAGGCACAGAACTAAGAGGATAGATGTATATATAAAGGGGAGTTTATAAGGTGTACTGACTCACACGATCACAAGGTGAGGTCCCACAATAGGTCATCTGCAAACTGAGGGGCAAGGAAGCCAGTCCGATTCCCAAAGCTGAAGAACTTGGGAGTCCAATGTTTGAGAGCAAGAAGCATCCAGCACAGGAGAAAGATGCAGGCCAGAAGACTAAACCAGTCTAGCCTTTTTATGTTCTTTTGCCTGCTTTTATTCTGGCCTCACTTGTGTGTCTACCCAGATTGAGGGTGGGTGGGTCTGCCTTTCCCAATCTACTGACTCAAATATTAATCTCCTTTGGCAACACCCACATAGACACACCGAGGAACAATACTTTGCATCATTAAATCCAATCAAGTTGACACTCAGTATTAACTATCACACATGGCTACTCCACCCTTACCCTGTTTGTCAATAAGGAAAGCACAAGAGCAGGTGAGGGCAGCCAAGAGACTTGGCAGTGGATTTCAGGCCTGAGAAAGCTGCTTAATTTCAAGGATAACCTGAAGGACTCTGCCCTTGAGACTGGCCCCTGGCCTCACCTGAAGACAGAGGCCATCAGACATCCCAGCAGCGGAAGCCTGGACAGTCTGAATAAATGGGAATAGCCTTCTGGAAAATGAAGAATGCTTGGATTTGCAAGAACTGTATTCAGCCAAGGCTGGATTATCTGCAAAGAGGTATGCATATGCTTGGGCACTGTCTCCTCCCTCACAGCCCAACTGGTCCACTTCCAGCCATGCTCCCTGGGGACATTGCCTCCATTCCCCAAGACTTACTCTTCTGCAGTTTCACAAAGCCCAGTTGGTTTAAATTCTTTGTCCTTCCATTGTCCAAACCTAATAAGGAAGTCAGTCAGCTGTGGGTTGGGATAAGGAACTGGTTGGTGGTAAGGAAGAACATTCCTCCAAGGGCCTTTTGATCTTTAAGAGGCAATAAGTTGCCCCATTCCCTGCTTTTATACAAAAATATCTCTTGTGTGTGTCATTCAGACAGATTGTTTTCCTTCCCATGAATGTAATTGTTGTCTCTTGGAGATTTTATGAGAAACAGAATTCAGGCCATTCCAGAGTTAGGCAGAAGAGGAAAGCATATGACTTTATCTTGCTCACTTCCCAGACTTGTCCTTTTACTTGTTAATATTTGTCTCCAGGAGTCATATATTTCAATGACAAGGCAAAATACCCCCAGACAATTCATGCCTGTTCCTGACTCTGTACCTAACGAACTGTGGACCTTGGTCAAACATTTTATACTGTTGGGCCTCGGTTTTCTCATCTGGAAACTTGGGAAGTTGGACTGGACAAGATAAATTTGGCAGGTAGTGGGTTATTGCTATCAAAAACATGGATTTTGCAAATTAACATACCTGATTTTCAACCCTAGTTCTGTTACTTGCAAAGATGACTCAAATGCAGCAGAGCCTCAGTTTTCTCTTATAAACAAGGTTGTTATGAAGATTACATAAAATAATGCTTGTGAAGTGCTTAATACTACCTGAATATTGTAAGTGCTAAGTCAGCTTTAGCTCATATTTGGTGTTTCCATCTATGATTTTTCCTTCTGAAGTAAACTTTACAATATCTGTTATTTTTTACCATATATGCCAATGATATTTTCTATTAGTGTGGGCAAATCAAAATGGGCAATGGTAACACTATATTTTATTCTATATATACAAGTGTGTGTGTGTGCTCTCTCTTTCACACACACGTACACACACCCAAAAAAGTAACTTATTTTTCTACCATCAGCAGAATCTAGAATTAACTTAAAGAGGTTACTTTAACCTAGTATGGTTAAAGAAGTACCATACTAGGTTTTGGTTCCTCAAGCTCTTTCACAAATCCTTCCTTTTGAGTCAACAGCTCATGAAGATAGTAGGTCAATGTTTTTTTCAACTTGTATTTTAGATTCAGGGGGTATATGTGCAGGTTTGTTATCTGGGTATGTTGTGTGATGCTGAGGTTTGGGATATGAATGATCCCATCACCCAGGTACTGAGCATAGTACTCAACAGTTAGTTTTTTAGCCCTTGTCAACCTCCCTACCCTCTCTAGTAGCCCCCAGTTTCTATTGTTGCCATATGTTCCTGAGTACCCAATGTTTGGCTCCCACTTATTTATATGTGAGAACATATGGTATTTGGTTTTTTTGTCCTGACATTAATTTGCCTAGCATAATAGCCTCCAGCTGCATCCATGTTGCTGCGAAGTACATGATTTCATTCTTTTTTATGTCTATGTAGTATTCCATGGTGTATATATACCACATTTTCTTGATCTAATCCATCTTTCATAGGCACCTAGGTTGATTCCATGACTTTGCTATTGTGAATAGTTCTGTGATGAACATATGAGCACATCTGTCTTTTTGGTAGAATGATTTCTTTTCTTTTTTTTTTTCTTTGAGACAGGGTCTGGTTTGGTCACCCAGGCTGGAGTGCAATGGCACAATCATGGCTCACTGTAGCCTCAACCTCCCAGGCCCAAGCAATCCTCCCACCTCAGCCTCCCAAGTAGATTTATTTTCTTTTGGATACATACCTAGTAATGGGATTGCTAGGTCAAATGGAAGCTCTGGTTTTAGGTCTTTGAGAAATCTCCAAACTGCTTTCCACAGTGGCTGAACTAATTTACATTCCCGCCAACAATGTATAAATGTTCCTTCTTCTCTGCAGCCTCACCAGCATCTGTTGTTTTTTGACTCTAATAATAGCCATTCTGACTGGTGTGAGATAGTATCTTATTGTGGTTTTGATTTGCCTTTCACTGATGATTAGTGATGTGGAGCATTTTTTCATATGTTTGTTGGCCACTTGTATGTCTTCAACAGATGTGTCTGTTGCTGTCTTTTGCCCATTTTTTAATGGGGTTATTTGTATTTTACTTGCTCAAATGTTTATGTTCCTTATAGATTCTAGGTATTAGACCTTTGTTGGATGTGTAGTATGTGAATATTTTCTCCCATTCCATAGGTCATCTGTTTATTCTGTTGATATTTCTTTTGCTGTGCAGAAGCTCTTATTTTAATTAGGTCCCACTTTTCAATTTTTGTTTGTGTTGCAATTGCTTTTGAGGACTTAATTATAAATTATTTCCCAAATGCAATGTCTAGAATGGCATTTCCTGTTTTCTTGTAGGATTGTTATAGTATGAGGTCTTACATTTAAATCTTTAATCCATCTTGAGTTAATTTTTGTATATCGTGAAAGGTAGGGTTCCAGTTTCATTCTTCTGTATATGGCTAGACAACTATCCCAGTTCCAGGTATTGAATAGGGAATCCTTTCCCCATTGCTTATTTTAGTTAACTTTGAGGAAGATCAGATGGCTATAGGTATGCAACTTTATTTCTGCATTCTGTATTCTGTTCCATTGTTCTATATTTCTGTTTTTGTACCAATACCATGCTGTTTTTGTTAGTTACTGTAGCCTTATAATATAGTTTGAAGTCACGTAATGTGATGCCTCCAGCTTTGTTCCTTTTGCTTGGCTTACTTTGGCTATTTGGGCTCTTTTTTGGTTCCATATGAACTTTAGAATAGTTTTTTCTTCTCTTCTGTGAAAAATGATGTTGATAGTTTGATAGGAATGGCATTGAATATGTAGATTGCTTTGGGCTCTATGGTCATTTAAATGATACTGATTCTTAGAATCCGTGAGTATGGAATATTTTTTCATTTGTTTGTTTAATGTATGATTTCTTTTAGCACTGTTTTATAGTTCTCCTTGTAGAGCTCTTTTTTGTCCTTGGTTAGATGTAGTCTTGGGTATTTTGTTTGTGTGTGGTGGTTTTTGTAAATGGGATTATTTTCTTGATTTGGCTCTCAGCTTGAACATTATTGGTGTATAGAAATGCTGCTGATTTTTGTACATGGATTTTGTGTCCTGAAACTTTAGTGAACTTGTTTATCAGTTTCAGGAGCCTGTGATGGAGTTTTTTGGGTTTTCTAGGTGTAGAATCATACCGTCCTTAAAGAGAGATAGTTTGACTACTTTTCTTATTTGGATATATTTTATTTCTTTGTCTTGCCTGATTGCTCTGGCTAGCATTTCCAGTACTGTATTGAATAGGAGTGGTGAGAGTAGACATCCTGGTCTTGTTCCAGTTCTCAAGGGGAATGCTTCCAGTTTTTGCTTGTTCAGTATGAGGTTGGCTGTAGGTTTGTCATAGATGGCTATGACTATTTTGATGTATGTTCATTCAATGCCAAGTTTCTTGAGGGTTTTTGTCATGAAGGGATGTTGGATTTTTTTGAAAGCTTTTTCCATGGAGATCATATGGTTTTTGGTTTTGATTTTATGTTTATGTGGTGAAGCACATTTATTGATTTGTGTATGTTGAGTCAACCTTGCATCCTAGCAATGAAGCCTACTTGATCATGGCAAATTAACTTTTTTTGTGTCCTGTTGGATCTGGTTTGCTAATATTTTGTTGATGATTGGCCTGTGGTTTCATTTTTTGTTGTGTCTTTGCCAGGTTTTGGTATCAGGGTGATGTTAGATTCATAGAATGGGACCACAGTCATTGATTTTTTGGGGATAGTTTCAGTAGAATTGGTACCATCTCTTCTTTGTACATCAGGTAGAATTCAGCTGTGAATTCATCTGGTCTGGGGCTTTTTCTGATTGGTAGTTTTTAAAATTATTGCTTCAATTTCAGAACTTGATATTGGTCTGTTTGGGGTTTCAACTTCTTCCTGATTCGATTTTGGGAGGTTATGTGTTTCCAGAAATTTATTCATTTTCTCTAGTTTTTTTCTAGTTTGCACGCATAGAGGTGTGCATATTAGTCTCTGAGGATCTTTTGTATTTCTATGAGATCAGTTGTAATGTCACCTTTGTCATTTCTGATTGTACATATTTGGATCTTCTCTCTTTTTTTTGTTAATCTAGCTAGCAGTCTATTGATCTTGTTTATCCTTTCAAAGAACCAACTTTGGATTTTACTAATTCTTTGTTTGGATTTTGGGGTCTCAGTTTTGTTTGGTTCTGCCTTGATTTTAGTTATTTATCTGCTAGATTAGGGGTTAGTTTGTTCCTGTTTCTCTACTTCCTCTAGGTGTGAGATTAGATTGTTAATTTGAGATCTTTCTAACCTTTTGAGGTAGGTTTTTAGTGCTATAAACTTTCCTCTTATCACTGTTTTTGCTATGTCCCAGAGATTTTGGTAGGTTGTGACTCTATTTTCATTTATTTCAAATAATTTTTTGATTTCTGCCTTAATTTCATTATTTAATCAGAAGTCATTCAGGGGCAAGTTCTTTCATTTGCCCTTGGCTTTGAGAGGTCTTCTTCGTACTGATTTCTAATTTTGTTCCACTGTAGTCCCAGAGTGTGGTTGGTTTGATTTTGATTTTTTAAAAAAATTATTGAGACTTGCTTTATGGACAAGCATGTGGTCAATCTTAGGTAAGTTCCATGTATAGATGAGAAGAATGTATCATCTGTGGTAATGAATGGCATATTTTGTAGATGTCTTTTGGGTCCATTTGGTCAACTGTGAAATTTAAGTCCAGAATTTCTTTGTTAGTTTTCTGCCTTGATTATTTGTCTAATGCTGTCAGTGAGATGTTGAAGTTCCCCACTATTATTGTGTGGCTGTGTACATCTTTTCATATGTCTAAAAGTACTTGTTTTATGAATCTGGGTGGTCCAATGTTGGATGTATATATATTTAGGATAGTTAAATCTTCTTATAGAATTGAACTCTTTATCATTATGTAATGCCTGTCTTTGTCCTTTTTTACTGTTGTTGGTTTAAAGTATATTGTGGCTGATATAAAGATGGGAAGCAACTTGTGCTCTCTTTTTGCCTTCTTTTGTGTGGTGGATCTTCCTCCAAGTCTTTACTTTGAGCCTATGGGTGTGTAAGATAGCCTTATGTGTAAGATAGGTCTCTTGATGACAATAGATGGATGGGTATTATTTATCCAACTTGCCACTCTTTGCCTTTTAAGTGAAGCATTTAGACCATTTACATTCTAGGTTAATATTGATAGATGAGGTTTTGATCCTATCGAGAAATTGTTAGTTGGTTGCTTTGTAGTTTCTATTGTGAGGCTGCTTGATAGGGTCTGTGGGCTATGTCCTTAAGTGTGTTTTTGTGGTAGCAGTTTTCATTATTTCATTTCTATGTTTAGAACTCTCTTAAGGAACTGTTGTAAGACTTGTCTAGTGGTAATGAATTCCTTTAGCATTTGCTTGCCCGGAAAAGATTTTCCCTTCACTTATGAAGCTTAGTTTGGTGGGATATGAAATTCTTGGTTGGAACTCTTTTTCCTTAGGAATGCTGAAAATAGGCCCCCAATCTCTCCTGGCTTATAAGGTTTATGCTGAGAAGTCCACTGTTAGCCTGATGGGGCTCCCTTTGTAAGTGAGCTGCTTTTAAGATTTTTTTCTTTAGTGTCGACCTCGGATAGCCTAGTGACTGTATGCCTTGATGACAGTCATTTTGTGTAGTATCTGGCAGGTGTTCTCTGGATTTCTTGTATCTGGATGTGTACCTCTCTAGCAAGATAAGGGAAATTTTCTTGAATGATTTCCTCAAATTTTTTTTTCCAGGTTATTTACTCTTTCTCCTTCTGTCTCAGGAATGCCAATCATTTGTAAGTTTGGTCACTTTACATAATATTTCTTGACAACTTTATTCATTTTTTAAAATTATTTTTTTCTTTATTTTTGTCTGACTTGGTTAGTTTGAAAGACCAGTCTTCAGGCTCTGAAATTCTTTCTTCTGCTTGGTCCAGTCTATTGATAAATCTGTCAATTATATTTTGAAATTCCTTAAGTGAGGTTTTAAATTCCAGAAGCTCTGTTTGATTTTTTTTTTAAAGATGTTTACCTCTTCCTTCATTTCCTTGATTGCTTTAGAAGTTTCTTTGTGTTGATGTTCAACCTTGTCTTGGAGGTTGAGCTTCCTTGCAATCCATGCTTTCAAATCTGTCATTTCTGAGTTTCCATTTTTGTCAGGAGCCATTGCTGGAGAGCTAGTGTGATCCTTTGATGCTGTCACCACATTCAAATTCCTCATGGTGCCAGAATTCTTGCAGTGGTTCCTTCTCATCTGGAGATGCTAGCACTTCTAATTTTTATAATTATTTTAGTGTGGGTAGGATTTTTCTTTTTCTTTCTTGCCTATAATATTATTTTTTTCTTTACCATTCCCTCCCTTCCTAGGTGATGTGACTGTAGAGAATGCTGGGTAGGGTCTTTTGGCTTTGTTTCTATAGCCCCATGCACTTCTGATGGCAGGTTTTATATTGGGCTCTGCAGTTTGACCTACAAGCTTGTAGATGGCGCTTATAGGTAAGAGCCAGCTGCAGCCAACATGGTTGGATATATACTTGATCCTTGCTTACTAGGAGAAGCCCTCTGTTTCCTCAGGCAATGGGCTAAGCTGTGGAGTGCACAGTGGTCTGAGCTCCCTCCTCAGCCCTGTGGGGTTGGGGGCCAAGATGGGCAGGGCTAGACCAGGCAGGTCCTCCTCCAGGGGCCCCGATGGCAGGCATGAGCACCAGTGCTGAGGGTGGGTACAGTGAGCAGCCACTGAGCACCCAGAGGTGTGCCTAGGCATGGTGCTGGGAAACCTCCTTGGCCTAAGTTCTCTATGTGGGACTGAGGGGTAGTTTAAACTCCTAGGAGAATAGGTACTCCAGATGCCTGGAGGTCTGCCTGGTTATGGGGTAGAGAGGGCCCCTTGCACCCAGGATCTCTGCACAAGAAGGCTGGGGAAGTTTAGGCCACTGTTCCAGTTGGGTGGGTGATGTGAATGCCTGGAGATGTGCCTGAGTGTGGAGCAGAGAAGGTCTCCCTACACCAAGTTCTCTGCTCGGGAGGGGCAGGATGACTAAGGCAAGCATCCTGGAGATTTGCCTGGGCATGGAGCAGAAAGGGCCTCTCTGCATCTGGATCTCTGCATAGGAAGGGTGGGGTAGTTCAGGCTGCTGAACTAAATGAGTGGGTGCTCTAAATGCCTGGAGATTTGCCTGCATGTGAAGCAGAGAGGGCCTCCCTGTACCAGGATCTCTGCACAGGAAGGATGGGGCATGTCAGGCTGCTGATACAGGTGAGTGGGTGCTCTGAATGCCTGGATGTCTGCCTGTGAATGGAGCGGCAAGAGCTCTGCTGTACCACAGTCTATGCCCAGGAAGGGTGGTGCGGCTCAGGCTGCGAAACCACACAAGTGGGTGCTCCAAATGCCTGGATTTCTGCCTGAGGGTGAAATGGAGAGTGCCCTGCTATACCACAATCTCAGAGGAGCAAGCTGGGGCACCCAGCAATGGTAGATGCAGACCAGTTCCACGTTGCCAAGCTGGCAAGTCTCACTGCCCAAGAGAAACTACAGCTGTAGCAGCTCTCCTTCTGCCTGAGGCTTGCAATGTGAGGAGCACAATTCTAGCACCTACTGCTGAGGTGCCTTCTACAGTTCGGGCTGTGGAGGCCCCTACCCCACTCCAAAGCAAGTCTTGCTCCAGCCTCTGGTCCAAGACTAAAATACCAACACAGTCATGCTGCTAGGTCAGCAAAGAATTCTTGACTTTATGTGGTCCTGCATTAAAAATGGCACCCTGCTCTTGGTCCTAGGCTAGCCTGGGGAAAATGTATTGAGCTTTTTGTGGTGTCTTTCTCTTACAACATCTTCAATCCTTTCCCCAAGTTAGCACTAGGGCTTGGGAGAAACAAAGTGTTCCCCCTTGGCCTGGGTTGCTTGGATCTCCACTGGAAAGGTGAGCTTCAGAGGGAGGCTTTCTGCCTCTCTCATGTACTGGGGTTTTACTCATTTTTATCAGCCAGACACCATCACAGGGGCTGTTTGCTGGCATTTTTCTCCCTGGATTCTGGTTTGTTCTTCAAGATTCCAGTAGATTCCTATTTTCCTTCTTGAATGAAAGTTCACAGAGTTGATCTTTATGCATTGTCTTGCTATCTCCAAGTGGCTGAGGCAAACTAAAAGCCTCTCATCTGCCATCTGGGATGGGGTGGGGTAGTTGGTCAATTTTAAGGCTAAAGAGGTTACTAAGGTTATTCTTTAGCAAGCCCATTGTATGCAAAGTAAAGGCCTCTGTACATATGGAATGAACAGAATCTTAATAGGTGAAGTTATCACAACTCTGCAATATTAGCTATGGCCATTAACTCCAGAACCAGGGCTTGGTTTGGTAGGAGTATACAAGTGAGAAGTCAAATAAGAGTTGCATGAAGATATTGTAAAGAAAGAGTATAAGAAGATGATGAGAATAGAGTTAAGTTAAAAGTGTTTGTCTGTAGTGTCTTTGGGGAGAAGTTTGGAGATTACAAACCAACACTTCTATTGTCCAATATCACATTTCCCATTCTTAGTTGAGTTGGTTTTGATATAATTTGAAGGCTGGATCTTCTTCATTTTTGTGTATGGTACAGGCAATTCTGACTTTTTACTTATTTATCCACTCAAAAAATAGTAGTAAGTACCTATAGTTGGCCAGCATTGTGTTAGATTTTAAAACTGGTCCTCTACCCATGGGGAACTTACATTTTTGGAGGAGACAGATGAGAAAGTCAACCCTCTCAGTACAATAGGTGGTTCTTTGAAAGAGGTATTCAGTAGATACTATGAGAACACAGAGCAGGAACACCCAAGTCACTGGGGAGTCGGGGGAAAAAACCCTGAATAAGCAGTGATAGAGGCCGGGAGTAGTGAAGACATACTGGAGAGAAGTTAAATCATGGAGTAAGTAAGAATAGTGACTGGACTTAGAATCAGGTTACTCACTGGGGGATTTAGGATAACAATTATATCAACTATTGATGGAAGGAATACAAGACAAAGAGCTATTTTATGCAAAATAATGATAATTTTTGTCTTAACCATGTGGAATTTGAGGATCTTGTGGTACATCCAAAAGAAGATAAGGTATCCAGCAAACAACTGTCATTAGGATTCAAATGGAGGTTGGAGCCATGAACATATATATAGTTCTTCAGACAGAGTATATAGACTGAACAAAAGTAGGCAATGGGATGCCTGAGGAAGAACCATTTTTAAGGGTTGAAATGAGTAAATAGAGATGGCAGGAAGGAAGAGAAGAAATAGCTTCATTAGTAGAAGGAACATCTGGAAGAGTTGTATTACATAAGCCGAGAGAGAGAACTTCTAGAAGGAGGTAGTGATCTGCAGAGTCAAATATTACACATGTAATATAATGGTTGCTAGGTGGGCTTTTTGCTAGCTAAGAAATGTTCATTCAGGTTCTCTTGACAAAGAAATCAAGAAATCAATTTGCTTAATTATAACTATACACTCAGAAAATGAAGTAGACAGAAACTCTACTCATGCAACCAGGTTCTGAGAGAATAGGAACCAAGGAATGCCAGGCCTCATAAAGAATGGACTGCAGTTCAGAAACTAGGAGCTCAGGATATAACGCAACTCTTGCAATCAGGATATTTTGTTACATCCTCAATAGGAGGTGCACCCTGGTCTGTCTACAGGCAGTCTGCCATCAACCTAATTCTTTGTTACTCTATGGAGGTCTACACACCTTGGATGCACTTCCATATTACCATCTCTAGACCAGCTCTTTCAAGAGAGAATCTGATTGGCCTAGTTTATCCCCATGTTTCTAATTAGAGAGGGACCTCATAGTCCATAGATTGGTAGCTATTGAATCACTTGTGTTGCCTCACCCCCCTGGGGCCCAGTCAGCTGTAGCCAGGGAAACAAAGTAATATGGTACCCAGAACATGACTACTTCTTCATAAAGAACTGGTAAGGACTGCTTTCCTCAAAAAGGGGCAGTGGCTGTGGAAGATGCTTCATGTTTTAAAGCCTGTATCATGGACATTAATAATGTAGAAGTATATGTGTACCTGTGAGAGTATCTTCAACACTGGAGATAAACACTGGAATTGGGATCTTAATGGATTGAAGAGTAAATGGGAAGTGAGCCAGTGGAGGCAGGGAATATAGATGAATCTTTGCAGGAAGGAGGGTAAGAGATACAGTACCACAGCAAATAGGAAATTTGTTTCCAAGGTAACATTATCTTTTTTTAAATATACTTTAAGTTCTAGGGTACATGTGCACAACATGCAGGTTTGTTACATATGCATACATGTGCCATGTTGGTGTGCCGCACCTATTAACTCATCATTTACATTAGGTATATCTCCTAATGCTATCCCTCCCCCCTCCCCCCACCCCACAACAGGCCCCAGTGTGTGATGTTCCCCATCCTGTGTCCAAGTGTTCTCATTGTTCACTTCCCACCTATGAGCGAGAACATGTGGTGTTTGGTTTTCTGTCCTTGCAATAGTTTGCCGAGAATGATGGTTTCCAGCTTCGTCCATGTCCCTACAAAGGACATGAAATCCTTTTTTATGGCTGCATAGTATTCCATGGTGTATATGTGCCACATTTTCTTAATCCAGTCTATTGTTGATGGACATTTGGGTTGGTTCCATTGGTCTTTGCTATTGTGAATAGTGCCGCAATAAACATATATGTGCATGTGTCTTTATAGCGGCATGATTTATAATCCTTTGGGTATATACCCAGTAATGGTTTGGCTGGGTCAAATGGTATTTCTAGTTCTAGATCCTTGAGAAATCACCACACTGTCTTCCACAATGGTTGAACCAGTTTACAGTCCCACCAACAGTGTAAAGGTGTTCCTATTTCTCCACATCCTCTCCAGCACCTGTTGTTTCCTGATTTTTTAATGATCGCCATTCTGACTGGTGTGAGATGGTATCTCATTGTGGTTTTGATTTGCATTTCTCTGATGGCCAGTGATGCTGAGCATTTTTTCATGTGTCTTTTGGCTGCATAAATGTCTTCTTTTGAGAAGTGTCTGTTCATATCCTTCACCCACTTTTTGATGGGGTTGTTTGATTTTTTCTTGTAAATTTGTTTAAGTTCTTTGTAGATTCTGGATATTAGCCCTTTGTCAGATGGGTAGATTGTAAAAATTTTCTCCCATTCTTTAGGTTGCCTGTTCACTCTGATGGTAGTTTCTTTTGCTGTGCAGAAGCTCTTTAGTTTAATTAGATCCCATTTGTCAATTTTGGCTTTTGTTGCTGTTGCTTTTGGTGTTTTAGTCATGAAGTCCTTGCACATGCCTACAGCCTGAATGGTATTGCCTAGGTTTTCTTCTAGGGTTTTTATGGTTTTAGGTCTAACATTTAAGTCTTTAATCTATCTTGAATTAATTTTTGTATAAGGTGTAAGGAAGGGATCCAGTTTCAGCTTTCTACATATGGCTAGCCAGTTTTCCCAGCACCATTTATTAAATAGGGAATCCTTCCCCCATTTCTTGTTTTTGTCAGGTTTGTCAAAGAACATATTGTTGTAGATGTGTGGTATTATTTCTGAGGGCTCTGTTCTGTTCTGTTCCATTGGCCTATATCTCTGTTTTGGTACCAGTACCATGCTGTTTTGGTTACTGTAGCCTTGTAGTATAGTTTGAAGTCAGGTAGCGTGATGCCTCCAGCTTTGTTCTTTTGGCTTAGGATCGTCTTGACAATGTGGGCTCTTTTTTGGTTCCATATGAACTTTAAAGTAGTTTTTTTCCAATTCTGTGAAGAAAGTCATTGGTAGCTTGATGGGGATGGCACTGAATCTATAAATTACCTTGGGCAGTATGGCCATTTTCACGATATTGATTCTTCCTATCCATGAGCATGGAATGTTCTTCCATTTGTTTGTGTCCTCTTTTATTTCGTTGAGCAGTGGTTTGTAGTTCTCCTTGAAGAGGTCCTTCACATCCCTTGTAAGTTGGATTCCTAGGTACTTTATTCTCTTTGAAGCAATAGTGAATGGGAGTTCACTCATGATTTGGCTCTCTGTTTGTCTGTTATTGGTGTATAGGAATGCTTGTGATTTTTGCAGATTGATTTTGTATCCTGAGACTTTGCTGAAGTTGCTTATCAGCTTAAGGAGATTTTGGGCTGAGACAATGGGGTTTTCTAAATATACAATCATGTCATCTGCAAACAGGGACAATTTGACTTCCTCTTTTCCTAACTGAATACCCTTTATTTCTTTCTCCTGCCTGACACCCGGCCAGAACTTCCAACACTATGTTGAATAGGAGTGGTGAGAAAGGGCATCCCTGTCTTGTGCCAGTTTTCAAAGGGAATGCTTCCCATTTTCGCCCATTCAGTATGACATTGGCTCTGGGTTTGTCATAAATAGCTCTTATTATTTTGAGATACGTCCCATCAATACCTAGTTTATTGAGAGTTTTTAGCATGAAGGGCTGTTGATTTTTGTCAAAGGCCTTTTCTGCATCTATTGAGATAATCATGTGGTTTTTGTCTTTGGTTCTGTTTATATGCTGGATTATGTTTATTGATTTGCATATGTTGAGCCAACCTTGCATCCCAGGGATGAAGCCCACTTGATCATGGTTGATAAGCTTTTTGATGTGCTGCTGGATTCAGTTTGCCAGTATTTTATTGAGGATTTTTGCATCAATGTTCATCAGGGATGTTTGTCTAAAATTATCTTTTTTTTGTTGTGTCTCTGCCAGGCTTTGGTATCAGGATGATGCTGGCCTCATAAAATGAGTAGGGAGGATTCCCTCTTTTTCTATTGATTGGAATAGTTTCAGAAGGAATGGTACCAGCTCCTCCTCGTACCTCTGGTAGAATTCAGCTGTGAATCCGTCTGGTCCTGGACTTTTTTTGGTTGGTAGGCTATTAATTATTGCCTCAATTTTAGAGCCTGTTATTTGTCTATTCAGGGATTCAACTTCTTCCTGGTTTAGTCTTGGGAGGGTGTATGTGTCCAGGAAGTTATCCATTTCTTCTAGATTTTCTAGTTTATTTGCGTAGAGGTGTTTATAATATTCTTTGATGGTAATTTGTATTTCTGTGGGATCGGTGGTGATATCCCCTGTATCATTTTTTATTGCATCTGTTTGATTCTTCTCTCTTTTCTTCTTTACTAGTCTTGCTAGCGGTCTGTCAATTTTGTTGATCTTTTCAAAAAACCAGCTCCTGGATTCATTGATTTTTTTGAAGGGTTTTTTGTGTCTCTATCTCCTTCAGTTCTGCTCTGATTTTAGTTACTTCTTGCCTTCTGCTAGCTTTTGAATGTGTTTGCTCTTGCTTCTCTAGTTCTTTTGATGTGATGTTAGGGTGTCAATTTTAGATCTTTCCTGCTTTGTCTTGTGGGCATTTAGTGCTATAAATTTCCTCTACACACTGCTTTAAATGTGTCCCAGAGATTCTGGTATGTTGTGTCTGTGTTCTCATTGGTTTCAAAGAACATCTTTATTTCTGCCTTCATTTCATTATGTACCCAGTAGTCATTCAGGAGCAGATTGTTCAGTTTCCATGTAGTTGAGCGGTTTTGAGTGAGTTTCTTCATCCTGAGTTATAGTTTGATTGCACTGTGGTCTGAGAGACAGTTTGTTATAATTTCTGTTCTTTTACATTTGCTGAGGAGTACTTTACTTCCGACTATGTGGTCAATTTTGTAATAAGTGCGATGTGGTGCTGAGAAGAATGTATATTCTGTTGATTTTGGGTGGAGAGTTCTATAGATGTCTATTAGGTCCGCTTGGTGCAGAGCTGAGTTCAATTCCTGGATATCCTTGTTAACTTTCTGTCTCGTTGATCTGTCTAATATTGACAGTGGGGTGTTAAAGTCTCCCATTATTATTGTGTGGGAGTCTAAGTCTCTTTGTAGGTCTCTAAGGACTTGCTTTATGAATCTGGGTGCTCCTGTGTTGGGTGCATATATATTTAGTATAGTTAGCTCTTCTTGTTGAGTTGATCCCTTTACCATTATGTAATGGCCTTCTTTGTCCCTTTTGATCTTTTGTTGGTTTAAAGTCTGGGTAACATTGTCTTTTAAGATAGAAGATACTTCACCCTAGTTATATTGTAATAGGAAAGAGAAATTGCATATGTAGGGGAGAAAATGATTGATAGACTGAGGTCCCTGAGGAGCTGCAAGGGAACCTTGTAGAGCACTGTTTTTTACCTTACTCACACGTACACTCATCAGTGGACTCTCCTATCTGAGGTAATCTCATATTGTTGAACGTGGAGAAATCCTGAAAGAGATATGGGGAAGGAATAAATTGAAAATGAGAGTGTTAAGGAAATGGGGAAATACTATGGGAGTTGGCAGCTAGAAACACAAGTTAGGAAAGGAAAGAGTGGGAAATTCAGAGAAAGTGAAGAATCAGTAAGCAAGAGTTTGACTAAATATTCCGAAGGGATAGGTTATAAGTCCTCCTGGGTGTTCTGATGACTCCAAGGGCTGCTTATTTATTTTGCTGCAAGGAAAAAGCCACAAGCATGCCTTGATTGTGATGTCCCTCATAACTCACTACCATAGCAGGCAAACCCTCAGGTATTCTAGAGCTTTTTGTTTTGCATCAGTAAATATTTGCTGCCATTGTATCATCTTAGTAATGATTTACCATACATCCTATTTGAATTTCATGGAGCAACCCCCTTAAATAACTTTTAATACCAGAGATAATCCCAGTGGCTAAGTCAATTAGATCTTAAAAATAGAACCTTTGTTAAAAGGTCACTCCGATTTCTCTTCTGGTGTTGGGTTCTGACACTGATAAATTGTCCCCAGACTCCTCTCTTAACATCTTAGGTTAAGACTGTCTCTACTACATACATACACCAGAAGCACTGAGATTTTTTTTTTCATTTAAAAATAGATCCAAAGGCAAACATATTTAAAGTGGATTTCCTACTATGGCGATTTCAAAACCTAACACTGGAGAATGAAGGTGGTAACTGTCGTTTCACATGTGTACTCAGCAAATGCAATTTCTACTACCATAGTTTTCCTTTTCCTCCACCTAACTCTACTACACTGCTTATTATAAACAGTAGTTGGAAGGGGTAGATTTTATAAGCATTTGGGATGTGCATTTTCATCCTTGAGTAGAAAATGGACCTCTTAAAAATTTTCATTTACTTTTCTTTCCTTTCCTCTTCCTTCTCCTTTTTTGAGAAGGAAAAATGAAAAAAAGTATTTGAAAAGAAATTAAGAGGTGGCATGTATACTTAAATTTTTATTTCCCTTAAGTTTCAAATCTGGGATTCAAATAGCGACAGACTTAAGAGAAGGGCCTGGCATCACTCCTAGTCCCACGAAATTGTCCTACTGCCTCTTGACAGAGTTAAGGCCATTTGTCTCCTGGTTTTAATCTTATTGCTAAATAATAGCTAACGTTTAATGATTACCTAGTAGGTTCCAAGTATCAGGGATAAAAAATGAATAAGCACTGGTTCTTTTCCTAAAAGAACTCACACTGTAGTGGTGATGACTGGGGAGTGGCTAGATTAATGCAACAATTTAGGGAAAGTGGAAGTCAGAAGGAGAGAAAATGACAGTGAGCAGTGGATGAAAAATTTCTCCCTTTCTCTCATTCAGGTTCATGACAAGTAGCTAGCTAAATCCTCAAATTAATTCACTCTATGACTTCAGAGGGCAAACCATATTCCTTGCTCAAAAAAAAAAACAAAAAACAAAACTCATTAAGGAAAGAAATTTGTCTATAGCAGTAAAGCTGATGGATGTTCTTAAAATCCAAAGAATCTTTCCTGTTAGGCCCGCTTGCCATTTCAAAGCTGGAAAAGGATTATATAAAGGTAAATGGGTATGTGTGTGTGTTGGGGAGGCAAGAACAGAGGGAGGAGGGGAAAAACATCAGGTAGAGAGACAGAGCACTTGTGCAGATAAAGGAGTTTTCTTAATTGTTGTCTTAAAATGATGGCTATGGTTGAGGTAGGAAATAAGCAACACAGAGAACATACATGATATAATATGGTATGCATTCGTTGGGGTACATGATGCAAGCTGCTACAACAACCGCTAAATCTCAAGTAATGATTTCTTGCTTCTTCCTGTGTCTTTGTTTCGTGCTGCTATAACAGAACACCAAAGAATGAGTAATATATAATAAACAGAGTTTTATTGGTTTGTAGCCTAGTGGCTGGGAAGTCCCAGATCAAGGTGCCAGTATCTTATGTGGGACATCTTGTTCTGTCATCCCATAGTGGAAAGCAGAAGGGCCAACAAAAGTGAGAGCAAGAAAAAGAGAGAGCAGAAGTGAGTGAGCCTACTCCTGATAACTGGCATTAGTCCACTTATGAGGGCAGAGCCCTCTTAAGGCCCCACCTCCCAATACCATCACAATGGCAATTAAATATCAGCATGAGTTTTAGAGGGGACAAACCTTCAAACCATTGCAGCCTGTCACAGACCAAGATAGTCATGGAAAAAAGGGGACTGCTTCATGCAGTCTTTCAGGAACCCAAGCTCTTCCTGTCTTGCAATGCCACCATCTTCACTATGTGGTCCCAGGGTTAGTGTAAAGGGGGAAGAGAGATGTTAAAGGTTGTGCAGGAGGTGGGAGGATTCTGGCAGACCTGGAAGTAGTATACACAACCTTCACTTGCATTTCTTTGGATAGAATTCAGACTCATAGCCCAAAATTAATTACAAAAGAAACTGGGAAATGTAGTCTTTCTGTATGCCCAGAGGGAAAATAAATTGTTTTTTTGATGAACATATGGCATTGTCTGTGACACATGGTAGTACTTTCATCAAGCTAAAATTGACAGTGATAAGGGTCCTACATAACAAACAAGTGAGGTCTTGCCCTTGTTGGAACACTAGCTGCCTTGTTTTTAGCATTACTTAGGAGAGTTTGAATATTTGTGTCTCTCTGTGGCTTAAATGAAGAACCTTTTTAGGGTTTCAAATTTTCTGTGGAAGCTTCATTTGAAGTACATGGCATAGGTTCGATACTTCTTTCTGTTTTTTAACGTATTCCATGAAATAAAGAAAAAGAAAAACCTGACTTCTTCAAAGTCCTAACCCCTCCACATGAGTAAGGGAAAAAATGGAGGGGGAATCTGATGTGTGCTCACTTTGAAGAAGATGCTTTCTCCCAGCTCTGACTGTCAGAGTGGACTCAGCTCATTAAGTAGGCCAGGCAGGCGACCCATTCTCCTCAGCCATCCGACGGTCCAAACAGGCAACCTTCCCAGTTAGAGGAGCCCTCTTTTTGGATTAAGGTTACATAGATGCTTACATTCCCAGCTAGAACTTCTAAAAAAGCCCCCATGGCATAGAAACTCGTATTTCAATGTTAGTATTGCTGTAGGAATACCTACATGCCCGTATTTATAAAGGAAAACTAAATCACCAAAAAGTTCCAACACTTTATTTATAATATGCATGTTACATATATAGTAAAGCTATTTTATTTTTCCTTAAAGATCTATTTTATTAAGTGCCTACAGACAATATATTAAGAAGGAGACTTAAGCTCAAAATGTAAAACCCACAATAAACAACTCAAGTACTGCATTTTTAAATCCTCATATTGCACGGCTAGTTGTCTCTAAGTTTTAAATGGTAGTTGCTAAAGCATACCATCAAGGATGACTTTTAGCAAAAATAACAGCTGGCTTTGAAATTAATTTGAAAATGAATATAATCTGTAACAGGTACATATACATGAGGTGAAGTAATTCCTGGCATCCTTCAACTGATACACTATCTTCAAGTTTAGGGCAAAGCATTTAGTATTCAGGAAAATTACACATAAGATTATATTTTATGATTTTTTTTTCCCTGGGAGCATATGAACAAGCATTGCAAACATGCTATACACCTGTAAGACCAAGCATTATGGTAGGTAACTAGGGAATATCCACAACACTAGAAAGAAATCTGCACAATGAATCAGGCAGAGAACAGCTGGTGAAGAAATCAGATGGAGAATGGGAGTAATCTGTGGAAGGTATTTGAGTTTGCTATAAACATTTTGCAAGCATTGGGTGAAGAAGCTAAGCCTCTGGGCCTCACAACCAAAGCCCAGGCTTGCCGCAGGCTACAGAAACAGTTTTCAGAAAGTACCCAGCTCCTGACAAAGAGTGACCATTTAAACAGTATGTGGAGAATGTTGTTAATTCTGACTCCAGGGTTGTTTTTGAGTCACCCACAGGGCATCAGTCTTTGTAAGTATTGGCCCCAGGTTTCTAGAGAGTTTGACCTCTTGGGTGCCCTGTATTTCCACTGTTAAAACAAGTGCATTGCTAGAGAAAGAAAGGGTATTTCTTTTAAGTATTAAGTAAGTGCTGAGCAGGAAAGAGCTTTTTGCCTATCCCTTGAGGCACAAAATAAGAGCACTGTGGTGAGTAACTGAGAACTTGGCCAAGAAAATAAATCTGTTTAAGGTTTGGAAAACTGGGTGCAAGTTTGCTTTCTTTCACCTCCAAATCCACTAGATTTTTCTATCTTCATTTTCTTTTGGTGCTTTGTGCTTCAATTTTTTTGTGGTATGCATAGTTAACATCCTGACGAATGAAAAGGAATCCTCTGTCATACAAACAAAGGAAGAAGCTCAGTGTACTTAGGCCACAGCATAAAGGAGGGGCAGGGAGGGAAAGAGAAGCATAGGAAAGAAAAACACAAAAACACAAATACTGGAGCAAACTCAGACCGCTGGGTCAAATGAAAACCCATAGTGCAAATGGCAAAGGATCAAAGGTGATAGGGTGTGTTGCTGGGGAAGGTGCTGCCCCTGCTCTGATACATTCCACAGTGGAGAGAGTCCACTGGAATCGGGCACCTGCTGCTTTAAGAGCAGAGTCTCAGAGAAGGGGAGAGAAGCCTTCTATGGAGTAGGGAGAAGAGAGGGAGCAAAGAGGCTGCTGGGGTCAGAAGCAAGGGACAAACAGAGCTGCTGCGTTTTAGAGGCTGAAGTGTCATTTCCCTGCTCACCAGCTCCAATCTGCTTCTGATTTGGGGCTCCCTGTCTGTTCTCAAGTCAACTGAAATGTGAAAAGCTCTTAATTCCAGCGAAAGGTTAGACAAAGGAAGCTTGGCTCTGTTACTAACCACGAGGCTCATTTCTCCTCCGGGGCGTGTCCAGGCCTGGAGCTTCGGGCCTGATCCTCTCCTTGTCTTTGTGGCCAGGATACTTGATCTGCAACTCGTTTGCCCATTCTCAGGGGAGTCTTTACCATCCAGCTCTCCTTTGGTCTTAAGCAAGGCTGGCAAAGGGAAAAAGCCACAAGAACTTAAACTTCACAAAAGCAACAATAACAAAACTCCCCCACACCATGGAAACCATCCAGCCACAGAGAGGCCAGCGTGTCTCTTGGTGGGGTTGCTTTGATACTGCCAGCACAGAAGTTGCCCGTCTGTCACAGATGGGTATCAGAGTCTTGAAAACCAATCCTGTCCTCTAGCCTAAGCTCTGCAATGACAGTGGTCAAGCTGCTACTTCAAAATCCATGCCTGGATTCTTATGTGGAATGTGCCCTCTGTCTACCTGCATTTCTTTAGAGCTTAAATCCAAACATTGCCTGTTCGGTGAAGGCTCTGAAATAAAAATAAAAGAGGTAATTGGAACATGAGAGGATAGAACAGTAACAGTAACCAGCAAGCATAGCTCCTATGTTCAGTTTTACTTTGCTTGCAGAAGTGAATATGCTCATCAGTTCATGAGTCAAGTGGGGCTGCCCCAGGGTCAGAACCTCTATCCCCAACCCATGGGAGGGCTCCTATCAGGGAAGGGGAGCAAGCATGTTCCAGTTGGGGGCTATAGGGCACATGGTCTTTCTTGTCCTGAGGGTCTGTGAAGCTAGCATTTAATATTGTCACAACATTGAATGATCCTCTCCTTTCTCTCCAATAGCTTTGCAGTTAAGGAATGAAAAAGAGCAGGGGATGGAGAAAAGGCATCTGGAGAGCTGGCATATTGGGGCTTCCAAAGCACCTTCATGTTGCTCTCTCTGCAAAGATTTTGTTTCCTCCTCCTATTACCGTTATATTCTAAACTGTGTCTGACTTGCTACAGTAAAAAAAAAAAAAAAAAACTCAAGAACACAATGTTGAATTAAAAAAAGATACAAAAGAATACAAAAATTTACCCTTTACATTAATTTGAAAAACATACAAAATTGTACTGTGCATTGTTATGGAGATACCTTTATGCAGTAAGAGCTAGAAAATGCATGGGAAAGACTGACCTCAATATCATCATAATGGTAAAGACCACCTCCAGCGGCGCCACAGTTCCTGACCTTCACTGAGAACTTCCCACACACCAGGCACTGTTCTCATTGCTCACTAAAGCCTCCTGGAGAAGGAAAAAGAAGCGGTTTGGACCGCATGACTTTAGCGGTTTGGGGGCATGACTTTAGTTGTCTTTGAAATGAATATAGTGAGATGGGAGACCAGCAGGACTTATATTCCGAGCACCGATCATGACCCTACTAATCAAAGCAGGATGCAGCAAAGACACCAGCCGAAACCAGCGGATAGCAACAAAAGTGACCCTCTTGCCCTCACTGCTAATAAGCATAAAGACAGTCCCACCAGTGCCATGACAGTTTACAAATGCCATGGCAACAACCCAGAAGTTTCCTTATATGGTTCCAGGAACTCCCCCACCCCTTTTCTAGAAAATTCTGAATAACCTACTCCTTAAATAGCATATAACGAAGACTGTGTATAAATATAGCTAGCCAGCAATCCATAAGGACTGCTGCTGCTGCTGCTGCTGCTGCTCTGGGCAGCTCTGCCTATGAAAGAACCCTGCTCTGGGGAGCAGCCACTTTGCCATACACTGTTGCTCTAATAAACTTGCCTTCTTTCATTGCCAGCTCATTCTTCAGTTCTTTCCTGAGCAAAGTCAAGAACCCTCCTGGGCTGAGCCCCAATTTTGGGATTTGCCTGCCATCAATTGCAAAGTGGCAAAATGTTCACAAGTTAGAAATCTGGGTGGAGTGTCAGTTATTTTATTTTCAGTATTCAGCATGTTTTGAAATATTTCATAATTATTTTAATAAAAAGAAAAACAAAAGCAGTAACAAAAAAAAGGACACAAAGAATTTTTGTAAGAAAGGGCCTCTTTTGTCATGTCACTTTCCATGCATGGAGTGGCATCTCCTTCCTCAGACCTCTAAAATGCTGTGCAGTGTCATGGTGGGTTCTCCTCCCTTTCCTCCATTCCTACTCCACAGATGACCATGTCCGGCCCTGTGCTTTCACCCATATCACTCTGTGGAGGCCTCCCCAGTGTCTCTCTCTAGGCCTGCACCCTTCCCTAGCTCCAGGGCCTGCATCACATTTCCACACAGACACCAAAAGCATATAGAAAACTCAATTCATGTAGCATGTGGCAAACTCAATCCAAAATAGAATGCTGACTTTCCTTCAAAAACCATTTCTCCCCCAGTATTCTCCCATTGCAGTAACTAGCATCATCTTTAGAGTAAAAAGGACAACAATTTGATTCTTTCTCTGCTTCCTTCTTTCTCCCACATTCCACCACCACGTCATGAGCACACCCAATTGGCTCTACTTCACCACACACACATTGAGTCAGAATACATCTGTGTCCCCAACTGCCACCACCCCAGGCCCAGAGCCTCATCTCAGGTCTGCTCTGCTGACCACAGTCACCTCCCAGTGCTTGCCTGCCTTCACCCTTGGGCTACCAGTTTCTTCTCCATGTGGCTTTTCACAATGTAAACTCCTTCACTCAAGACCTTCCAAGGGCTTGAGTACCTAGAAGTTAGGAGAAAGTCCTTCCAGCGGTTTGCAGAGCACATATCAACAGACCATTGGTCCTGCCCTCCCCTGTCCATGCCCCGTGCCCATACTTTTTGCTCCCTGCACTAGTCATGAAGACCCCTGAGGACCTCCTTGCAATGTCTCAATCAGGCCCTAGCAGACCCTGACAGCCTGGCCTTTACTCTGATTATTCCCTCTTCTTAGATGCCTCTTTCTGGATATTTCTGTGGCTCACTCCCACTCCTCACTGAGGTCTCTGCTCAAATCTCATCTATTCAGAGAAACTTCCCTGATCACTCCATCTAACAGAACAGGCCTGCCTTGATTATTTCTCCTTGGCTGGATTCATGTTTCTAAGGTGGCGCCAGGCCTATAGTAGGCACTCAACACACATTTGTCAAAACAGTGAATGATAATTATTGACCAGCTCATTGCAGCCATTCACACATATGTTGATTCATTGCTACCAGCAAAAGTCCTCAGAGGACAGCACAGAAGACAGTAACTCGGAGAGTGTGCCCAGCCCCTCCATGGGGTTGATTCTGAGACTAGAATTCAAATCCACTTATTTTTACTCTAATCTTTCCCCTGTACCACCTTGCATCTCTCAAAGGAGGAAAGTAAGAAAAAGCAACATTCAACTGTCTGGTAAATGCTGCTGAAGATTGTAATAATCACATTTACACAATTTGATCTTCACAAACACCCTGAGAAGTAATGTCGTCTCAATTTTGGAGATGAGAAAGCTGAACCTTCTAAGAGGTTAAGTATTTAGCTTAAGATCATCATTTTTAATAAGAAACAGAATGTACCCCAGGCCTGCCTCATGCCACGGCCTGTGCTTTCTTAATGACATTCATCCTGCCTAAAAGTTGCATTTTAGATTCCCGTAAAAAGCCTGTGTCCTATCAACAGTGTAGGCTCACCCAATGTTTGCTGTCTGGTGATGATTCCAACTCTGTCTTCTTCCCTCTCCTGCCCCCCTCCCTCTACTGCTGGGACTGTTCCCCAGCACTTTCACCTTCTCCTCATTGCTTACACCTGCTGTGGCCTCAGAGGAGCAATAGCCTTCATGGGCCACCCAGAAGTTGGATATAAGAAAACAGGTTAGGTTGGAGAGAGTGAGAGGGAGAACAGCCAGTGCTGGAAGACAGGCAGTGCCCAACTTTCAAATGGGTTTGTTTGCTAGAATTTCTTTGGAGGGCTGTCATACGAAACTTCAAACACATTTCCCCATAGAAACAATATTATCAATGATGGTTAGGGTCTTGCAGTCATCCTTGAAGCCCTATATAATGCAGATGTTTAACCAAGATGCTACTAAATACTCCCAGAATTATTGAATCTCATTAGCAAGTCAGCATCAGTCACATGGATTCTGTGGGAAAATATAACCTTGAGTTCCGACTGTGAACACTAAGAACACTTCTGTTTACATGTTACACCTCTAGATCCTATCTCTGTGTGATACTCTTCTTACTATTCACCCCAACCCCAGCCTGAATTCAGCAGGGCTGGCTATAGGCCTGTAGTGTGATGAAGGCTACCAGGCATATTAAGGAGGAAGAGAGTACAGGCTCACACACTGGCAGGACAGCCTAGAGGGGGCTCCAGGGACTCCCAGAGGAGGAGTCTTCTGGCAGGACAATAGCCTATGTTTAGAACACTTATATAGTAGTAACTCCAGTTTCAGGGCAACAGCACATGTTGGGGGGTCTTGGGTGTTGTGGTACAGTAACTTAAGTGTGCAGGGGAATGAAAGAAAGTGAGCAGTATGGAGCCTGTCTCCATTCACAAGGGGCCGTGCATGCAAATGTGTGGCTGTCCCTGTGTGCGTCCGGGTATCTCTGGAGAGCACTCATGAGATAGGTGGTGACACAGAGTCCTGAAAAGTAACCCAGAGCAGGCATCCAACAGTTCTGGTTCTTGCTCCGCTTCCTTATTTGGGGGATTCTAGGCAACATGAAACCTCTCAGGGCCTTATTTTCCTTTAATGTTAAGTGGGAAAAATAATTATCCTCCATCCTACAGGGTCATTGTGAGTATCATCTAATATCATATTGTTGTGAAAACACTGTGTCCCATTTAATGTTGTGGTAGTATTAATATTATACCAAGAATTACGTAATAGGACACATGTTCTCCCAAACTTTATATTTTTTAGTGTTCTGCACCAAACAGTTAAGAGAAGGATAGCTATAATGGTTCATACATCCACTCTGGGTTTTCTGTTTGGTTGGTTTTTTGTTTTCCAGGGTTTTTTTTGTTTTTTTTTTTTCCCGGATGTGAGCACTCCTAGCCACAAAGAATTAGCTAGAGAGGAAGATTTCAGGCCAGATATACCTATTGCTTCAGGCCTTCTTTGTTTCTTCCACTCCTACTTTTTTTTTTTTTTTGAGACAGAGTCTCACTCTGTCACCCAGGCTGGAGTGCAGTGGCCCAATCTTGGCTCACTGCAAGCTCCGCCTCCCAGGTTCACGCCATTCTCTTGCCTCACCCTCCCAAGTAGCTGGGACTACAGGCACCCGCTACTATGCCCGGCTAATTTTTTGTGTTTTTAGTAGAGACGGGGTGTCACCATGTTAACCAGGATGGTCTCGATCTCCTGACCTTGTGACCAGCCTGCCTCAGCCTCCCAAAGTGCTGGGATTACAGGCGTGAGTCACTGTGCCGGGCCTCTTCCACTCCTACTTCTATTCTGCATGCTGCCATCCCCTCGGTCCATAGACCTCTGCTCGGGCCATCATCCCTTGACAGGTCTGCATATTTTACCTCTAGATTTTTTTTTTCAGCAGTCCATTTTTTCTTGGTTGTCCCACTGGAAAGGAATCTGATCAGTACTGTTTTTAAACATTGCAATAATAGTCAGATAGATCCCATTGTAGTTGAAGATTACTGGAAGAAAAAAAGAATCCAAACTCCACATGTAGGAATGTTGATCTGAGATGGGTTGTTTTCCAAGACCCATCTTAACAAGAAACATTAACAACCCAAGGAAGTTTCCCTGCTTGGAAAGTTTTTTCCCTTTTTTTCTACCTGCTGAATTATTTCTCCCATTTGTGATGTAAAGTTCCTTACGTGGAAAGTAAACATTGACTTAACTGACTCCTGTTAAATGACTCTTTTCTGTAGGAGAAGCCAGCCTATTTAGTGCCTTGCCATTTCAACATGTGTTCATACACTTATTAGTTAATTTGCCAGATTCCCTGTTTTAAAGTCCCAGGCTGCATTGTATCTTTTGAAAATTGAAGTCATGTACACAAACCACTTTCAAGTTAGGAGAGACATTAAAAATAATTAGGTCCTGCAATATTTCTCTAGAACCATTCCTTTCAGGATCTTGGCACGTGCTACATCATTAATGCATAGCCACCTGCTTTGGGATCAGGTGCTGCAAATTTTCCTCTATTTGTTTCTGGACTGAATGAGTCAGTGAGAGACTTGGTTCTAAAACATCCCAGCTGGACAGTGGTGAAGGCAGCATTTAGAACAGAGAGTTCTCCTCTCCCACAGCAAGTTCAAAGAGTTTTGTACAAGAAGTGCATTTGGTGACGGACTGTGGTAAATACCAAACTCATTAGGATTCAATTAAGTAGGACCCTACCCTTTATTATTGTTTGAAAATCAATAGAACCATTAGAAATTGTTTTCAGCATTGTTTTAACGTGAAATGCTAGAGTTGCCCACTGTGGGGTGCCAATACTTCAAGTGCATCATCCCTTCTCCAGGGTTGGTGAGTTCTCTTCTGTGCTGTAAAAACCTCCCTAGTCATCTTAAACAAAAAATCTCAGTTCTGCTTTTTTAACTTTCTGGGAAAGGTGAAGCGTATTGCAGGAGATTCAATAAAAGCTGGGTGACTAGGTATGTCTTTGTGGGCAAAATGGAGAAGCATGGACTGGACAGCTAAATAGTTGAACTGACTTGTGAATGGTTGGGTCCAAACTGTGATGATTCTTAGGCTGGGGGGTGGGTGGGGAGTAGAGTTTCCCAAAGACATACGCTTGGACCCCATTATTAACACTTTTAATAGTTACATGGAGAAAGATGTTGGAGGCCACGCTTTTGCATCTGATATAAAATCAGGGTTAATGATTTTTCCACCAGAAGTATTCAAAAGTAGACTGGTTATAAATAGGACACACAACGTTTCAATTAGATGGAGCAATGGGCCACATTAACCAGATTGCAGGGTTTTATTTAACTAAAAACTAATTGCAAATAAATTTATTGGTGGGGTTACTAAAAGTCAACTTGTGATTTTAGTCTGTAAAAGTAGATGCATAATATCTAGACTAAGGAAAAAGATAAACCTCCTATATTCTGCGCACCTGGAACATGGCACTTAATTTTGGCACAAGTTATTTGACTAGAGATATAGATAAATTGGAACCCAGACTGGAATTCAGCAGTAAGCAGCCAGAATGATGAAAGACTTATAGCTATAGAACAGTTTCAAATAAAAGAAATGTTTCTTTTAACCGGCAAAAGAATGAAGAAAATAAAAATTATTTGCCATGGCTGTTTAGACATCAGTAACAAGAAAGATTCAAGCCTGTAACAAGTGTTTTGACAGGATAGTATTCGGGGTCTTCTCCACCCTGCTCTTCTAGGAGGCTATGGATATGAATCCATCGATGTGTCATTTGTAAAATGGTGTCCTTTTTAAATTAAAAAAAAAAATTGGGACTTTTTAGTGTTTTCATTCATTATATAGATTGGAGCTGTCCAATGCTTTATTGAGATGATAGAAATGTCTTTCTTTACTGTCCAATATGATAGCCGCTAGCCACATGTGGCTGTCAAGCCTTGGAAATGTGCTAGTCCAACTGAGGAACTGAATTTTAGTTTTATTTAAGTTTAATTCAAACACCCACATGAGGCTGGTGGCTCTGGACCAGGACAATGCAGTTCAAGACACTGCCTTCCTCTTCCATTTCACCTTACTGACAGCTTGGAATTTGGTCTTTTGTCTCTTTGAGATTCACCTGAAAACATAAAAGCATAAGAACAACAGAATTAAAATCTAATTTCCAAAGAACTAGATGTGGACTGTTTTTTGTTTGTTTTAGATTCCTTCCAGGTATATCCTAAATTTTATGCCCAAATTCTTCAAATTTCTTCTTACCTATGATGGCTCCTACAAGCACTTTCCCCTATTTCTTACATGTTGAAATATTGACTACAGAAATTAAGTTCTGCTAGTGCTCTCCTTCTGGCAATACCTACATTCCATTCTATGCCAATCTCCAGAAACTGTTTTCTGTAAAGGATCTACATAAAACCTGATTTGTATGACACAGCAGGCAATCTCCCAAGGCTTACAAACAATTTGGAAGAACGTATTTGATGGCTTTATTGTATATTCTTACTTTGTTTCAAAGCTTTTAAAAACATAAACATATTTATGGATTTGAAGTAAAGTTTAGTTTTAGTTTAATGTTAAGCTTCATGAACCCATTATTAAGTCCTCTGGTTCAGGTAAATCACTTAACTTTTCTATCCCCCAATTGCCAGATCCATCCAATTGGTTAGGAAAATATTTAGTACTTTCCATTTGGAGGAAATCATTAGTATCTTCCATTTTCTTTTTTTTCTTTTTTTTTTTTTTTTTGGTGAGACAGGGTCTCACTCTGTCACCCAGGCTGGAATGCAGTGGAGTGATCATGGCTCACTGCAGCCTTGATTTCCCAAGCTCAAGCAATCCTCCCATCTCAGCAGCTGGAGTAGCTGGGACTACAGGTTTATGTCACTATGCCTACTAATTTTTTAATTTTTTTTTTTTAGTAGAGATGAAGTCTCACTGTGTTGTCCAGTCTGGTCTCAAACTCCTGAGCTCAAACAATCCTCTCAACTCAGCCTCCTAAAACTCTGGTATTACAGATGTGAGCCCTGTGCTCAGGCATATTTTTCATTTTCTTGAAATGGGATGTTAGATACAAAATGAAAAGCATTAATCAGATGTAAGGTTTTGCTTTTGTTTTTGTTGTCTTTTCATAGCTTTTAAAACCTTTTTATTTTGACATATTTGTAGATTTACATGGAGTTGTAAGAAATTATCTGTTCACTTGATTTGCTTCAGTGGTAACACCTTGCGTAACTATATCAGACAGGAAACTGTCAGTGATACAGTTGACTGACCATATGCAGATTTTACCAGTTTTATGCGACTCATTGTGTGGTGAGCGTGTGTGTTTAGTACTATGGAATTTTATCATACACGTAGATCCTTGTGAATATACCCGTGATCAATGTATAGAACGATTCCATCACAAGGATCCCTCATTCTGCCCTTTTAGAGGGACCACCACTTCCCTCTCTCCCTCCTTCTATAATTCCTGTCAACCACTAATTGTTCTTCATCTCTATAATTTTCTTATTTCAAGAATGTTGTATAAATTGATTTATACTGCACGTAACTTCTTTATTTTGGCTTTTTTCACTTAGCATAATTTCCTTGAGATTCATCCAAGTTGTTGCTTGTGTCAATAGTTCATTCCTTTCATTGCTGGATAGTATTCTTTGATATAGAATACAACACCTTTGTTTAACTGTTCACCTACTGAAAGATATTTGTTTCCAGATTTTGCATTACATATGAACATTCATGAGCAGATTTCTGAGTAAATTCAAGTTTTTATTTCTCGGGGATACATGTTTAGGTGTACAGTTGCTATATCGTATAGTCAATGCCTGTATATTTTTGAAAGGAATTGTCGTACTCTTTTCCAGAGTGACTAGAAAAATTTTATATCCCCAACAGCAATGTATGAGTGATCCAATTTCTCTGCATCATCATCAGCATATGGTGCTATCAATATTCCTTATTTTAGTCATTCTGTAGATGTGTTTCAACAGCTAATTGTGATTTTTATTATAATTCCTGAATGGCTAATATTGAACGTCTTTATATATGCTTTTAGCCACCTCCATATTATCTCAGTGAAATGTCTGTTCATGTTTTTTGCTCATTTTCTAACTGGCTTTTAAAAATTTTTACTCGAGTTTTGAGAAATATATAAATTCTAGGTACTAGTTCTTTGTTAGCTATGTGGTCTGCAAATATTTTCTTCAAATTTGTAGCTTGTCTCTTCATCTCCTTAACATGATCTTTCACAGAACAAATAGTTTCCATTCTGATGAGGTCCAATTTATCAATTTTCATTTTAGATTTTGCTTTTGGTATCAAGTCTAAGAATTCTTCACCTAGTCTTAGATAAAGATTTTTCTCCTATGTTTTTATTCTAAGCATTTTACACTTTTAATTCTGTGACCATTTTGAGTTATTTTATTATTATTATTATTTTTGAGACAGAGTTTTGCTCTTTCACCCAGGCTGGAGTGCAATGGCACAATCTCAGCTTACTGCAACCTCTGCCTCCTGGTTGAGCGATTGAACCCAGGTTGCCTCCTGGGTTCAAGCGATTCTCATGCCTCCTCCTCCCGAGTAGCTGAAATTACAGGCACCCACCACCATGCCTGGCTAATTTTTGTATTTTTAGTAAAGGTGGGGTTTCACCATGTTGGCCAGGCTGGTCCCGACCTCCTGACCTCAGGAGATCCACCCGCCTTGGCCTCCCAAAGTGCTGGGATTACAAGCGTGAGCCACCAGGCCTGGCCTATTTTGAGTTAATTTTTTATGGGATATGAAAATTAGGATGAGGTCTGTTGCCTATGGATGGTCAGTCGCTCTAGCACCATTTGCTGAAAAAACTATCTTTCCTCTATTTAATCGCCTTTGCACCTCTGCTAAACATCAACTGGATATGTTTTGTGAGTCTATTTCTGGACTCTCTATTTCTGTTCCATTGACTGAGATTTCTATCGCTCCACTGGTACTACATGGTCTTGATGATTGTAACTGTATAATAATAGTTAAAATAGAATAGAATGAATCTTCCTACTTTACCCCTTTTTTCAAAATTATTTTAGCTATTACAAATCCTATGTCTTTTCAGATAAAATTTAGAATAGGCTTATCTGTGTTTACAGGAGAAAACAACAGTTCTTTCAGGGATTTTGATAGGCATTACATCCAACATGTGTATCAATTTGAGGAGAATTGACATCTTTAATATGTTGTATTTTCAAATTTATGAACACAGTATGTCTCTCCATTTACTTAGGTCTTCTATGATTTCTTTTATCAGCATTTTGTAATGTTCAGCATACTTAAAAGCTTTGTTAATTTTATACCTATTTCATTTTGTTTGGAGTAATTGGAAGGAGTGTTGTGTTTTTAATTTCAGTTTCCACATTTTCCTTATTACTACATAGAAATGTGATTGCTTTTTGCGTCTTTTATCTTGTATCCTAAGGCCTTCATTACATCTAGCGTTTTGTTTGTTTGCTTTATAGATTACTGAAGATTTCCTACATAGACAACCATGCTATCTGCAAATAAGGACAATTTTATTTCTTCCTTTCCAAACTATATGCCCTTTATTTCTTTTTATTGCCTTATTACTGGGCTAGAACTTACAGTACTTTGTTGAATAAGAGCGATGAAAGGGGACATCCTTGCCTTGTTTCTAATCTTAAAGTATATAGTCTTTTATCATTAAGTATGAAGGTAGCTATTGGGTTTTGTAAATGCTTTTTAGTTTTTTATGAAGTTGAAGAAGTGCCCTCTATTCTTCCTTTGGTGAGAGTTTTTTTTTTTTTTTTCACATGTAGGTGTTGTATTACATCTAATACCTTTTCTGCATCAATTGATATGATCACATGATTTTTCTCCTTTAGCCTGTTCATATGGTGAATTGCATTGATTGATTTTCAAATATTAAACCAACTTGGCATTACTGGAATAAATTCTACTTGTTCATGGTGAATACTTCTTTTTTATACATTACTGGATTTTATTTGCCATATTGAGATTTTTAGACATAAGATTATGAGATATGTTGACCCCTAGTTTTCTTTTGATGTACTGTCTGTCTAGTTTTGAGACCATATTTTTATTTTTTAGAGACAGGATCTTGCTCTGTTGCTCAGGCTGGAGTGTACTGGCACAATCATAGCTCACTGCAGCTTCAAACTCCTGGGTTCAACTAATCTTCCCACCTTAGCCTCCCAAGTAGCTGACACTGTAAGCATGTATCACCCTGCCCAGCTAATTTTTATTGGTTTTGAGATCATAAAATGAGTTGGGAAATATTCCTCCCTCTTCTATATTCTGGAAGTGATTGTGTAAATTCTTTTTTAAATGTTTGGTATAATTCTACAGTGAAACCATAGAAACCTAGAAATTTCTTTTTTAGAAAATTTTAAATTATGAATTCAGTATCATTAATGATTATAGAACTGTTCAACTTACCTATTTTAATATTTTTTGAGTTTTGGTAGTCAGTGGTTACTGAGTAAAAGGTCATTTTCTGAGTTAAATTTTTAAGAGTAAACTTTTAATGACTGCAGGATCTGGAGTGATGTCCCTTGTTTCATTCTTGATATTTGTAATTTATGTTTTCTCTATTTTTATTTTGTTAACCACAATTTTGTTTCCAATGAAACAGAACATTCAATAAACATCCAAGTGACTATTCTACAGTAAGTTTGACTCCCCAGACCAGTGATGTGCCAGTGAATGTGCAGTAATGCCCACCGAGTGTGCTACAGGAAATGCTGGAAGCCTCTTGGGCAAAACCCAGAAGAGGAGAGCATCCCAAATCTGTTTTCAAAAAAAAAAGAGGTTTTCTCATTTTCTGCTTCCTTTATGGGTGAGAGCCAGCTTATCAAAGAAAAAACAGATGACTCAGTGCCTTAGGTATTTATCAAAGTGTGAAACTGAGGTTTTCCACCTCAGTTTTCTAGCATGCCAACTCAAAAATGCATATTGCTGAGCCTGGCCTTACACATACTAAAGCGGAATCTCTGTGAGTAGGGCTCGTTATCTAAATTTGAGCCACTTTGTGAACTCCATGGGAGTCATCCTGCACTCCTCAGAAAGTCTCATTATGTGAATAATAATCCTTTCATACCCTCTTGGTATATGCTTGTAATCCTAAGTCTCAACATCCAAATGAAGTTTTGGGTGGAGGTCAGTCCTGCAGGGTGACCACCACAAAATCATAGAATATGTTCTCAGACAAGAAATCAATAACTGCAAGACAACAGGATAACCTCCAAACACTTGGAAATTAAACAACATACTTCTAAATGATGCGTAGGTTGAGGAAGACTCAAAAAAAAAAAAAGAAAAAACATTCAATCAACTAAATGAAAATGAAAATATAACATGTCAAAATTTGTAGGACACAGTTAAAGCAGTACTGTGAGGAAAATTTATAGCACTAAATGTTTACATCAGCGGAGACAAAACGTCTCAAATCAATCATCTAAGTTTCTACCTCAAGAAACTAGGGGGAAAAAAAGTAAAAAATAAACCCAAGCAAGTAAAAGGAAGGTATTGATAAATGTATGATCAAACATCAATAAATTGAAAATAGGAGAATAGAATCAATGAAACAAAAGCTGGTTCTTAAAAAAAAGTTAATAATATTGATAAACTCCTGCTAAGTCTGACAAAATAAAAATAGAGAAAACATAAATTACAAATATCAAATAACTCCTGCTAAGTCTCTTTAAAACACAGACATGTATTTGGGTGTTTTTTTTTATGTTACAACAACTATTTTTAGAGACTGCCAACTACCTAATCCTTTTATAGTATATGAAAATAGTCACTTTCCTCACATAAACTATTTTATAATTTCAAGGTACAAAAACTTTTAAACCAGTGTAATCCAAGGAGGACTCTTAAATTTATAACTCATCATTGTTATATTACTTAGACTTTTTTTTTTCTTTTATGAGATTCAAAATGTCATGTGGGAACCTTCTCATGAGAGTACTTCCTTTTTACTTATTTATTTTTCCTAATAAACAAAATAAAATTTTGCTGACACAGACAACAAAATGTATTAACACAAATGACAAATTATTCTTTTATTCATTCATCAATAACTTTTTTACAGACAATAATTTATAAATCATTATCTGAGACTACATCTTCCTGTTTTACAGACCTTTAGACTTAGAGACCTAAGAGTATTTATATTTCAAATTTGGTTCTCATTAATTTTGAATATATGATCATCTATTATAGATGACGACAACTAAATTGATGTTTATCTTTGTGCTATCTTGTTAAAGACATTCCTAAACAAATTGTTGGTTTAATTATGATTACACAGGGAATGTTTCAGTTACTCTTAAAAATAAGCATGCTCAAACACAGAACAAGTACCTGTTGTAGACAAAGAATTGATTTACTAGTTATAATCCACTTGTGTATTTTACTAGAGTAAGTTTTCTTACAGGTTTGTAAGACATCTCTGACATAGTTTCATTTATTTATAAGAAATGATACATTTCATATTTTTCATTACCTATGCTGGATTGTGATTCAGGCAAAATTAATGAAGTTTCAATGTGGAAAGAAATGTCTTCCCACTCAGCATGGGCTGAGGATATCCTAAACATTTCATAGACAATGGCCATCTCTACCCTTAGTGTGAGAAGAGAGCCAATTTTGTTTGTTGGAAACTGTGCAGAGGGCCCTTTGGGGAGAGTGAATATTACTCGTGTATTTAATTAGTACATAAAAAATAAATGACCATACTCAGATCCACAATGAAACTGTGAAAATAAAAACATTTCAGATTTTCAGTACTAATTAGCCCTTTTCACCTTGTGTGTTAAATACTTTTAAATAATTCAAAATATACTGGGAAAGAATAACCACAGAATTAATATTAGGAACATTGGAGGGCATTTTGTAAGCATCAGTCTAAATAGTTAATAAGGAGAATATGCAGAAGGGGAAGAAACAATAAATAGGAAAATGTTTGTGTACCACAACAGACACATATCATTATTATTATTATTATATGAAATTTGCAACACCCACTACCAAAGAGAAACATGGGAAACAAAATAAGTTTATTGTACAATTGTACAAATTACAGTCTCATAGAAATAAGAAATAAGACTTATGTTTTCCAAGTAGGAAAACAAATAATCATTTAAAAAAATAACAAAAAATATGTTCTTCCAAGAAGAAATAATAAGCATTTTTTTAAAGTCTGACAGTGTTTTCCTGACTCATTTTGCATGGTTCATGGAGTCTTACCTATTACTGTCATACTAAAAGCTTAACATCTAAACAAATTAAATTAAGGTAAATTTGGTATCATACCAACACCCAGATGATAAAACCTTTAAGTGAAAAGTTAAATTACCTTTTGCATTCTTGTTTATTTCTGAAAATGTAGAAACTCTTCCTCTTCATTTATTTGTTCATTTAACAAATATTTATTGAGCATGTTAATTTACTAGACTCTGGACACACAATGCAAAGAAAACAGATAAGATTCCTGCCCTCACAGAACTTAAAATTGTTCTTGAACACCTGTTTTTATCCAACTTATAAAGTGGATCTTTATACTCAAAGATTTCACACAGCTGTTAGAATGTTTCATTTTTGGAATATTGCAGGGCCTCTTTCTTGTGGGTAACATACATGCAAGTTGCACAATTCTGTAAAGTCAGGTGCAGTGAGAACAGACACATTGCATTTAACATTTTCTTGTCTACATGAGACTATTTTGGTTCATGTTCAGTGAAAATGCCTCACCTTGCTTTTAGATCTGTTTGACAGAATTTGTTTTTTGAGGTTGTGAGCACTTTGAGTTTCCTTGTTTTAGAAACCTGAGGACTGAATTCAAAGCTTGGTTAAACTCAATCAGTCCCTCATTCACTCCCTCTTGAGGAAATACAAAGATCTCTACCATTATAACATGTACATTCTAGCAGAGAAAGACAGATAAAGAATGGTAGATGTACATGAAAAGGACTCTGGAAGAAAGGAGGTAAACTGGCCAAAGGGGCGATGGAAAGTAGCAGTCAGGGTGGCAGGATGAAAAAAAGTAGAAGTGAAGCTGGGCGTGGTGGCTCACGCCTGTAATCTCAGCTCTTTGGGAGGCCGAGGCGGGCAGATCACGAGGTCAGGAGATAGAGACCATCCCGGCCAACATGGTGAAACCCCGTCTCTACTAAAAATACCAAAATTAGCTGGGCATGGTGGCGCATGCCTGTAATCCCAGCTACTCGGGAGGGTGAGGCAGGAGAATTGCTTGAACCAGGCAGTCAGAGGTTGCAATGAGCTGAGATCACGCCACTGCACTCCAGCCTAGCAACAGAGAGAGACTCTGTCTCAAAAAAAAAAAGTTGAAGTGAGTCAGTGTAGGCCTCACTGAGCAGAAATGTGAAGGACGTGAGGGAATGATGTGAGTAGATTTTAGGAGGAAGAATGTTCCCAGCAGAGAAGAATGGCTGGAGCAAAGTTCCCAAGGAGGAACATGCTTGGTGAACAGCAAGGAGGCCAGTGTGGGTGGGGCAGACTGAGCCAGAGGGAGCAGTGCAAGAGAGGAAGGCACAGGGTGGCTTGGTGGGAAGAGGAGTGGATTATGTAGAACCCCATCGCCTATTGTGAAGAGCAAGGGAAAGCCTCACAGTGTTTTGAGCAGAGGAATGACATGACTGGACTTGTTTTTAAAGGGTGACTCCAGCTGCTTTGTTGAGAATACACTGAAGGAAAGCCTGCAGGCAGGGAGAGCTGGTAGTGATATTTCCCTTGACCTCTTTGCAAGACTTGTGAAGGGGTGGCTCATTTACTCGGCCCGCAGCTCTAAACCCATCACGGGAAGGGGAGTACTCAGGTGAGTGGGTGCAGGAACCAGGGCAAATCAACACTGGAACCAGCCAGTTGCTCCTCTCTGGTGGGAGCAGGCTTTGTACAGGAACCACGGCAGCATCCAAGCATGTTACAATGCTTTTTTAGCTCTGCTGTCTGGGAAGGGGTGTCTGCAACTCCCGGAGCCCCAGAAGGCATGTGTTACAATCAGTGCTCTTTTAGCATTTTCCATCTGCAGATGGCTAAGTGTAAACCAGCTCAGTGGAGGGTCAGGGTGACAGCCTTTTACACCCTGCCCTCTTGGTATCCAAGTTTTTGTCCAGTGTCCAGGAAGAATCAGGTCACCCAAATGAATTGAAGGCTGGTGTATGCAGAGGATTTTATTTAGAGGTGGAAGTGGCTCTCAGTGGGAAGGGGAGCTGGAAGGGGGACAGAGTGGGAAGATAATTTTCTCCTGAATGACCGAACTCTTCTCGGAAGTCCCGCCATCAAGTCACCCCTCTGAAGTCAACCTGCTTTTCTCTGACATCTGGCTGCTGCTTCTCTTCTCATCTCTGCTGCTCCACTCTGCTCTCCTGCCAGTGGAGCTTGGGGTTTTTATGGGTACAGGGTTGGGGGCAGGGTGGGCCAGGGTGGTTTTGGAAAAGGCAACATTTCGGGTGGGAAAACAGGGATGTTAAAGTTCTCATTTTGGACCGCAGGTCCAGGCTTGAGGGTGGGGCCCTCGCCAGGGACCGCCCTCTTCTACCCAGTACTTCCCTGCCTCCTGTCTGTATCAATAGGAAGCTCTCACAGAAATCCAGCAAGAGATGATGGTAGCTAGCATTAGGCTGGCTGTAAAAAGTGATTGGATTTTGTATGTGTTTAGAAGCCAGAATCAATAGAATTTGCTGATGGATTGGATATGACATGTAAGAGAAAGAGAAGAGTCAAGATGACTTCACTTAGAAATGTAGTGCAAAATGTACCAATCTGTAAGCCTTGACCTCCCTTTAGTTCTATATTTCACATATTTCTAGTGGCCTTGTTTTCTATTCTAGGAATCTAGTGGGTTTTGGTTTTTGGTGGTTTATTTTTTATTTTTTATTTTTGTCTAACATTTTCAGCACTTACTGATGGAATACTCATATGGTAGATGCTGTGGAGGATACACAATGAACAAAACATTAATTTTGTTGTCAGCAAAGATCACAAGAGATAATGCAATTAGAAAGTGAGGTACAACACTGAGGAGAAGCAGATCAAATGTTATAGGGAGTCAAAGAAGGGAGATGTTTCTTTGGACTATGGGAAAAGGGGAAGGTCCAACATTAAGTTAGCCTAAACAGAGCTTTGAGAATATTGTAGACTTGAGGATTGCCAAGCTGAGATGCATTCCATTTTGGCACATATACCCACACAGCCTCAGGTCCAGCGGAGAGTAAGTGCAGTTTGGCTGGAAGAAACAGCAGGGGAGAAGGATTGAACAAGTTGTCCTCATATTGCACAGTGCTTTGAACCAAGGGGATGACAGAAAAGATCAGAAGTGTGGGTGTGTGTGAAAGACATTTTCAGAGATAGGACTGTGGGGCTAGCAAGGTATAAGTAAGGCCAGGGATTAGAGTGCTGTTATTGAGAGGATGGTCATGCCAAAATTCAAATAGGGGCATAGAGAGAAAGGACTTTCTCCTAAAACATTTCCATCTGGACTGCAAAGGCAAGGTGAAAGGGAAAAACTAAGATCAATTGTTCGACAAATAATTAACATATTCCCTTTTTCTTAGCAGCAGGTTTGGGGGGCCTAATTTTCTTGATTCTCTCTTTGCTTGGAATATAACCGTCATTTGTGTGATCTTAAAGACTCTGGGGAAGGAATAGAAGATGGTTGATATAAGACTAATTCTTTTACTATAGTGACTAAAACGTTCAGAAAAAATTTATTAAATTCTGAAAGACTAGTATCATCAAGTTTACAGAAAAACTTTTCAAAGCTCATTTGAGGTAAGAGCCACAGATAAGCACCTACTATAGCTCTGTTTAGTTGCTCCTTTTAAAATTGAATCGAAACGTGATCTGGCTTCTCTGACTGGAAATTTCCGGTTTTTTCCTTAATGGAGCACAGAGGCAGAGGAGGTGAGGAGAAGGTCACTACTTTGAAGGACTATGGAGCTTAAAATATTCTGGCTATAGACTTCAGCTGAACCAATTTTGTTTTCCATGGTGAAATCTAACCAAACAAAGTCTTGGGAATGCGCCCAAAGAGCTTGTATTGAATATTTGAATTCTAGAAGGCAAAGAAGAGGAAGAATTGATTATTTTGGCAAAGAGCACGTTGTC